>NC_000016.10:56380682-56683712 GCF_000001405.40 Homo sapiens | reverse complement strand
CAAAAGGAGGCCAGTTCCCCAAAACCTACCCTTAAATGAGGAAAGTCTTCACAGCCGGACAGGGGGCAAATCCCTGACACAGCAGTTCTGGGGAAGGCTAGGGAAGCTCTGGGCTACCCCTGCAGGAAAGGACTGGATCATTAGGTTTGAAATCACCCGGGGTCTTCCAGATCCTGGGCCTTAAGTGCTTCAGGACCCAGAAGGGTGAAGAAGGCTGCATCAGGAGGCAGGAGACCTAGGTTCACATTCCAGCTTTGTTCCCAACACTATCTGGTAACCTCTCTGGGCCTCAGTTTCTAGTTTGGTAATAAGAGGCTGGGACTCACCCATTTTTAAGGCAATTTGAGGTCTGATTCTGAATCAGGTGTTGAAGGAGGGGTTTGGGGAAGCTGGTCATTGGCCTGCCCCTGCCTGCAGAGCTCTGGGTTCCCTGCTCTAACTTGGCCCATCCCCCAGATTCGCAGGGAAGGCCCTGCACTCACTCTTCTTGCAGGAGGTGCATTTGCACTCTTTGCATTTGCAGGAGCCGGCACAGGCACAGGAGCCAACTGCAAGGAAGAGAAAAAGGCAGTGAGCGTGGAGTGAGATGCAGAAGGTACAGCAGCTGGTCAATAACGCTTCAGTGACCCCTCCTCTGTGCTGAAGGACCAGCCCCCAGAGCTCCTTTCCCACTCAGGGGAGAGGAAGAGAAGCCCCATCTCCTCTCCCTTCATTTTGGGAAGGGCAAGTGTTCTGTTGCTTTTACCCCACAAGCAAGGTCCCAGGCTCCAGACACAGCCCAGGAAGGCTAAGACAGGAGGCCAGAACCTTCTGTCCTGAACTCCGAAGAGGCAATGGCCCCCCACTTCCCATCCACCCTGACTGCTCAGAGCCTGGTCAGAGCATTGGGGCTCAGCCAGCAGCCCCCTGACCAACTGGGTGACATGGAGCAGGACAGCCTTGGGCCTCAGTACCCTCAACTCTAACTTAGAGGCACAGGGAGGCGAGAAGTGGTCTCAGGGACGTGATCGGGAAGAAAGCACCTAACGAAATAAAGGAGCCCCTTCAGCTCAGAACTTTAAATGCGACTTCTTCAAACCCAGGAAGAGTCTGTACTGTGGCTGGGAAACGGGCATCCCAAGGCGCGGAGCTAGGTGTCCCTTACCAGGCGAGCAGGAGCAGTTGGGGTCCATTTCGAGGCAAGGAGAAGCAGGAGTTCCCGATCAAGAGGAAAACACGCAGCGGGACAGATGAAAAGCGTGGTGGAGCCCAGAAGCCGGCGGCTCTCTTTATAGTCCGGGAAGAGGGCCGGGCGCAGAGGCCCCGCCTCGTCCTTGCACCCGCCCCTGCTGAGTCTGCACCGCCCGCGATCCTGGGCCGGGTGCAGCAACCCGTGAGCCCAGCGCCGGGCGCACCGCGGGGCCTGCCCCTTTGGCTCCACCTCGTTGAGAACCTGGCAGTACGTGGCGTCCCTGGCGTCTTGCCTGCCCAATTTCCCTGACATTGCCTGCCTCTCCCTCTCCTAGGCGTGCCGGGAAACTCGGAATCCCGGCGGTCTACACACCCCCAGCCCCCGCTCCACTGTGTGTAGCTTTGCATTTCCCAGAGTCCCTGGATCACGTCCCTGGATCGGCGGGAGCGGTGAGCATAGCGAGGGAGCAGTGTGCAAATGAGAGGCAGAGGATGTGACACTCGGATTTCCTGCATTGCCGGTCCCTGTCCCCGTCCCCACCTCGGTCTGTTGGCCACGTTTCTCTTATGTCTAGGGACAGAACAGACACAGGGCTCTGCCCCCGTCCTTGCATTCTCCACTCTTGAGAGGCTGAATGGGCACATTTGCCCAGGTCCTCCTTTGCATAAAACTCTCCAGGTCTCCCCATAGCCTAGCCGGGCACCCCACCACAGGATGACAGTTTGGAAAATGTGGAATGCTCCCAGAAAAGGGATCATTTTAGGTGATATGCGGATTCCGGATTAAATTAAAATGCAAGAAACAGGGTTATTTTTCCTTCCATATTCCTATTACTCTACATAACATTAATCCGTGTTAGGCCCTTTTTAGTCACTTTGCATCGTTGAACCCTCACAGCAACCCTAAAGGGACATACTTCTATTCATGAACCCATATTCTAATCTGAACAACAACAATAAAAGGAGTTCAAGCCACCAGCCCAGGGTCAGAGGGCTGCGAAGTGACACTGCTGGGTCTGAATCCGGTCAGCGTCCCAAAGCAATGATGAAGCTTCCCTTTGGCCTAGATATATTCATCTCTTTACTGCTTGAAATCTTTAAACAAAACCAAGCATCAAGGTCAGTCCTGGAAGCAAAACAGAGATGCAGAGGGGATATGAATAAGCATAATTTGATGGCAACCTTCTATGTCTGGAAGTTAAACTGATTCTTTTTTCAGTGGTGCTAATGAGTTTGCTTTTCATATAAAAATATCTAAGGAAATAGGAATCATTTGAAAGAAAAACGTTAAGTCACATATTGGTGCAGGTGGTAGCAGAACTGGCAGGTATCCTTCCGTTTCTGTGATGGGGACAGGGACTATCTTGCTCATGGCTTTATATTTCTGGAGTGAATCCCTATTTTGTGGGCAGAGTGCAGGACACTGTCAGGACCACAGGTCAATGCTCATGTGGCTGATGAGAAAGACAGAGGACACACAGGGAGGGACTCCAGGCCTGGCTCTTTTGTCTGGAGTAAAAATGTCAACTATGCTATCGTCTGAGTCCATTTGGGCTGCTATCACCAGATGCCTTAGACTGGGTAACTTAAAACAGCAAAATATATTTCTCTCAGTTCTGGAAGCATGGAAGTCCAAGGTCAAGGCACCAGCATATTTGGAGTCTTGTGAGGGCCCCGTTCCTCACGGATGTCTCTTTCTTGCTGGGTCCTCACATGGTGGAAAGAGTTAAACAAGCTCCCTCAGGCCTCTCTAATTAAGGCACTAATCCCATTCATGAGCACTAGGTCCTCTTATTTCAGTCACCTCCCAAATGCACCACCTCAGTACCAACACACTGAAAATTAGATTTGCACATATGAATATTGGAGGCATACGAGCATTTAGACCATAGCAGCCATGAATAAAAATAACAAAATAATAGTTAATATTATAGATCATTTGCCATGTGCAAGGCACCATTCTAATTTCTTTATACCTATTAAATCATTTATTTCTACAAGTCAGACCCCATTACAGTCATATGCTGCTTAGTGATGGGAATACATTCTAAGAAATGCATTGTTGGGTGATTTCATGTTGTGCAAACAGTGTAAAGAGTACAATAACAAACCTAGATATTATGGCCTACCACAGACCTAGGCTATGTGATATGGCCTATTGCTCCTAGGCTTCAAACCTGTACAGCATGCTACTGTACTGAATACTGAAGGCAATGATAACACAGTGGTATTTGTGTATCTAAACATAGCTAAACATAGAAAGGTAGAGTACAGTTACCTTATAACCTTATAGGACCACTATGCTATATGCAGTGCATCTATAACTAAAACGTCCTTATACAGCACATGATGTATTATTATATTCTGCCCCTTTTACAGTGCAGGAACTGAGCCACAGAGAGGTTGTGTCACCCAGGTATACATGATGACACATCCGGGATTGGCACTCACACAGGCTGACCATAGAATAATGCCCTCAACCACAAGCCTGTGTCACCCTGTCGTGTGACACATGAGGACACTAACTCTGGCACAGAGGCACAGTGGTAAGAGCACTGAGCTGGCAGTCAGAGCCTCTGAATAGCTGTGTGTCCTCTCTGGCTTCAGTTCACCAGCTATCAAGTCAGGGTCACAATTGGGCTAACTAACCATGGGCCCTTCCAGCTCTGGAATGTGAGAGGCCGGGCTTAGCATCCATTGACAGCGTGATATTTCACTATGGCGAGGGCATGAGGACACCCACAGCATAGATTCATTCATGCCTTTACTTCTAAACTATGTGACCTTGGGAAGATTGCTTAACTCCTTTAGAAGACAGTACAACTCCTCTAGAAGACAGCACCATCTCACCAAACCCTTCACATTCACTGTGTGTCTGGTTTGTGTGAAGATCAAATGACTTGAAAGGTGGGAAAGGCTTGTTCTCTGTCTGAATGCTGGAGCAGTGTCTTATCCTGGAGAGCAGGTGCAGGAGGTCATCCACATGCCCTTGAGACCAGAACAGCAAGACTCCAAATCCATCTCCAACTTCCAGTCCACATAATACCCGCAGGCAGATGGGCCTTTTCCAAGGAGCTTGATGGGAGCTAATAGGATTGTCTGTCTAGAAAGTCCACATGGACAAATGATTATAATAGCACTGTTCAGTAAGCCCTAGGCCACTAGTACCAGGCCACTGTCCCATTTGATCCCTACATGGAAATATAATCTCCTGTATACAGATGAGGAAATGGAGGCTCAGAGAGGTTAAGTGACTTGTGCAGGCCACACAGCCAGTCAGGAGTGAAGTGGGCTGTGAACCCGGTTGTTTGACACCAAAGCCTGCACTTGGCCCAGGCTACCTTCTGAAATTCCCTCATCACAAAGAGCACCTGCAGCCCATCTAGGTCTTGACTCCTGGGTCACTTGTCTCATCTTCCCTGTGATTGAACCTCGAATAACAATTCCCTGAGCAGATAGCTGGAGGTACCAGCTGTTGGTAGCAATGATCAGTCCTCATCCTTCTCAATGAACACCACACACCTTCAAAGTACAGAATATGCCATCACCCCTGCAGAGGCGGAGTCAAAATACTTCACCTGGGAACCCCAGTTGCTATCTATAGTCAGCTTGCCAGGACGATGCTGGACACTTCGCTCCACCTGCCTATTCACTGCACTGGCCTGAAGTAACCAAGGGCTGGAATTTGAAGGAGACTGCAGCCTGACCTTGGGAGAAACTTCCAAAGATTCAGAGCCAAGTCAGAACAAGGAGCTCTCAGGGGTAGCGAGAGTTCCATGAGTGACATGGTGCCGTTCAGGACTGATAGTTCCTTTTGGACATGTCCAGGCCAGCACTGCTGAAGGTGTGTGATCCACGCATGAGGGTTAGTCTACAAACTGTTCCCAGTCTGAAATACGCAACCTAGAACATATATGCAATGTCTGTAAATTTTTATTTTTCTGTTTTTTAATATATTTAAATATAGTCATATATTTTGTTTTTCATACATTGTTTTTTGTATGTATTTTTTTGTTTTCATATATTTATATTTATTAATAATTTGCCTGTTTAATATTAAAAAGTAGATTTTGTTTTTATATTTCATACTAATTCATTTTAGTTCATTTTCCCAAAGCTTAGGTCTGTTACAGATGCCCACGCCTATGCCATTATATCTCTTACATGTATACTGTTTTTTTGGTTTTTTTTTGAAATGGAGTTTCCCTCTTGTTACCCAGGCAGGAGTGCAGTGGTGCAATCTCGGCTCATTGCAACCACAACTTCCCGGGTTCAAGTGATTCTCCTTCTTCAGCCTCCCAAATAGCTGGGATTACAGGCACCCGACGCCACTCGTGGCTAATTTTTGTATTTTTAGTAGAGATGGGGGTTTCATCACGTTGGCCAGGCTGGTCTTGAACTTCTGGCCTTTTGTAATCTGCCCACCTTGGCCTGCCAAAGTACTGCAATTACAGGTGTGAGCCACCATGCCCGGCCTACATGTATAATGCTTTTACATTTTTTAGCAGAGACAGGTAATGTGATTTGTCTTAAGGCACTCAGTGTGTAAGGTGATAGGACGTGGTACCAGCACCCATGTGTCTGGACTCTCAATGCAATTGCTTATCCCAGCTCTGTTGGGTATCAGATCACTTTTTTCCAAGGCACACAAAACAAAACTGAGCCAGAATAAAGTCAACTTTTATTATCATTAACATATTTTATTTTTAGAAACCCAAATGTACTAATGGGTCAGGGTTGTATGGAAAACAATTCCAGGTTTGTACACTTTCTACTTCTGGGAACACAGCTTTCCCTACATCAGGAGCAGCAGCTGCACTTGTCAGTGTCCCTTTGCAAACACATCCCTGGGCACACTTGGCACAGCCCACGGGGCAGCAGGAGCAGCAGCCTGGGGAAGAAGGGGAGAGTGACAGGTCACAGCAGACTTGAACAGGCACCTCTCTGCCCCAACAGTGGGCCTGGCTCAAGCTCGCACCCAGACCCAGAGGAGCTTTAGGTCCGGATGGTGTGCTCTGTGAGACAATGGTGGATCTTTGGAGTGAGAGCCTTCCTGTGAAAAACTTGCTCAGCCCCACCAGAGCCAGGACAGAGCAGAAGACTGGACAGGCAGTGACTGGGACTGTGGGGACAAAGGAAGGGCAATTCCCCAGGACCATACATTTCAGTGAGAAAAGCCCTCAAGAATCAGGTCTGTGGTTGGCCAGCTGGTACATTCTTGTGACCTCAGTTTCCCCATTGTTAAGAATGAAGGTTGGGTAGGAATCAACCATCCCTAATGTTCTTCCAGCTCTGATCCTGAATCCGTTTCAGGGGATGTGGGAAGCTAGTGATGAGCCTGCTCCTGCCTGCAGAATCTGAGATCCCTCCTCTGACTCAGCCCAGCACCCCCGCTCCCTGCGATTCCCAGGGAAGGCCCCTCACTCACTCGTCTTGCAGGAGGTGCATTTGCACTCTCTGCATTTGCAGGAGCTGGTGCAGGTGCAGGTGAAGAGAAAAAGGCAGTGAGCAGTGAGTGTGCTGCAGGGTTAGGAGCAGGCCCTCAGCATCCTCCTGCTCAGTGCATGGGAAACCTGGTACCTTGTTCCACTCAGGCACACGGAAGCCCAGCTCCACCTTTTTTCCCCACAGGCTGGGATGGGCAGGCGCCCTCCTAATTTTACTCCCCAAGGCCTTATATCAGGAATCCCTAAGAGGCAATGCTCCCTGCCTCCCATCCACCTCAGGCAGCTCTAATGCTGGACAGAGCACTGGGTCCCAGCCCGGGAACCCACTGGCTATCTGGGTGACCTGGCAGTTTTGAGCCTCAGTCTTCTCGCTTCAAAAATGGGAGGGCCACTTTGGGAGGCCGAGGAGGGCGGATCACGAGGTCAGGAGATCGAGACCATCCTGGCTAACACGGTGAAACCCTGTCTCTACCAAAAATACAAAAAATTAGCCGGGCGTGGTGACGGGCGCCTGTAGTCCCAGCTACTCTTCAGGCTGAGACAGGAGAATGGCGTGAACCCGGGAGGCGGAGCTTTCAGTGAGCCAAGATCGGGCCACTGCACTCCAGCCTGGGCGACAGGGCAAGACTCCGTCTCAAAACAAAACAAAACAAAACAAAAAACAAACAAAAAAACAAAAAAAAAGTGGGGGGGCGCTGGGAAGATGGCAACATTCCAAGTGGTAATGAAGGCGCTTGACAGGGAAAAACACGAGAAGTGCAAAGTAAAGGAGGCCACTTTAGGAAGAGCTAACATGCACCTCCCTCCTGCCCCGGGTACATTCTATCCTCTGGAATGGAAATGGATATTCTAAAGCCCCGAAACCCGGTATCCCTTACTAGTGGAGCAGGAGCAATTGGGGTCCATTACGAAGCGAGGTGAAGCTAGAGTTCCTAAGGGAGAGGAGAAGAAGCAGTGGGGCAGGTGGGAGGCGTGGTGGATTCTAGGAACCGGAAGCTCAATTTATAGTTAGAAGAGGGGGCCGGGTGCAGAGTACCCTTCTCACCCACCCCCACGCGGAATCCGCGGCGCCTGCGGTCTTGGGTTGAGCTGTGCGCAGCAGGCGGGTCAGGCGCACCATCCCCTGAGTGCAGCCTGGTGGGCTCCCGGGGACCGCCCTTTTGGGGCCCGCTCGTGCGGGAGGGGCTATGCTGCCAGAGGTACGCGCCGCCCCTGCCACCCTGAGGGCCATTTCCCATTCCCAGGTGGTCGCGCTGTCCCCACCCCCTCCATTCTCCCTCCCCCGCACAGTCGTCCTCAGCTTCGCCTCTCCCGGGTCCGTGTGCATCCGGGTCCATCCTCTTGCTCACCTTCTTCATTGGCTAGAGCCGGGAGCAGAGCGAGTGAGCAGTGTGCAGATGAGCCATGGTGGAGGTGACTTTTGCTTCTCCCTCGCCCTCCCCCCTCATTACCTGTAACTCTTCCCACCTAAGACCCTCAAACTCTTTTCCCCTGTAGACAGATCGTGGCGACCACGGGTCGGCCTCTCTCTCTTCCCTCCATGCTCCTCCTCTGAGGTGATGGCGGGCACATTTGTCAGTTTCCTCCTTTTCATATAGTTCTCCGGGACTTTCCAGGCCTGCCGGCCACCCCACTGCAGGATGGCAGTTTTGAAAATGAGGGATGCCCTCCAAAGAGGATGACTTTAGGTGACATGCAGACCCTGCGGTCAATCAAGGAGAGAAGTGGGTATTTCTGTTCAATGTTCTTATCATGTAACATTTAGAATGTGCCAGGCCTCTTTAAATCATTAATTCCTTGAACACTCCCAACAATCCTAAAGGGAAATTTTCACTTGCATCCTTGTGAAGAGACCACCAAACAGGCTTTGTGAGAGCAACAAGGCTGTTTATTTCACCTGGGTGCAGGCGGCCTGAGTCCGAAAAGAGAGTCAGCGAAGGGAGATAGGGGTGGGGCCGTTTTATAAGATTTGGGTAGGTAAAGGAAAATCACAGTCAAAGGGGGGTTGTTCTCTGGCGGGCAGGAGTGGGGGTCACAAGGTGCTTAGTAGGGGAGCTTTTGAGCCAGGATGAGCCAGGAGAAGGAATTTCACAAGATAATGTCATCAGTTAAGGCAGGAACAGGCCATTTTCATTTCTTTTGTGGTGGAATGTCATCAGTTAAGGCAAGGCAGCGCATTTTCACTTCTTTTGTGATTCTTCAATTACTTCAGGCCATCTGGGCGTATACGTGCAAGTCACAGGGGATGCGATGGCTTGGCTTGGGCTCAGAGGCCTGACAGAAATACTATTTATGACCTGTTTTACTAATCTGACTGTCAGGCCTCTGAACCCAAGCCAAGCCATCGCATCCCCTGTGACTTGCACATATACATCCAGATGGCCTGAAGTAACTGAAGATCCACAAAAGAAGTAAAAATAGCCTTAACTGATGACATCCCACCATTGTGATTTGTTTCTTCCCCGCCCTAACTGATCAATGTACTTTGTAATCTCCCCCACCCTTAAGAAGATACTTTGTAATCTCCCCCACGCTTAAGAAGTTTCTTTGTAATTCTCCCCACCCTTGAGAATGTACTTTGTGAGATCCACCCCTGCCCACAAAACATTGCTCTTCACCGCCTGTCCCAAAACCTACAAGAACTAATGATAATCCACCACCCTTCGCTGACTCTCTTTTCGGACTCAGCCCACCTGCACCCAGGTGAAATAAACAGCCATGTTGCTCACACAAAGCCTGTTTGGTGGTCTCTTCACATGGACGCGAATGAAACTGACAACTGTAACAAGAAGTTTAAGTAACTTGCTCAACATCACAGAGCTAAACAGTTTACACTGATTTGAATCTAGCCAGCGTTTCAAGAGAAAGTGTCCAAGATCAAGCCTTCCTTTGGCCCAGGTTTGTCAGCACTTCTCTATTGCTGGTAATCTTTTTTTTTGAGACGGAGTCTCCCTCTGTCGGCCAGGCTGGAGTGCAGTGGCGCGATCTCGGCTGGCTGCAATCTCTGTCTCCCGGGCTCAAGTAATTCTCCTGCATAAGGCTCCAGAGTAGCTGGGACTACAGGCGTGTGCCACCATGCCAAGTAATTTTTGTATTTTTAGTAGAGACCAGGTTTCACCAAGTTGGCCAGGCTGGTCTCCAACTCCCGACCTCAGGTAATCCGGTTGCCGCGGCCTCCCAAAGTGCTGGGAATACAGGCGTAAGCCACTGTGCCCAGCTTTTTCTGACTATCTTCTATGTGTGGAATAAGACTGATTTTCATTTTCACTGGTGGAAAAGAGTTGGCTTTAAATAAAAAAATATACTTAAGAAAATATCAGTCACTTCAATGTTATAAGTTAAGTAAAATACAGTGACTGTGAGTACAGAAATGACATTCTTTTTCATCTGACATGAAGCATGGAATCTTGCTTATAGCTTTATATCCCTAGTGTTGATGACTATTATATGGGAAGAGCAAATGTCCCTTTTGACCACAGGACACATGTTCATGTAGTAGATGAGAATAGCAGGATACACAAGTGAGCATATCTGGCCTAGCTGTTTTGTCTGTGAGTAAATAAATATCCCCCATGCTATATGTAATGAGAGAAAAAAAAGCAACAGTTAATGTTATAGATGACTCACTGTTTGCCAGGCACCATTCTAAGTTCCTTACATGAATTAAATCATTTAATTTTACAAGCAGATATTATTATACTCCAGCTGATGAGACTGAGACACAGAGAGGTTGCGTCACACACATCGTGGCAGAGTTGGGATTTGCACTCATACAGGCTGACTGCAGCATCATGTCCTTACCCCATGCTCTATGCCACCAAGTCAACACAAACATGATGATGCTGAATGTCCTCATATTCCACCGCTGGGATGCAGCGGTGGAAGCACGTTGAGTTGGCAGTGAGACCCCTGTGCATAGCCGCGACCTCCCTGGGCTTCCGTTCCCATCTCTCAAGCCAAGAGCAAAATTTGTTCATCTCAGAGAGTATTAATCATTTCAATGTGAAATGATACATAAAATGTGCACATGGCAGCAGAAATGGCAGTCATTCTATATGTGACATGAGGCACTGCATCGTGCTCATAGCTTTATAACCCTGTGTTGATGACATTTTTGTGGTTACAGTGACTGACTCTCTGGTCCACAGGACCCGTGTTTGAGTGGTAGATGACAGTTACAGTATACACAGCTAGGCACTCCAGGCCTGGCTGCTTTGTCTGTGAATAAACAAATGTCCCCTACGCTATGTGTAATGATTGTTTTAAAGAAGCAATAGCCAATATTATAGACTACTCACCACTTGCCAGGCATCATTCCTCATTCTCTCTCTCTCTGTCTTTTTTTTTTCTTGAGATAGAGTCTTGTTCTGTTGCCCAACCTGGAGTACAGTGGCACGATCTTGCTGACTATAACTTCTACCTCCTGAGCTCAAGTAATCCTCCCTTCTCAGCCTCCAGAGCAGCTAGGACCACAGGTGCATGGCATCACATCGTCTAATTTTTGTAATTTTTGTAGAGATGGGGTTTCTCCGTGTTGCCCAGGCTAGTCTCAAACTCCTAGGCTCAAACAACCTTCCCACCTCTGCCTCCCAAAGTGCAGGTATTACAGGCATGAGCCACTGTGCCTGGCCCACTCTCTCATTTAATCCCTGCATTGAGATATAATCTCCTTTCTACAAATGAGGCACTAGATGCTCAGAGAGTGTGGGTGACTTGCCCAAACCACACAGCCAGTAAGTGGTGGAGTGGGCTGTGAACTAGGACTGCCTGACAACTAAAACTACACCCTAGGCGCTGGCTGCCTTCTGAAATTGCTTCACAGGGAAGCAGCAGGTAAGCGTGGTCCTGACTTCTACACAAGGAGATTCATCTTCCTCTTTGACTGAACATCAAATAGCATTCCCTCCAGAAATGGAGGGACTAACTTGTCATTAACAAGACATCCAGGGACTCTTTCCTTCCTAAGGAACATCACCACACTCAGCCAGCTGCACAATCTGCCATAGCTGTATTCTGAGAACTTGTGTAAATAAAGTATTAGTAATTATGGAAATGATGAAATCACAATCAAAATTCCAAAATAACTTCATCTGCAACCCACGATCACATTGCCTCTTGCCAGGAGCATGCTGGTTTGAAGTAGTCAAGGGCTGGAGCTTGAAAGAGGAACAAATGAAGCCTGACCTTGGGAGGAACTTCCAAAGATTCTGAGCCAACTCCCAACAGGGAGCTCTCAGGGTTCAGCGAGTGTCCTGAGTGTGCTGTCTTGTGTGTGATGCTGGCTAGGCCAAGCCTGATGGTTCCTCATGAGAATGTCCTGGCCTGTGCTGCTGAAGGTGTGTGGTCCACAGTGGGGTCAGTCTGCTGTTTCCAGTCTCCAATGCAACTCATCCATGAACATATGTGCAGAGTTTGTAAATCTTCCATTTTTCTGTTATTTCTGTATGTATTTATTGATTTTTTTGTGTAAAATGTAAAACATGGGTTCTATATTTTGTGCTTCATTATCTTCATAATTAATATTACTTTATTTACAAAGGTTTAGGTCTGGGATGGATAGAAAATGAAAACTGTCCCTTCACCGTGGAGTTTGAGAAGCCCCATGGAGGATTCAAGTAATTTAGGCATTGGAATCCACCTCCTGTGGCCAATTTCAAGCCTAAAATCTGCTGAGGAACTGAACTTGGGCAGGGAAACCTGAGAATAAACATGAGGAATGGAGAAGTCTCTGTACCACATTTAATATGAGTGGAGCTGATCGCGTATGTCCCCATCCCCATATGAGCCAGGACAGTGCAGGTGCCTTTTACAGAAGATGGAGGTCAGTGATGTAATGGGGCTCACCTGAAGGCGCTCAGACTGTTCAGCACTCACATTTCCATCCAGAGCCCAGTCTTTAAACTCCCAGTTCAATCTCCCACCCCAGTCCCTCATTCCAAAAAACACAACAGGAACCAGAACGGGAATCAAGTCTAAGTGTTTAATTATTATTCACATATTTCACAGAAAAAAAGGAATGTAGCAAATGAGTCGGAGTTGTAGAAAAAAAAAATCCTGGATTTTACGTGTCATTCTGTTTTCATCTGACAGCAGGGCTGTCCCGACATCAGGCACAGCAGCTGCACTTCTCTGACGCCCCTTTGCAGATGCAGCCCTGGGCACACTTGGCACAGCCCAGGGGGCAACAGGAGCAGCAGCCTGGGGAAAAAGGGAGAGAGAAGTCACAGCAGACTTGACCAGGGAGCTCCCTCTCCCAACAGCAGGCCTGGCTCAAGCTCAGACTCCAGCCCCAGAGGATCCTTAGTTCAGGATGGCACAGCTTTTTCAGGAGACGACTGGTGGATATTGGGGTGAGTCTTCCTATGAGAGACTGCCCAGCCCCACAGGAGCCCTGGACAGAGCAGAAGACTGGAAAGGCAGTGACGGCCTAGGGGGACAAAGGAAGCAGGCACTCAGGGCCAGCCTTGGGTTCCCTCCCAACCTTAGCCACAGCCCCAGATTCCTGGAGATGGCCCCGCACTCACTCTTCTTGCAGGAGGTGCATTTGCACTTTTTGCACTTGCAGGAGCCGGCGCAGGCGCAGGAGCCACCTGCAAGGAATAGAAAAAGCCAGTGTGTTGTGAGTGAGATGCAGAAGTTACAGCAGTGGGTCAATGAGTGTCCACTTCCCCCTTCTCTGTTCAGGGCCAGCCGTCAGAGCTCCTTTCCCACTCAGCAGAAGAAGAGAAGACCCATCTCCTCTCCATTCATGCTGGGAAAACCAAGCACCCTCCGTTTGTATTCCAAAGGTAAGTCCCAGGCTCCAGGCACAGCCCGGGAAGACTGCGACTTCGACTTTCTGTGCTGAACCCTGAAGAGGCAATGTCCCCACCTATCCAATGCCTCCCATCCAATCCGGCTGCTCAGAGCCTGGTTAGAGAATTGGGGCTCAGCCAGCAGCCTCGTGACCAACGGGGTGATGTGGAGCAGGACAGCCTTGAGCCTTAGGACCCTCAACTCTGACATAGAGGCACAGGGAAGAGGGACATGCTCTCAGGAGCTTGGCCAAGAGGAAAGCAGCGGAGGAAGTAAAGAAGTCCTCTTCAGCTCAGATCGCAAAATATGACCTCCTCAAACCCAGGGACACTCTCTATGGTGTCTGGGAATTTGGCATCCTAAGGCACAGAACCCGGGCGTTCCTTACCAGCCTCGCAGGAGCAGTTGGGGTCCATTGCAAGCCGAGGTGAGACTGGAGTTCCCAAGCGAGAAGAGAAGAGGCAGTGGAACACGTGGAGGGCGTGGTGGAGCGCAACAGTTGGCAGCTCCTTTTCTAGTCAGGGGAGGGAGCCGGGTGCAGAGACCCTGCCCCACCCTTGCACCCGACCCACTGAGTCCGAGCCGCCCGCGGTCCTGGGCTGGGCTGTGCGCAGCAGACGGGTCGGGCGCAAAGTACCCTGAGCGCAGGTCGGTGCACACCGCGGGGACGGCCCTTTCGCAGCGGCTCCCGCGGGAGGGGCTGTGCACCCGGGTGAGCTGCTTGTTTCACCCTGCCGGGCCTGCCCAGTTCCCTGAGATTACCTGCTACTCCCGCCCTTTGGCGTTCCGCGTGCCCCGAGATCCTGACCTGCGCCCCACACCCCGGGGCCTGCCCACCCCCTGTCAACAGCTAAGGCTTTCCTGGAGTCCCAGTGCAACCCCAGTCTCTTGTTCAATTGTCTGGATTGGTGGGAGCAGAGAGCACAGCGAGGGAGTAGTGTGCAAGGGACATGCCGAGGATGCGACCTTCAGATCTCTGGCATTGCCTGTTCCTGTCCCCGTCCCCACCTCAGTTCTTCGGCCACGTTTCTCCTGTGCACAGCAACACGGAAGACACAGGACCCTGCCTCCCTCCCATCAAAGTATACTTATTCATATCCCTCTATGTCTCTGTTTTGCTTCCAGGACTGACTGTAATGCTTGGTTTTGTTGAAAGATTTCAAGCAGTGAAGAGATAAACATACCTAGGCCATAGAGAAGCTTCATCACTGACCTCTCTACCTAGGGAAGCTGACAGGATTCACACCAAGCAGTGCCACTTCCCAGCTCCCTGACCCTGGGCTAGTGGCTTGAACTCCTCGTCATTGTCCAGATTAGGAATACGGGTTCGTGAAAAGGACTCATGTCCCTTTAGGGTTGCTGTGAGGGTTCAAAGACAGAAAGTGATTAAACAGGGCCAAACACAGACCCGTGTAACATAGAGTAATAGGAATATGGAAGGAAAAATAACCAGCGCTCTTGCTTTCTAATTTAATGCAGGATCTTCATATCACCTTCAATGATCCCTCTTCTAGGGACTTGCCACACTTTCCAAACTGCCATCCTGTAGTGGGGTACCCGGCTAGGCTGTGGGGAGACCCTGGAGAGATTTATGCAAAGGAGGACCTGGACAAATGGGCCCATTCAGCTCCTCAAGAGTGGAGAATAGAAGAGAGAGGCAGATCACTGTTTCTTCCGTGTTACTGAGCACAGGAGAAGCGTGACCAAAGGACTGAGGTGGGAACGGGGACAGGGCGGATACTGCCAGAGATGCGAAGTTCGCACCCTTGGCCTGCCCTTTGCACACTACTCCCTTGCTATGCTCCCCGCTTTGGCAGATCCAGAAAGTGGAGCACAAGACTGGGGTTGCCCTCGACTCCAGGAAAGGCTTAGCTATTGACTAGAGACCTGGGCGTTGGTGAAGGTGAGGGGAAAGCCAGAATACTGGGGTAGGCGGAACGCCAAGGGGCGGGTGTAGCAGGCAACCTCAGGGAAGCTGGGAAGGCCTGGCAGGGTGAGAGAAGCCGCACACGGGGGGCACAGCGCCTCCCTCGCGAGCCGGTGCGAAAGGGGCCGTCCTGCGGTGTGCGCCCAGCTGCGCTCAAGGGACCTTGCACTTGGCCCATCTCCTGCGCACAGCCCAGGCCGGGACCGCGGGCGGTGCGGACTCAGCGGGCTGGGTGCAAGGGCGGGGCGGGGCGTCTGCGCCCGGCCCCGTCTCCTGACTATAAAAACAGCCGCTGGCTGTTGGGCTCCACTCCGCCTTCCACGTGCACCCACTGCCTCTTCCCTTCTCGCTTGGGAACTCTAGTCTCGCCTCGGGTTGCAATGGACCCCAACTGCTCCTGTGCCGCTGGTAAGGGACGCCCGGGTTCTGTGCCTTGGGATGCCAAATTCCCAGACACCATAGAGAGTGTCCCTGGGTTTGAGGAGGTCGTATTTTGCTATCAGAGGTAAAGGGGACTCCTTTATTGGTCCAGTGCTTTCCTGTTGGCCAAGCTCCTGAGGGCATTTTCCTCCTCCCTGTTCCTCTATGTCAGAGTTGAGGGTCCTGAGGCTCAAGGCTGTCCTGCTCCACGTCACCTGGTTGGTCACAGGGCTGCTGGCTGAGCCCCAATTCTCTAACCTGACTCTGAGCTACCGGATTGGATAGGAGACATTGGATAGGAGGGGACATTGCCTCTTCCAGGTTCAGGACAGAAAGTCGAAGTCTTCCTGGGCCATGTCTGCAGCCTGGGACTTTCCTTTGGAGTAGAAATAGGAGGGTGCTTGGTTTTCCCAGCATGAATGGAGAGGACATGGGGCTTCTCTTCCTCTGCTCTGAGTGGGAAAGGAGCTCTGAGGGCTGGCTCTGCACAGAGAAGGGGGAAGTGGACACTCATTGACCCACTGCTGTACCTTCTGCATCTCACTCACCGTTCACTGGCTTTTTCTCTTCTAGCAGGTGTCTCCTGCACCTGCGCCAGCTCCTGCAAGTGCAAAGAGTGCAAATGCACCTCCTGCAAGAAGAGTGAGTGCGGGGCCATCTCCAGGAATCTGGGGCTGTGGCTAAGGTTGGGAGGGAACCCAAGGCTGTCCCTGAGTGCGTGCTTCTGGGGAACCGGCCTTCCTTTGTCCCTGTAGGTTGTCACTGCCTGTCTAGTCTTCTGCACTTTCCAGGGCTTATGTGAGGTGGGGCAGCTTTCTCAAAGGAAGACCCATTCCAATGTCCACCAGTTGTCTCCTGACAAAAACCATGCCATCATGAACTAAGGGTCCTCTGGGGCTGGAGGGATGGAGACAGGCCTCTGTTGGGGCAGGGAGTTCTCTGATCGAGTCTGCTCTGACCTCTCAATCTCCTTTCCTCCCCAGGCTGCTGCTCCTGCTGCCCTGTGGGCTGTGCCAAGTGTGCCCAGGGCTGCATCTGCAAAGGGGCATCGGAGAAGTGCAGCTGCTGCGCCTGATGTCGGGACAGCCCTGCTCCCAAGTACAAATAGAGTGACCCGTAAAATCCAGGATTTTTTGTTTTTTGCTACAATCTTGACCCCTTTGCTACATTCCTTTTTTTCTGTGAAATATGTGAATAATAATTAAACACTTAGACTTGATTCCCGTTCTGGTTCCTGTTGTGTTTTTGGAATGAGGGACTGGGGTGGGAGATTGAACTGGGAGTTTAGACTGGGCTCTGGATGGAAATGTGAGTGCTGAACAGTCTGAGCGCCTTCAGGCAAGCCCCGTTACATCACTGACCTCCATCTTCTGTAAAAGGCACCTGCACTGTGCTGGATGATATGGGGATGGGGACATACGCGATCAGCTCCACTCATTAAACGTGGTACAGAGACTTCTCCATTCCTCATGTTTATTCTCAGGTTTCCCTGCCCAAGTTCAGATCCTCCGCGGATTTTAGGCTTGAAAGTGACCACAGGAGGTGGATTCCAATGCCTAAATTACTTGAATCCTCCACGGGGCTTCTCAAACTCCACGGTGAAGGGACAGTTTTCATTTTCTATCCATCCCAGACCTAAACCTTTGTAAATAAAGTAATATTAACTATGAAGATAATGAAACACAAAATACAGAACCCATGTTTTACATTTTACACAAAAAAATCAATAAATACATACAGAAATAACAGAAAAATGGAAGGTTTACAAACTCTGCACATATGTTCATGGATGAGTTGCATTGGAGACTGGAAACAGCAGACTGACCCCACTGTGGACCACACCTTCAGCAGCACAGGCCAGGACATTCTCATGAGGAACCATCAGGCTTGGCCTAGCCGGCGTCACAGACAGACAGCACACTCAGGACACTCGCTGAATCCTGAGAGCTCCCTGTTGGGAGTTGGCTCAGAATCTTTGGAAGTTCCTCCCAAGGTCAGGCTTCATTTGTTCCTCTTTCAAACTCCAGCCCTTGACTACTTCAAACCAGCATATTCCCGCCAAGATGTAGTGTGATCGTGGGTTGCAGATGAACTTAGTTTGGAATTTTGATTGTGATTTCATCATCTCCATAATTAATATTACTTTGTTTACAGAAGTTCTCAGAACACAGCTATGGCAGATTGTGCAGCTGGCTGAGTGTGGTGATGTTCCTTAGGAAAGAAAGAGTCCCTGGATGTCTTGTTAATGACAAGTTAGTCCCTCCACTTGTGGAGGGAATGCTATTTGATGTTCAGTCAAAGAGGAAGATGAATCTCCTTGTGTAGAAGTCAGGACCACACTTACCTGTTGCTTCCTTGTGAAATGATTTCAGAAGGCAGCCTGCCCCTAGGGCATAGTTTTAGGTGTCAGGGAGTCTTATTTCACAGCCCACTCCACCACTTACTGGCTGTGTGGTTTGGGCAAGTCACCCACACTCTCTGAGCATCTAGTGCCTCATTTGTAGAAAGGAGATTATATCTCAATGCAGGGATTAAATGAGAGTGTGGGCCGGGCATAGTGGCTCATGCCTGTAATACCTGCACTTTGGGAGGCAGAAGTAGGGAGACTGTTTGAGCCCAGGAGTTTGAGACCAGCCCGGGCAACATGGAGAAACCCCGTCTCTACAAAAAATACAAAAATTATATGGCTCTGGTGGCCTGTGTCTGTCTGAGCTACTCTGGAGGCTGAGATGGGAAGATTGCTTAAGTCCAGGATATAGAGGCTGCAGTCAGCCAAGATTGTGCCACTGCACTCCAGGCTATGCAACAGAATGAGACTCTGTCTCAAAAAAAAAAAAGGAAAAGAAAAAAAGAAAATAAGAGAGTGGCCTGGCTGCTGCCTAGGCTTTAATAAACAATGGTGATTATGATCATTCTCTCTGCACTGACTTTCTTGGAAAAAGATACCATTAAATCCTAACTCACTCCTGGAGAAAGGCTCATTGGTTTGGAAGCATTGCTCTGGGTGGGATGCTGTGAAGTGGTTGCATACCTGGCTGATCCAGTGACAGGAGGAGTGTGGATGTCCTCCTGCAGAAAGTCCTCTGTGATAAGACGCTCCCCCAACATTTGAACACTCATAAAATCCTTTCCCATTCTTCATGTCATTTGACCTTCATGTAACCTGTTGAATGAAGGTCACAAGCTTCAGGACAGGGACAGAAAATATTCAGGGGCTGGTGTGCTTGAGTCATCTTTCAGAGGAATTAAGCAACCTCCCCAATGCCACACAGCTGAGAAGGAAAGGGATGGATGAACCTATGGTAAGGCTGGCCTCTGGCCCTGCCCACAGCTGGCAGATCATGGCATCCCTAGATGCCAAACCCTGCCAATCTCTGTTCAAAGCTATAAAGGACTTTGGAGATGAACAAATTTTGCTCTTGGCTTGAGAGATAGGAACTGAAGCCCAGAGAGGTCCATGGCTATGCACAGCGATCTGACTGCCAACTCAATGTGCTTCCAAAGCTGCCTCACGGCCAGACATTCAGCATCCTCATCCTTGTATTGACTTGGTGGCATAGAGCATGGGGTAAGGGCACGATGCTGCAGTCAGCCTGCGTGAGTGCAAATCCCACCTCTGCCACTTTGTGTGTGACACAACCTCTGTGTCTCAGTCTTATCAACTGGAGGATAATAGTATCTGGCTTGTAAAATTAAATGATTTAATTCATGTAAGGAACTTAGAATGGTGCCTGGCAAGGGGTAAGTCATCTATAACAATAACTGTTGCTTTTTTTTTCTCATTATACATAGCATGAGGGATATTTATTTACTCACAGACAAAGCAGCCAGGCCAGATGTTCTCACTTGTGTATCTTGTTATTCTCATCTACTACATGAACATGTGTCCTGTGGTCAAAGGGACATTCGCTAACACTAGGGATGTAAACGTATAAACAAGATTCCATGCCTCATGTCAGATCAAAAAGAATATCATTTCTGCCCTCCCAGTCACTGTATTTAACATACAATATTGAAGTTATTAATATTTTCTTAAATATGTTTTCATTTAAAGCAAACTCTTTTCCCGCAGCAAAAATGAAAATCAGTCTTATTCCACACATAGAAGATAGTCAGAAGAAGTATAAATGTGTGTTGTATGTGTGTGTATATATATTACAGTTATAGATTGCTTTTGTCACGGCTTATGGTTCAGCTTGTGGCTTGACATTGTTTAAAAGATTTCCAGCAATAGGGAAATGCTGATGACATACCTGGGCCAAAGGAAGGCTTGATCATCGACACTTTCTCTTGAGAGGCTGGCTGGATTCAAATCAGTGACAACTTTTCCATTCCGTGATGTTGAGCAAGTTACTTAAACTTTATGCTATAATTGTCAGATTAGTAAAACGGGTTCATAAACAGTATTTCCCTTTAGGATTGTTGGGAGGGTTCAAAGAAGCAATGATTTAAAGGGGCCTGGCAAAATCTAAATGTTATATGATCGCATCGAAGGAAGAGAGAGGGGATGATCCGTGGTCGCCAGGTTCTGTGTACAGGGGGAACCAGTTTGAGGGTCCTAGGTGGGAAGAGCGACAGGCAATGTGCGGGGCGGGGGGGGAGGGGGCGCGGAGGAGAAACAAAAGCCACCTCCACCGCCGCACATCTGCGCACGGCTCACTCTCTCGGCTCCCAGCTTCCGCCAATGAAGAAGGCGAGCACGAGGATGGAGCTACACACGGACACGGGAGAGGCAAAGCTGATGACGAAGGTGCAGGGCGGGGGATGAGGATAACGCGACCACCTGGGAATAGAAAATAGCTCTCAGGGTGGCAGGGGCGCCACGTACCTCCGGGAGCATAGCCCCTCCCGCACTAGCGGGCGCCAAAGGGGCGGCCCCAGGGGGCCCACCAGGTTGCGCTCAGGGGATGGTGCTCCCGACTCGCCTGCTGCGCACATCCCAACCCAGGACCGCAGGCGCCGCGGATTCCGCGTGGGGGTGGGGGAGGGGGTGCTCTGCACCCGGCCCCCTCCTCTAACTATAAATTGATCGCCCGCTTCATGGAATCCACCATGCCTCCCACCTGCCCCACTGCTTCTACGCCCCTCCCTTAGAAACCCCAGCCTCACCTCGGCTCGAAATGTACCCCAAGTGCTCCTGCTCCACTAGTAAGAGATACCGGGTTTCGGGCCTTAGGATCTCCATTTTCATTCCAGAGGATGGAATGTCCCCGGGGCAGGAGGGAGGTGCATGTTAGCTCTCCCTAAAGTGGCCTCCTTTACTTTGCACTTCCGGTGCTTTCTTCCTGCCAAGCGCCTTCATCACCACTTAGACTGTTGTCATCTTCCCAGTGCCTTCCATTTCTGAGGCTAGAGGACTGAGGCTCAAAACTGCCCTGCTCCGGGTCACCCAGATAGCCAGTAGGGTCCTGGGCTGGGACCCAGTGCTCTGTCCCGCATTAGAGCTGCCTGAAGTGGATGGGAGGCAGGGAGCATTGCCTCTTAAGGATTCCTGACATAAGGCCTTGTGGAGTAAAATTAGGAGGGCGCCTGCCTATCACAACCTGTGTGGAGAAAAGATGGGGCTGGGCTTCCGTGTGCCTGAGCAGAACAAGGTACCAGGTTTCCCATGCACTGAGCATGAGGATGCTGAGGGCCTGCTCCTAACCCTGCACCACACTCACTGCTCACTGCCTTTTTCTCTTCCCTGCAGGTGGGTCCTGCACCTGCGCCAGCTCAGAGTCAAGCATCATCTTGGCACACGCCTGTAGTCCCAGCTAACTCTGGAGGCTTAGGCAGGAGAATTGCTTGAGCCTGGGAGACGGAGGTTGCAGTGAGCCGAGATTGAGGTTGCAGTGAGCTGAGATGGAGCCACTGCACTCCAGCCTGGCCGACACAGGGAGAATCCGTCTCAAAAAAAAAAAAAAAAAGATTTCCAGCAATAGAAAAGTGCTGACGACATACCTGGGCCAAAGGAAAGCTTGATCATGGACAGCTTCTCTTGAGAGGCTGGCTAGATTTAAATCAGTGATAAGTTTTCAGCTCTCTGATGTTGAGCAAGTTACTTAAACCTCTTGTTATAGTTGTCAGATTAGTAAAATGGGTTCATAAATAGCATTTCCCTTTAGGATTATTGGGAGTGTTCAAGGAATGAATGATTTAAAGAGGCCTGGCACGTTCTAAATGTTACATGATAAGAACATTGAAGAGAAATACCCACTACTCTCCTTGATTGACCGCAGGGTCTGCATGTCACCCAAAGTCATCCTCTTTGGAGGGTGCCCCTCATTTTCAAAACTGCCATCCTGCAGTGGGGTGGCTGGCAGGCCTGGGATAGTCCAGGAGAACTATATGAAAAGGAGGAAACTGACAAATGTGCCCACCATCACCTCAGAGGAGGAGCATCGAAGGAACAGAGAGAGAGGCCGACCCTTGGTTGCCACATTCTGTCTGCAGCGGAAACGATTTTGAGGGTCCTAGGTGGGAAGAAGGACAGACAATGAGAGGGGAGGGTGAGGGAGAAGCAAGTCACCTCCACCGTGGCTCATCTGCACACTGCTCACTAGCTCCGCTCCCTGCTACAGCCAGTGTAGAAGGTGAGCAAGAGGATGGAGCTGCACACGGACCCCAGAGAGGCAAAGCTGGTGGCGATGGTGCGCAGAGGGAGGAAGGGAGGGGTTGGGGATAGCACGTAAGAGATATCATGGTATGGGCATCTGTAACAGACCTAAGCTTTGGCAAAATAAACTAAAATGAATTAGTATGAAATATAAAAACAAAGTCTACTTTTTATACTCAACATGGTGGGAAAGGATTGTTCTCTGTCCAAATGCTGCAGCAGTGTCTCATCCTGGACAATTTTGTGCAGGAGGTCATCCACATGCCCTTAAGACCAGATCAACAAGAGACCCATCCTCAACTTCCAGTCCACATAATACCTCCAGGCAGATTAGTGTTACCCAAGGAGCTTGATGAGATGTAACAGGATTCTATCTCCAGGAAGTGCACGTGGACAAATGATTATAACAGCACTGTTTATTAAGCCCGAGCCAGGTACCAGGGCACTATCACATTTAATCCCTACATATATTTATAATCTGCTTTCTACAAGTGAGGAAATGGAGGCACAGAGAGGTTAAGTGACTTGTGCCAGCTACACAGCCAGGAAGGTGTGAAGTGGGCTGTGAATCTGGTTATGTGACACCCAAACTTGCACATGACCCACGCTGCCTTCTGAAATGCCCTCTTCACAAAGGGCACCTGCGGGCAAGCATGGTCCTGACTCCTGGGCCACTTAACTCCTCTTCCTCTGTGATTGAACATCAGATAGCAATTCTCGAACCAGTAGCCAGTGGAACCTACTGTTGGCCTAACTACCAGTCACCAGGGTGACTCCTCTCTCCTTCTTGAACAGCAACACACCTTCCAACTGCAGAATATGCCATCACCACTGCATCAGCACACTCAACATCCTTCATCTGCACCCAGTCCTTCTCATGACTCTGCGTTGCCGAGATGACGCTTTCCTCCACATCTCCAGTCACTTTGCTGCCCTGAATTAATGAAGGTTGGAATTTAAAGAACAAAAATAGCTTAATCTTGGGAGAAACTGCCAAAGATTCAGACACAAGTCACTACAGGGCGCACTCAGGGGTCAGAGAGTGTCCTGTTGGTGACACTGGGCCAGCCAGGACTGATGGTTCCTTGTCAGGATGTCATGACCACTGCTGCTCAAAGTGTGTAATCTACACACTAGGGCCTGTCTGCTGTTTACAGTCTGCAGTGCACGGCATCCATCAACATATACATAGTTTATAAAGTTGTAATTTTCCTGGTATTTCTTTTTATATTTATTGAACTTTTTCCTGTTGAGTCTAAAAATGGATTTTGTAATTTTTTTTATGAGGTCTCCTTCTGTCACCCAGACTGCGATGCAATGGTGCAAACATGGCTCACTGCAGCCTTCAATTCCTGAGCTAGATGGATTCTCCTGCCTCAGCCTCCAAGTAGCTACGATTACAGACTTGCTCCACCACACCTTGTTAAGTGTTTATTTATTTATTTAGAGACAAGGGTCTCCCTATGTTGCCAAGGCTGGTCTCAAACTCCTGGTGTCAAGTGATCCTCCCTTTTGAGCCTCTCAAAGTATGGGGATTATAGGTGTGAGTCATCCTGCTCGGCCAGATTTTGTATATTGAATTTAATTTCATGACTTCCATCATTAGTATTATTTCATTTACCAAGGTTTAGATGTGGAATGGATAGGAATTAAAAACCCCTCCTTCACCCTGGAGTTTGAGAAGCCCGGTGTAGAATTCAAATAACTAAGGGGTTTGATTCCATTCCGTGTAGTCACTTTCTAACCTGAAATCCAAAGAGGAATTGAAGTTGGGCAGAGAAATCAGAGAAGGAACAGGAGGCATTGAGAAGTTTCTGTGCCACATTTGAGAATGAAGGTGATCCTGTATTCTGGATCCCCACCAATGACCTGATGAAGTGTTATTCCATTCTACAGAAGAGGAAGCACAGTGAGGCAGCCTGGCTTGCCTTAATGCACTCTGATTGTTAGGGACTCAGATTTCCATTTAGAGCCCAGGAGTCTGCAACCCTAGTTCGATCCCCCACCCCAGTCTCTGATTTCTGAAGCACATAAGGGAAACTGAAGTCAGAATCAGGTCTAAAGTGTTTAATTATCACTCACATATTTCACAGGAAAAGGAATGTAGCAAATGGGTCAAGGTGGTATAAAAAAAAAATCCAGGTTTGTACATGTCTCTCTGTTTACATCTGGGAGAAAGGTTGTCCTGGCATCAGTCGCAGCAGCTGCACTTCTCTGACGCCCCTTTGCAAACACAGCCCTGGGCACACTTGCTACAGCCCACGGGGCAGCAGGAGCAGCAGCCTGGGGAAGAAGAGGAGCATGAGAGGTCACAGCCAACTTGCCCAGGGACCTCCCTCCCCAACAGAGGCCCCCAACAGAGCCTCCAGCCACAAAGGACCCTCAGTTCAGGAGGGTATGGCTTTGTCAGGAGACAACTGGGAAATATCTGGGGTGGGTCTTCCTATGAGAAAGCTGCCCAGGCGCCCTGCACAGGGCAGAAGACTAGAAAGGCAGTGACAACCTACGGGGACAAAGGAAGGCCAGTTCCCCAGAAGCATGCACTCAGGGCCAGCCTTGGGTTCCATCCCAACCTTAGCCACAGCCCCAGACCATGGAGATGGCCTCACACTCACTCTTCTTGCAGGAGGTGCATTTGCACTCTTTGCACTTGCAGGAACCAGCGCAGGTGCAGGAGACACCTGCGAGAAAGAGAAAAAAAAGCCAGTGAGCGGCGAGTGACCTGCAGGAGGTACAGCAGTGAGTTAATGAGTCTCCATTGCCCCCTCCTCTGTGCGGGGCCAGCCCTCAGAGCTCCTTTCCCACTCAGAGCAGAGGAAGAGAAGCCCCATGTCCTCTCCCTTCATGCTGGGAAGGCCAAGCAGCCTCCTGTTTGCACTCCAAAGGAAAGTCCCAGGCTCCAGGCACAGCCTGGGAAGACGGCGACTTCGACTTTCTGTCCTGAACCCCGAAGAGGCAATGTCCCCTGCCTCCTATCTAATCCTGCTGCTCAAAGCCTGGTCAGAGCACTGGGGCTCAGCCAACAGCCCTGGGACAAACCGCATGACGTGGAGCAGGACAGCCTTGAGCCTCAGTACCCTCAACGCTGACACAGAGGCACAGAGAGGAAGGAAATGCTCTCAGGATCTTGGCCAAGAGGAAAGCACTGGACTAAGTCAAGGAGTCCCCTACAGTTGAGATCTCAAAATACGACCTTCTCAAACCCAGGAACACTCTCTATGGTGTCTGGGAATCGAGCATCCCCAGGCACGGAACCCGGCGTTCCTTACCAGCGGCGCAGGAGCAGTTGGGGTCCATTGCAAGCCGAGGAGAGACTGGACTTTCCAAGAGAGAAGCGAAGAAGCAGTGGGGCAGGTGGAAGGCGTGGTGGACCCCAACAGCCGGCCGCTGCTTTGATAGTCAGGGGAGGGGGCCGGGCGCAGAGACCCCGCCCCGTCTTTGCACCCGCCCCGCCTGTCAGCGCTGCGGGAGGTCCTGGGTGGGCTGTGTGCAGCAGAAGGGCCGGGCGCAAGGTCCCCTGAGCGCAGCTCGCTGCACACCGCGGACCGTCCCTTTGGAGTCCGCTCAAGCGGGAGGCGCTTTGTGCCTGGGTGAGCGGCTTCCCTGCCCTCCTGCCCGCCCTTCCCAGTTTCGCCAAGATTGCCTGCTACACCCGCCCCTTGGGGTTCCGGGTACCTGGAGATCCTGGCCTTCGCCCCGCCCCCCGGCCCCGCCCCGGTCCTTCGTCAACAGCTAAGCCTTTCCTGGAGTCCCAGTGCAACCCCAGTCTCTTGCGCCACTGTCTAGATTGGCGGGAGCAGGGAGCCTAGCAAGGGAGTAGTGTGCAAAGGACAGGCCGAGGATGTGACCTTCGGATCTCTAGCATTGCCTGTCCCTGTCACCCCACCTCAGTCCTTTGGCCATGTTTCTCCTGCGCACAGCAACACGGAAGACACAGGGCTCTGCCCCCCTCTCTTCCATTCTTCACTCTTGAGAGGCTGAATGGGCACATTTGTCTGGGTCCTCCTTTGCATAAATCTCTCCGGGGTCTCCCCACAGCCTCGACGGGCACCCCACTATAGGATGGCAGTTTGGAAAATATGGGATGCCCCCAGAAGCGAGATCACTGAAGGCGGAGTTTGCGGTGAGCCGAGATCGCACCATTTTTGCACTCCATCCTGGGCAACAAGAGTGAAACTCCCTCTCAAAAAAAAAAAAAAAAAAAAAAAAAAAAAAAAAAGAAAAGAAAAGAAAGAAAAGAAAAAGAAAAAGAAAAACTTAACATAAGAAGTAAGAAAGACAAGTGGTTAATTCCCTTCAATATTACTAGCAATTGCTTAAGGTTGAGTCTGTGCCAGTCTCCTTTTAATCATTTTCATTGTTTGAACCTTTACAACAATTGTAAAGGGAAATACTAGGCATGAACCCATATTAATAAATGGACACCTACAACAAAGAAAGTTCAAGCAACGTGCTCATCGTCACAGAGCTAAAAAGCTGTGCACTGATTTGAATCCAGCCAGCCTCTCAGGAGAAATTCTCTGAAATAAGGCCCAGCTATGTCTTCTCTATTGCTGGACTTCCCTATGGCTTGAAATCTTTTAAATAATAACAAGTCAGGCCGGGCACCGTGGCTCACGCCTGTAATCCCAGCACTTTGGGAGGCTGAGGTGGGCAGATCACTGCAGGCCAGAAGTTCAAGACCAGCCTGGCCAACATGGCAAAACCCCATCTCTACTAAAAATACAAAAATTAGCCAGGCGTGGTGGCACGAGCCTGTAATCCCAGCTACTTGGGAGGCTGAGGTTGCAGTGAGCCAAAATTGTGCCACTGCACTCGAGCCTGGGTGACAGAGAGAGACTCTGTCTCAAAATAGTAATAATAATAATAATAATGACAAAGTCGCCAGCTCAACCATGGGCAATGACAAAAGCAATCCATAAGTGTAATAAGCATATATATATACATACATACACATGCACACATATATACTTTTCTGGCTATCTTCTACATATGGATAAGACTGATTTTCATTTTTGGTGGTGGAAGAGAGTTTGCTTTCATAAAAATATATTTAAGAAAGTATTAATCATTTCAATGTGAAATGATAAATAAAATGTGCACATGGCAGCAGAAATGGCTGTCATTCTATTTGTGACATGAGGCACAGCATCTTGCTCATAGCTTTTTAACCCTGTGTTGATGACATTTTTGTGGGAACAGTGAATAACTCTCAGGTCCACAGGACCCGTGTTTGAGTGGTAGATGACAATGACAGCATACACAGCTAGGCATTCCAGGCCTGGCTGCTCTGTCTGTGAATGAACAAATATCCCCTATGCTATGTGTATTGATTGTTTTAAAGAAGCAATAGCTAATATTGTAGACTACTCACCACTTGCCAGGCATCATTCCAAGTTTCTTACATGTATTAAATTATTTAATCCTACATGCCAGATGCCATTATTATGCACCTTTTACAGGGGAGGAGACTGAGACACAGAGAGGTTGCAAGGCACAGCTAAAGTGACAGAGGCGGGATTTGCATTCATGCATGCTAATGACAGCATCATGCCCTCACCCACCACTCTATGCTACCAAGTCGCAAGAAAGATGAGGACACGGAAAATCTGGCCCAAAGGCAGCCGTGGGAAGCACATTCAGTTGGCAGTCACTTTCCCCCTCCACAGCTCTGTGACCTCTCTGGGCTTCAGTGCTCATCTCTTAAGCCAAGTGCAAAATCGGTCTATCCCGAAGCATCTTTATAGATTTGAACCACGGTAGACAGAGTATAGCATCCAGTGATTAGCAGATCATGCTCTGCCAGCTGTGACCAGGACAACAGGCCAGGGGTAACATAGGTTCATGCATCCCTTCACTTCTGAGCTCCATGGTCTTAGGCAGGTTGATTAACTACTCTGGAAGACAGCACAGGCACTCCAGGCCCTGCATATTTGCTGTCCTGGTTCTGAGGCCTGTGGCTCTCATTCCCAAGGTTCTGTGAAGATCCAGTGATATGAAGGCTGAGAAAGGCTTTTGTGTCTGTACAAATGCCAAGCAGCAGCATCTTATCCAATACCACATTCCTCCCGGCAGGATCACCAGGCTGCAATCTCATTCCCAGCATCTAATCCAGAGTAATGCTTCCAAACCTATGAGCCTTTCTCCAGGAGGTCGTTGGGATTTAACAGAATTTGTCTAAGAAAGTAGTGTAGGCTATGTGCAGTGGGTCACACCTGTAATCCCAGCATTTGATAGGCCAAGGTTGGCGCATCACTTGAGATCAGGAGATCGAGACCAGCCTGGCCAACAGGGTGAAACACTGCCTCTACAAAAATACAAAGCTTAACTGGGCGTGGTGGTGTGCATCTGTAATCCCAGCTACTCAGGAGACTGAGGTGGGAGAATCGCTTGAACCCGGGAGGCGGAGGCTGTAGAGAGCTGAGATCCCACCACTGCACTCCAGCCTGGACAACAGAGGGAGACTCCATCTCAAAAAAATTAATTAATTAATTAAAAAATAAATAAAAAGAAAGTGAGTGTAGAGAGAATAATCATAAGCCTCATTATTTATTTATTTTTAACTTTTTCTTCTTTTTTTCTTTTTTCTTTCAGAGATGAGAATCTTACTTTTTTTTTGGCGGTGAAGCAGGCTGTGAACCAGGACTGCCTGACACGAAAATCCATGTCCTAGGCTCAGGCTGCCCTCTGAAATCTCCTCTTCACAGGGAAGCAGTGGGTAAGCATGGTCCTGATCTCTAGGCCAGGAAATTCATTTTCCTTTTTGATTGAACATCAAATAGCATTCCCTCCACAGAGCCAGGGGGACTAATTGTTGGCTTTTATTATAAATCAGCCAGGGACTCACTCCTTAATGAGCACCACCACACCCTCCAAACCGCAGAGTCCTCCATCACCCCTGCATGGGCAGACACGAAGAACTTCTTCTGCAACCCACGATGACACACACTGCACCCTGCTGGGAACATGCTGGGCATTTCCCTCCACATCTCCAGTCGCTTTGATGTTTTGAAGTAGGCAAAGGCTGGAATTTAGAAAGAGGAACAAATTCAGCTTGAGCTTGGGTGGAGCTTGCAAAGATTCAGAGCCGGCTGGGCGCGGTGGCTCATGCCTATAATCCCAGCACTTTGGGAGGCTGAGGCGGGCAGATCACGAGGTCGGGAGATCGAGACCATCCTGGCTAACACGGTGAAACCCCGTCTCTACTAAAAATACAAAAAATTAGCCGGGCGTGGTGGCGGGCGCCTGTAGTCCCAGCTACTCGGGAGGCTGAGGCAGGAGAATGGCATGAACCTGGGAGGCGGAGCTTGCAGTTAGCCAAGATCGCACCACTGCACTCCAGCCTGGGCAACAAAGCAAGACGCCGTTTAAAAAAAAAAAAAAAAAAAAGATTCAGAGCCAAGTCACAACTGGGAGCTCTCTGGGGTCAGTGAGTGTCCTGTCAGTGACACTAGGCAGGCCAAGCCTGATGGTTCCTGTGGGGACGTGCTGGGCAGTGCTGCTCAAGGTGTGTGAGCCACACCCTGGGACCAGTCTGCTGATTCCAGTCTGCAATGCACATAAGCAAAATATGGGCAAAGTTTGTGAATCTCTCATTTTCCTGTTATTTCTGTGTATACTTATTGAAATGTTTCCTGTTGAATCTTAAAATGGTTTCTGTATTTTGTGTTTGATTTCATTATATCTGTAATTAATATTATTTTATTTACAAAGGTTTAGGCCTGGGATGGATTGGAATTAGAAAATGTTTCTTCACTGTGGAGTTCGAGAAGCCCCGTGTAGAGCTCAAGCAACTGAGGAGTTGGATTCCACCCCGTCATCACTTTCAAGCCTAAAATCTGATGAGGGACTGAAGCTGAGCAGGGAAATCAGAAAATAAAAATGAGAAATGGAGAAGTTTCTCTGCCACATTTGCACATTTGACATGACCCGAGGCGATCATGCATGTCCCCCCAACCCCGTCATGTGATCCCACACAGTGCAGTTCCATTTTACAGAAGATGGAGCTCAGGGAGGTAACCGGGCTTGCCTGAAGGTATTCAGACTATAGGGGCTCACATTTCCATCCAGAACCAGGTCTTTAAATTCCCAGTTCAATCCCCCACTCCAACTGTTATTTCCAAGCCACAGAAAGGAAAAGGAGAGTCAGAATCAAGTCAAAAGTGTTTTATTGTCTTTCACATATTGAATAGAAAAAAGAATGTAGCAAACCGGTCAGGGTAGTTAAAAAAAAAAATCCAGGTTAGTACTGGTTGCTCTATTTATGTCTGGGAGCAGGGCTCTCCCAACATCAGGCACAGCAGCGGCACTTCTCTGATGAGCCTTTGCAGACACAGCCCTGGGCACACTTGGCACAGCCCACGGGGCAGCAAGAGCAGCAGCCTGGGGAAGAAGGGGAGAGTGAGAGGTCACAGCTGACTTGACCAGGAACCTCTCTGTCCCAACAGCAAGCCTGGCTGAAGTTCAGCCCCCACACCCAGAGGATGCATTTTTAGGCTGGCACAGCTGTGTTCTGATGGTACATTTGAGGTTTGTGTCCCAATAGAAAAAGTCTGCCCTGACCCATCTGAGCTCAGAGCAGAAAGCCTGGAGAGGGAATGACACAGCCAACAGGGGCAAAGGAAGACCAGTTCCCAAAAGCATGCACTCAGGGCCAGCCTTGTGTTCCCTTCCAAGCTTAGCCACAGCCCCAGATTCCTGGAGATGATCCCACACTCACACTTCTTGCAGGAGGTACATTTGCACTCTTTGCACTTGCAGGAGCCGGCGCAGGCACAGGAGCCACCTGCAAGGAAGCGAAAAAGGCAGTGGGCAGTGAGTAAGATGCAGAAGGTACAGCAGTGAGTCCATGAGTGTCCAGTGCGCCATCCTCTGTGCAGGGCCAGCCATCAGAGCTCCTTTCCCACTCAGAGCGGAGGAACAGAAGCCCCATGTCCTCTCCACTCAGGCTGGGAAGGGCAAGCACCCTTCTTTATATACCCCATCAGGAAGGTCCCAGCTCCACACACAGTCCAGGAAGACTGGGGCTGGAGGCCAAAACCTTCTGTGTTGAACTCTGAAGAGGCTATGTCCCCCACCTCTCACCCTTCCCGGCTGCTCAGAGTTAGAGCAGAGCACTGGGGCGCAGCCAGCAGCCCCCTGACTAGGTGGGTGACATGGAGCAGGACAGCCTCGATCCTCAGAATCCCCAACTCTGACTTACAAGCACAGAGGAGGGAGATGCTCACAGGAGCTTGGGCAAGAGGAAAGCACTGGCAAAAGTAAACGAGTTCCCTTCAACTCACATCTCATAATGCAACCTTCTCTAACCCAGGGACACTGTGTACAGTGGCCGGGAATGGGCATCTCAAGGCCCAGAGCCAGGCGTCCCTTACCTGTGGTGCAGGAGCAGTTGGGATCCATTTGGAGCCAAGACAAGCCTGGAGTTCCTAGGCAAGATATGAGAAGTCAGGGCAGGAGGAAGGTGTGATGGAGCCCAGGAGCTGGCTGCTCCCTTTATAGTCGGGGGAGGTGGTGGGGTGCAGAGGCCCCGCCCTGGCCCTTGCACTCACCCCTGCTGAGTCTGCACTGCCCGTGGTCCATGCCTGGGCCATGAGCAGTGACCTGGCCTGACTCAGGACTGTTATCATCGTTACCTTCCCTGGATACCGTGTGCAACCCCAGCCCCGTGTTCAACTTTCAGGATCAGCAGCAGCGGGAGCACAGGGAGAGAGTTGTGTGCAAAGGACTGGTGGAGGCTGTGACCTTTGGATTTCCCACCTTGCCTGAGTATGTCCCCACCTCGGTCCCTCAGTCACATTTCTCCTGTGCACAGCAACAGGACAGAGACACAGGGCTCTGTCTCCCTCCCTTCCATTCTCCACTCTTGAGAAGCTGAATGGGGATATTTGTCCAGGTCCTCCTTTGCATAAATCTCTCCAGGGTCTCCCCACAGCCTAGCTGGCCGCCCTACGACAGGATGGCCATTCGGAAAATGTGGGATGTCCCCAGAAGAGGGATCATTGAAGGTGACATGCAGATCCTGGATGAAATTAGAAAGCAATTTCCTTCCATATTCCTATTATTGTACATAACATTAATCCATGTTAGGCCCTGTTTAATCACTTTCAATCTTTGAACCCTCACAGCAACCCAAAAGGGACACACATTCTATTTATGAACCCATATTCCTAATCTGGACAATGACAGTACAAGGAGTTCAAGCCACTAGCCCGTGGTCAGAGGGCTAGGAAATGATACTGCTGGGTCTGAGTCCTGTCAGCTTCCCAAGGGAGAGAGGGCACTGATGAAGCTTCCGTCTGACCTAGGTATATTCGTCTCTTTACTGTTTGAAATCTTTAAACAAAACCAAGCATCAAGGTCAGTCCTGGAAGCAAAACAGGGATGCAGAGGGGTATGAATAAGGAGAATTTCATGGCAACCTTCTATGTCTGGAAGTTAAATTGATTCTTTTTTCAGTAGCGCTAATGAGTTTGCTTTTCATATAAATATATCTAAGGAAATAGGAATCATTTAAAAGAAAAATGTTGAGTCACATATTGGTGCAGGTGGTAGCAGAACTGGCAGGCGTCTTTCCATTTCTGTGATGGGGACAGGGACTGTCTTGCTCATGGCTTTATATTTCTGGTGTGAATCCTTATTTTGTGGCAGAGTGCAGGACCCTGTCAGGACCACAGGTCAATGCTTATGTGGCTGATGAGAAAGACAGAGGACACACAGGGAGGGACACCAGGCCTGGCTCTTTTGTCTGGAGTAAAAATGTCAACTATGCTATCGTCTGAGTCCATTTGGGCTGCTACCACCAGATACCTTAAACTGGGTAACTTAAAACAGCAAAAATATATTTCTCTCAGTTCTGGAGTCATGGAAGTCCAAGGTCAAGGCACCAGCATATTTGGAGTCTTGTGAGGGCCCCATTCCTCATGGATGTCTCTTTCTTGCTGGTCCTCACATGGTGGAAAGAGTTAAACAAGCTCCCTCAGGCCTCTCTTATTAAGGCACTAATCCCATTCATGAGCGCTTTGCCTGCATGCCATAGTCACTTCCCAAATGCACCACCTCTTAAAAGCAACAGAGTGAAAGTTAGATTTCAACAAATGAATATTGGAGGGACACAAGCATTCAGGCCATAGCAGCCGTGAATAATAATAACAAAATAGTAGTTAATATTATAGACCACTGGTCATGTACAAGGCACCATTCTGAGTTCTTTACATCCATTAAATCATTGGCCTCTACGAGTCCAACCCTATTACAGTCATGTGTCACTTAATGAGAGGTATGCATTCTAAGAAATATGTCTTTAGGCAATTTCGTCATTGTGCAAACATTGTAGAATGTACTCACACACACCTAGCTGATACTGGCTGCTACACAGCTTGGCTGTCTGCTTTAGCCTATTGTTCTTAGGCTTCAAACCTATACACTATTATGCAATTTTAACACAATGGTAAGTATTTGTGTAGCTAAACATAGAAAGGTACAGTAAAAATACCATTTTATAATCTTAAAGGAATCTTTTTTAGCTGAAAAAGTGATCTGAGACAGGGAACCTGGTTTTCCTTAAGGCACTCATGGTGTAAGATGATAGGGCATGGTCCCAGCACCCAGGTCTCTGGACTCTCAATGCAGTCACACATACCAGCTCTCTTGAGTATGGGGTCCACTATTTCCATGCATACAAAGAAAACCAGAGCCAGAATAAGTCAACAACTTTTATTATCATTCACATATTTCATAAAAGAGAGACAAATACAGTAAATGGGTCATGGTTGCATGGAAAAAAATTCCAAGTTTATATAGGTCACTCTTTCTACATCTGTGAGCAGGGCTGTCCCAGCATCAGGCACAGCAGCTGCACTTATCTGATGCCCCTTTGCAAATGCAGCCTTGGGCACACTTGGCACAGCCCACAGGGTAGCAGGAGCAGCAGTCTGGGAAGAAGGGGAGAGTGAGAGGTCAGAGCAGACTCGACCGGAGACCTCTCTGCCCTGACAGAGGCCTGGCTCAAGCCCTGCCTCCAGCCCCAGAGGACCCTCAGTTCAGGGTGGCATTGCTCTGTTAGGACTCAACTGGTGGATCTTTGGGGTGAGGGTCTTCCAGTGAAAAAGCTGCCCAGCACAACCTATACCTGAGAGATGACAGAAGACTGGAGAGGCAGTGACTGGGGCTACAGGGACAAAGGAAAGCCAGTTCCCCAAAACCGTACACTTAAGTGAGGAAAGTCCTGAAGTGTCAGGTCTGTGCTTGGCAGGTTGGTGCACGCACATGCCCTCAGTTTCCCCATTTTAAGAATGAAAGTTGGGAATCAACTATCTTGTGTTTTTCCAGCTGTGATCCAGAATCACTTACCAGAAAGGGGATGTGGGAAGCTTGTCACTGTCCTGCTCCTGCCTGCTGAGCTCTCGGTTCCCTCCTCTGACTCTGCCCAGCACCCTGATTCCCAGGGAAGGCCCCACACTCACTCTTCTTGCAAGAGGTGCATTTGTACTCTTTGCATTTGCAGAAGCTGGCATAAGTGCAGGACCCAGCTGCAGGAAAGAGAAAAAGGCAGTGAGCGGTGAGTGTGCTGCAGGGTTAGGAGCAGGCCCTCAGCATCCTCTTGCTCAGTGCATGGGAAACCTGGTACCTTGTTCCACTCAGGCACATGGAAGCCCAGCCCCACCTTTTCTCCACAAAGGCTCAGATCGGCAGGCGCCCTCTTTTTCATAGCACACGGGGACCTCAGTGGGAAATCTTGAAGAAGCAATGTTTCCCACATCCCTACTAGCCCAGGCAGCTCAAAAGCTGGACACAGCACTAGGTCCCAGCTCAGCACACCTCTGGCCTATAGGTGACCCGGAGCAGGGGCAGTTTTGAGCCTCATTCCTCTCGCCTTAGAAATGGGAGGCACTGGGACTATGGTAATGTTCTCAGTGATGATAATAAAGGCGATTGGTAAGAGAAAAAGCACCAGAAGTACAAAGTAAAATAATCCACTTCAGGTAGGGCTCAAAATGCACCTGCCTCCTGCCGCAGGGACATTCTATCCTCTGGCATGAAAATGGAGATCCCAAGGCCCCGAAACCCGGCATCCTTTATCAGTGTCGCAGGAGCAGTTGAGGTCCATCTGGAGACCAGGTGAGGCTGGAGTACCTAAGCCAGAGGCGAAGAAGCAGGCAAGCCGGTGGGAGGGGGAACAGAGCTCAGGAGCCACCTCTGGCTTTGTAGTTAGGGTGGGGTGCCGGGCGCAGAGGCCCCGCCCCAAGTCTGGCCCCCGCTCCCGCAGTGTCAGAGGCGCCCTAGGGTTCAGGGCCGGGCTGTGCGCAGCAGACGGGCCCGCCGCAGGATCCTCCCTAGCGCTGCCAGTGCGCACCCTGGGGGCTGCCCTTTGACTCCTGCTCGCTTTGGCGGTAGGCGGCGTCCCTGCTATAATCCCAGCCCTACAGAATTTCCCGGGGATTGGAGTCCACTCCTGCCCCTGAGCGGTCCAGGAACCAAGCCTTAGGTGGTCACGGTGTCCCCAGCCCAGCACCCCGCACCAATGACCTGAGCTTCGCCTCTGTGGGAGTCTGTGTGCTACCCCGGCCTAATGCTCATGTCCCTAGATAGGACTGAGGCGGGAAGTGCAGCGAGGGAGTTGTGTGCAGAGGACAAGCCTCCCATGTGACCTTTGCCTCACCTGCATTGCCAGCCAGGTCCTTTGGCCACGTTTGTCTTGTTCACAGCAACAGAGCAGACACACGGCCCTGCCTCCCTCCCTTCCATTCCCCACTCCTGGGAAGGTGATGGGCACATTTGTCCAAGTCCTCTTTTGCTTTAACTTCTTGGGGCTTCCCACAGCCTCGCTGGCCCACCAAGCCCAAGGATGGAGCTTCCCAAAACTTGGAATGTTCCCAAGGGAGGGATCTTTTCCCTGGTGTGCTCACCCTTGCATTAAATTAAGAAGCATGAAAAATGGTTATTACTTTCAGAATTCTTAACTGTTACAGCGCTTTTAGTCTCAGCCAGACCCTGTTTAGTCACTTTGTCTATTTGAACCCTCACAGCAACCCTTAAGAGGAATACTCTTTATGACAGCATCTTACTAATCAGACGACAACACAAGGAGATAAGTAATTAGCCCAGGACAGAGGGTGGAAGTGGTGCCGCGGGTCTCAATCCACTCAGCTTTTCAAGGCAAAGAGGTCAATGATGCAACTTCTCTTTGGCCTGGCTATGTCTTCAGCACCTCTTTATTGCTTGAAATCTTTAAACAAAAACAAATGTCAAGGTCAATCCGGAGAGCAACAGAAGTGATACAGAGGGATATATATAATTGTACGGCTACCTTCCATGTCTGCAAGGTGAGACTGATTCTTATTTTCAGTACTGTCAAAGAGTTTGCTTTTTCTATAAATACATTAAGGAAATATGATTGTTTAAAAGAAAATGTTATGGAAAATAGCAGCGCAGGTGTTGGCAGAAATGGCAAGAATCGTTTTGCATCTGTTATGCAGACAGGGACTATCTTGCTCGTGGCTTTATATATGCAGTGTGGATCCCTATTTGTGGATGGGTAGGGGTCCCTCTCTGATCCACAGGTCATATGCTCATGTTATTGTTAGGAACAACATGGGACATACAGCTAAGCCCACCAGGACTGGTTTATTTGTCTGGAAGTACTAAAATGTCCCTGTGCTATGAATAAAGATAATAAAATCATAGCTATTACAGACTACTTGAGACATGCCAAACGCTATATTAAGTTCTCTATATGAATTAAGTGATTTGTTCCTACCAGCCAGACCCTGTTATTATGCAAGGGAACAGAGTAGGAGCCTGAACCACAGAGAGGTTGTTTCACCCTGGTATAAATGACACACCTGAAATTTACACTCATGCAACATCATTCCTTCAACCACCACCCTATGTCACTACTTCATGTAAAACACAAGGACATGAAAAACCTGGCACAGGGACAGCAGAGGGAAGAGTAACAAGCGGGCAGTCAATCTTTCTTCATAGCTCTTAACCTCCCTGAGCATCCGTGTGCCATCTATCCAGTCAGGGCACAATGGAGTCAACTAACCAAGGGTCCTTCCAGCTAAAAACTGTGACAGGCAGAGCTTAGCATCCACTTACACAATGATCTGCCAGCTCTGGAGAGGGCATGAGGACAGCTGTACCTTAAGTTCATCTATACCTGTAGTGCTGAGTTGTGTGACCTTGGGCAGGTTGTTAACTACTCTAGAGGACAGTGCTCCCCTGCATAGGCAGCCTCTGCACACACTGTCTCTCTGGTTTGTGTGAAGATCAAGTGACTTGAAGGGTGGGAAAGGCTTGTTCTCTGTCCAAATGCTGGAGCAGTGTCTTATGCTGGACAGTTGGTGCAGGAGGTCATCCACATATCCTTAAGACCAGATCAGCAAGACTCCGAACCCATTCCCAACTTCCAGTCCACAATCATGCTTCCAAGGAACTGGCTCTTTCCCAAGTAGCTTGATGGGATCTAACAGGATTCTGTCTGGAAAGTCCATGTGGACAAATGATTATAACAGCACTCTTCATTGAGTCCTAACCAGGTGCTAGGCCACTATCACATTTCATCCCAATGTAGATATATAATCTTCTTTCTACAAATGAGTAAATAAAGCCTCAGAGAGATTAAGCACCTTGCCCAGGTCACACAGCCAGTAAGGGATGAAGTGGGCTGTGAACCTGCTTGTGTGACACCAAAATGCCTGCACTTTGCCCAAGGCTGCTTTCTCTTCTTGTTTTATTTTAATTTTTTGTTTTACATAGAGAGAGGTTCTTACTGTGTTACCCAGGCTGGTCTCCAACTTCTGGCCTCAGGCAATTCTCCTGCCTTGGCTTGAGCAGAGCATGACGTGAGCCACTGAAGTGGTGTGAGCCACTGTACCTGGCCAGGCTACCTTCTGAAATCCCCTCTTCACAAAGCACCTTTAGGCCAGCATGATGCTTAGTCTTGGGCCATGTGACTCCTCTTCCTCTTTGAATATCAAATAGCAATTCCCTCACCAAATAGCCAGATAACTAACAGTTGCCATGAAGTACAAGACACCCAGGGCCTTCCTCCTTCATACTGAACGTCACTGCACCTTACAACAGATGTGCAGCGTTAGTATTTTATTTTTCCTGTTATTTTGTTCTTCACATCTGTTTTGAGATTTCTTTGTTGAATATAAGAAATAACTTTGTATTTTTATTTTTCATACTTATTCATTCTATTTATCTCACCAAAGCATAGGTCCATGACTGATTCCTGTGCCCTCATATCATCTGGCCTGATGCTCTTACATTTTTAGCTAGGAAACGGACCTGAGACAGGTGACCCGACTTGCCTTAAGGCACTCAGCATAAAGGATGATCCCAGCTCTGCTGGGTCTGAGGTGTCTTATTTCAGGACACCCCCTCAAAAAAAACAGAGGCAGAATAAGGCCAACAATGTTTATTATCATTCCCATATTTCATTTAAGAAAACAGACATAGTAAATGGGTTAGGTTTGTGTTTAAAAAAAAACTAGATTTGTAGGGGTTGCGTTATTTACAACTGGACGCAGGGCTGTCCCAACATCAGGCACGGCAGCTGCACTTCTCCAATGCCCCTTTTCAGGTGCAGCCCTGGGCACATTTGGCACAGCCCATGGGGCAGCAGGAGCAGCAGTCTGGGGAAGAAGGGGAGTGAGAGATCAGAGCAGGCTTGACCAGGGATCTCCCCGACCCAACAGAGGCCTGCCTCAAGCTGTGCCTCCAGCCCCAAAAGACGCTTAGTTCAGGATGGCATTGTTCTGTCAGGAGACAACTCCTGGATCTTTGGGGTGAGAGTCTTGCCATGAAAAAGCTACCCACCCTTCCTGTGCCCAGGACAGGGCAGAAGACTCCAGAGGGAGCGACATGCTCTTTGCAGTAAAAGGAAGGACAGTCTCCTAGAATAATACACCTAAGTGAGGAAAGTCCTCAAGTATCAGGCCTGTGCTTGGCAGGCTGGTGTGCTCTCTTGGTGTCAGTTTCCCCCTGGTAAGAATAAAGATTGGGAATTAACCATCTCTAGTGTTCTTCCAGCTGTGATCCTAAGTCATTTGCTGAAGCAAGGGGATGTGGGAAGTTCGTCATTGGTCTGCTCCTGTCTGCGGAGGTCTGGGATCCCTCCTTTGACTCTGCCCAGCCCCCAGATTCCCAGGGAAGGCCCCACACTCACTCTTCTTGCAGGAGGTGCATTTGTACTCTTTGCATTTGCAGGAGCTGGCACAGGTGCAGGAGCCACCTGCAAGGAAGAAAAAGGCAGTGAGGAGTGAATGTTGTGTGCCTCCCATCCACCTCAGGCAGCTCAATGCTGGACAGAGCACTGGGTCCTAGTTCAGCACACCTTTGGCCTTGAGGGTGACCTGCAGCCGGGCAGTTTTCAGCCTCAGTCCTCTCGCCTCAGAAATCGGAGGCACTAGGAAGATGGCAATGTTCTAAGTGGTGATGAAGGCTCTTGGCGGGGAGAAAGCTCGAGAAGTGCAAAGCAAAGGAGTCCACTTTAGGAAGAGCTCAAAATGCACCTGCCTCCTGCCCCAGGGATGTTCTATTCTGTGGTATGAAAATGAAGATCCTAAGACCCGAAACCAGGCATCCTTTACCAGTGGCGCAGGAGCAGCTGAGGTCCATTCGGAGATCAGGTGAGGCTGGAGTTCCTAAGCCACAGGCGAAAAAACAGGCGGGCCGGTAGGAGGCGGAACAGGAGCAGGCCGCCTGACTTTACAGTCAGGGCAGGGTGCTGGGTGCAGTGGCCCCGCCCCAGGTCTCGCACCAGCCCAGCTCAGTGTCAGCGCTGCCCAGGGTTCAGGGCGGGGCTGTGCGCACCAGGCGGGCCGGGCGCAGGATCCTCCTTAACGTGGCTGTTGCGCACCCTGGGGGCGGCCCTTTGGCTCACGCTCGCTTTGGAGGGGCTGTGCTCCTGGCGGTACGCGGCGTCCCTGCTATAATCCCGGCCCTCCCGAATTTCCCGGAGATTGCACTCCATTCCTGCCCTTGGGCGGTCCGGGAACCCAGCCTCAGGTGGTCGCGGTATCCCCACCCCCGCACCCCGCACCAGTGACGTGAGCTTCGGCTCTGTGGGAGTCCATGTGCTACCCCAGCCTAGTGCTCACGTCCCCAGATAAGACCGAGGCGGGAAGCGCAGCGAGGGAGTTGTGTGCAGAGGACCAGCCTCCCATGTGATCTTCGACCCACCTGCATAGTCACCCAGGTCCTTTGGCCTCATTTTTCCTTTTCACAGCACACAGCAACAGGCCAGATACAGGGCTCTGCCTCCCTCCCTTCCATTCTCCACTCCTGAGGGGGCGATGTGCATATTTGCTTAAGTCCTCTTTTGCTTTAACTTCTTTTGGGCTTCCCACAGCCTAGCTGGCCCACCAGGACTAAGGACATCCAAAGCTTGGGACGTCACCAAGGGAGGGATCTTTTCCCTGATGTGGTGACCCTACATTAAATTAGGAAGCATGAAAAGTGCTTATTTCACTTTCAGAATTCCTGACTATTGCCGAGCTTTTGGTCTTGGCCAGACCCTGTTTAGTCACTTTGGCTATTTGAACCCTCTCAGCAACCCTCGAGGATAATACTCTTTATGACAGCATCTTACTAATCAGACAACGACAACACAAGGAGATAGGTAACTAGCCCGGAACAGAGGGTGGAAGTGCTGAGGCAAGAGAATAGATTCTGGAGGCAGTGAACCTAAGGCTGATTCACAGTCTTTCTAGAACTAAACCAAAAGGAAAACCCCAACTTTCCACACCCAAGTAACAAAAGGACCAGAGGCTACTTCGTTTGCAACCCCTCCCCACTTTGTCTGCATGGGAGATGAGAAATTGAAAGTACCTCTGATTTGCCCCTTATGGCAACCAGTTGGGCTGGTCTTGGGCTACATCTTCATTTGCACAGGAGTAACTTTGTAACTTCACTTCAGCTTCTAATTGGTTGCTTTCTGCAATCAGTCAGACTGATAGCGGACCACTACTTCTTGTACATAGAGTGTACACTAAGCAACCAATGAGAAACCTCTAGAGGATATTTAAACCATAGAAAATTCTATAACCAGGCCCTTGAGCCACTCGCTGGGGCCAGCTCCCACCCTGTGCAGTATACTTTTGTTTTCAATAAACCTCCGCTTTTGTTGCTTCCTCCCTCCCTTACTTTGTACATTTTGTCAAATTCTTTGTTCAAGGTACTAAGAACCTGGACACCCTGCACCGGTAACAGTGGTACTGTGGGTCTCAATCCAGTCAGCTTTTCAAGGGAAAGAGGTCAAGGGCAAACTTTCCCTTTGGCCTGGGTATGTCTTCAGCACCTCTTTACTGCTTGAAATCTTTAAACATAAACAAACGTCCAGGTCAATTCTGGAAGTGACAGAAGGGATGTATATGTAATTTTATGGCTACCTTCCATATCTGCAAGTGTGACTGATTCTTTTTCTCAGTAGTGTCAAAGAGTTTGCTTTTCCTATAAATATATTAAAGAAATATGATTACTTAAGAGAAAATGTTAAGGAAAATAACAGCGCAGGCGATAGCAGAAATGGCAGGAATCCTTTTGCATTTGTTATGCAGACAGGGACTGTCTTGCTCGTGGCTTTATATATCCAATATGGATCCTTATTTGTGGACTAGTGGAGGACCCTCTCTGGGCCACAAGTCACGTGCTCCTGTTATTGATGAGAACAACATGGGACACACAGCTAAGCCCACCAGGCCTGGCTTATTTGTCTAGAGGTAGAAAAATATCCCTATGCTATGAATAAAGATTACAATCAAAGCTATTACAGACTAGTCAGCACAAGCCAGGCACCATTTTAAGTTCTTCACATGTTTTAAGTGATTTGCTCCTACCAGCAGACTCTATTATTATGTCAATTCACAGTTGAGGAGACTGAGCCACAGAAAGGTTGCGTCACCCACATATAAGTGACGCAGCTGGGATTTGCACTCATGCATGCTGACTGCATCATGGTGCCCTCAACAACCACCCTATGCTACTGTGTCATGTAAAACCCAAGGACACTGAAAATCTGGCACAGAGACAGCAGTGGGAAGGACACTGAGCTAGCAGTCAATCCCTCTGCATAGCTCTGTGACCTCTCAGCCTCAACATGCCATCTCACCCATCAGAGGCACAGCTGCACTAACTAACCAAGGTCCCTTCTAGCTCTGAATTGTGACAGACAGTTCTACAAAGGAAGAAATGGAGGCTCAGAGAGGTTGAGCAACCTGCCTAGGTCTCACAGCCAGTAGGTGGTGAAGTGGGCAGTTAAACAAGACTGCCCTGACCCTGAACCCCATGCTCTTTGCACAGCCTGCCTTCTGGAACCCTCTCTTCAAAAGGAGTACCTGCAGGCCAGCATGGTCCTGATTCCTGGCCCGCTTGACCCCTTTTCTTCTTTGAACATCAAATAGCAATTCCCGCAACAAATAGCCAGAGGAACTAATTGCTGCCATTAATTACAAGTTACCTGGGGCCCCCTACTCCTTCCTAATGAACACCACCACACTTTAGAAACTGCATAATATGCCATCACCTCCGCATAGGCGGACTCAAAGTACTTCATCTGGAACTAATCCTTCTCTGTACTCCAGCTTGCTGGGAGGATCCTGGGTAATTTCCTCCACTCCCCCAGTCACTTTGCTTGCCTGAATTAACCAAGGGCTGGACTTGAAGGAGGAACGGATTTCAGCATGACCTAGGGAGAAACTTCCGAAGATTCAGAGACAAGTCACAACATGGAGCTCTCAGAGATACCAAGAGTCACATCAGTGACCCTGGACAGGCCAAGACTGATGGTTCCATGTGGGGATGTCCTGGCTGGTGGTGTTGAAGGTGTGTGACCCACATACTGGGGCCAGTCTGTGAACTGTTTCCAGTCTGAAATATACATCCTAGAACAAATGTGTAGTGTAATTTTATTTTTCCTATCTTGTCTTCCATATATTTACTGAAATTGTCCTGTTCAATATAAAAAATGGATTTGGTGTTTTTTTTTTGTCATACTAATAGATTTTATCTTACCAAAGCTTAAGTCTGTGACAGATTCCTGTGGCATTATATCATCTGTCATCACGCTCTTACATTTTTATTTAAGAAACTGACCTGAGGCAGGTGCCTGATTTGCCTTAAGGCACTCAGTGTGTAAGATAATAGGACAAGGTCCCAGCACCCAGGTCTCTGGACTCTCAATGCAATCCACCATCCCAGCTCTGTTGGGTATGGGGTCCCTTATTTCCAAGGCACACAAAGAAAACCAGAGCCAGCATTAAGTCAGCAACTTTTATTATCATTCACATATTTCATTAAAAAAAATACAGTAAATGGGTCAGGGTTGTATGGAAAAAAAATTCCAAGTTTGTGCAGGTCACTCTTTCTATATCTTCGAGCAGGGCTGTCCGGACATCAGGCACAGCAGCTGCACTTCTCTGATGCCCCTTTGCAGATGCAGCCCTGGGCACACTTGGCACAGCTCATGGGGCAGCAGGAGCAGCAGCCTGGGGAAGAAGGGAGAGTGAGAGGTCAGACCAGACTTGACCGGGGACTTCCCTGCCCCCAGAGAAGCCTGGCCCAAGCTCTGTCCCCAGCCCCAGAGGACACTTAGTTCAGGATGGCATGCACTGTCGGAGATGGGAGATAAGTGGTGGATCTTTCGAGTGAGGGTCTTCTGTGAAAAGCTTATCTCCATCTGAGCCCCAGACCTGGCAGAAGGCTGGAAAGGCAGTGACTGGGGTTATGAAGGACAAAGGAAGGCTGGCTCCCCAGAACCACACACTTAGGGGAGGAAAGTCCTTAGGTGTCATGTCTGTGCTTGGCAGGCTGGTGCACTCTTGGCCTCAGTTTGTCTATTTTAAGAACGAAACTTGGGAATCCATCACGTCTAAAGATCTGGCTCTGATCCTGAATCAGTTGCTGGGGAAGGGGATGTGGGAAATGGATCATTGGCCTACTCCTCCATGCCCAGCTCTGGTTTCCTGCCTCTGACTTGGCTCAGCCCCAGATTCCTGGAGATGGCCCCACACTCACTCTTCTTGCAGGAGGTGCATTTGCACTCTTTGCATTTGCAGGAGCCAGTGCAGGTGCAGGAGCCACCTGCAAGGAAGAGAAAAAGGCAGTGAATTTTATACAGAAGATAACAGCAGTTGGTCAACAAATGCTGCCAGCTGAGTGCATTGCCAGGCCTGATAGATAGCTCCTGTCCAACTCAGGGCACCATGAAGCCTAATCTTACTTCTATCTGTAGAGGCTAGGATGGGCTTTATGTCCTTAATCCCGAAAAACCAATAACTCCTGTCTCCCATCCACCCCAGGAACTGCGCAGAGTACTGGGGCTCAGCCTAGCAGTCCCCGACTACCTGGGTGACATGGAGCAGGAGAATTATGAGCCTGAGTCCTCTCGCCTCTGAAATGGGAGGCATTAGAATAGGAATGTTCTAGGGATGATGAAGGCGCTGAGTGGAAAAGCACTAGATCAATGAAATAAATGACTCCACTTAGCTAGAACTCAAAAAACACCTCTACTCCTAGGGACATCTATCCTGTGGCGGGGAAATAGGTATCCTAAGGACCAGAAACCTAGCATCCCTTACCAGTGGCGCAGGAGCAGTTGGGGTCCATTTCGAGCCGCGGTGAGGTTGGAGATCCCAAGCAAGAAGTTGAGAGGCTATAAGGCGCACGTGGAAGGCTTGGTAGGGCCCAGCAGCCAGCGGCTGCTTTTATGGTCAGGGGAAAGAGGGCCGGACGCAAAGGACCCGCCCTGCGCCTGCGCCCGCCCCGCTGAGTCCGCCCAGCCGAGTCCGCCCCGCCCGAGGTGATGACCTGGACTGGGCTTTGCGCAGCAGAAAGGCAAGGCGCACAGTCCACTGAGCTCCCCTGGGTGCGGACCACGGGACCACCCCCTCCCCGCTTTGGGGCCGCTAACGCGGGAGTGAGTTTACGCCCGGGGTACGGGGCGTCCCCGAGGTCCCGGTCGCCTTTCCCAGTTTCCCCGAAGTTGCCTTCCACCCTAGTCCCCGCGCGTTCCGGGAACCCAGCCTTGGCGTTTCGGTCGCCTCCACCCCACCCCTCTCACGGTTTTCAGCTCGGCCTGTCCCGAAGTCTGAGTGCAGCCACAGCCTCCTGCTCCTGTCCCCGGATCGGCGTAGTGCAGAGCGTGGAGCGTGCGGTAGCGAGCGAGTTGTGTGCAGAGCAACCGCCACCGATGTGATTTTCGTTTCTCCTCGCTGTCGCCTTGCCTGTCCCTGTCCACACCTAGGTCCCTCGGACCCACTACTCCGTACACAGTAACACGGGAACACGGGTCGGCCTCTCACTCTCGTCCATTCTCCTCGCCTGAGAGGATGTGGGGGCACATTTGTCCAGGTCCTCCTTTGCAAATAAATCTCCGTGCTCCCCACAGCCTAGCCGGCCACCCCACTACCGTCTGGCAGTTCTGGACATGTGGGATATCCCCAAAAAGGAGATGACTTCATGTGATGTGCTGACCCTGCTTTAAACTAAAAAGCAAGATGGGGGAGGTGGCGGGAAGCTGTAGTCCAAGCTACTTAGGAGGCTGAGGCGGGAGCATCACTTAAGCCCAGGACTTCCAGTCCTGCCTAGTCCACATAGCAAGTCAACTTCTCTAAAAAAATAAAATTAAAAAGCAAGACATCCAGTTATTTCCCTAAAGTACACCTGACTAAGGCATAACATTGAGTCTATACCAGTCCCTTTCTAATCACTTTCATTCACAGCCACCACTGGAGTGACCTACCAGAGGATGAACACACTCTTTACCATGGGATGGCACCAAGTCATTCTTTAGGGATGTGTCCTCATGACCCCAAAAGCTCCCTCTAGGCCCCACCTGCAATAGTGGAGGACACATTTCAACATGAGATTTGGCAGTGACAAAATATCTAAATCATAGCACACATGTAGGATTCAAGAAACTAAGAAGTTGGGTTCCAGCACTATAGCCACTTTTAAGCCTAAAATCCAATGTGGATCTCAAGTTGTGGAGGAAAATCAGAAAATAAAAATAAGGAATGAAGTTTCTGTGCCACGTTTGGCATGAGACTGGAAGCGATCATGTATGGTCCCCACCCATATGGTGTGGCAAAGTGCAGTACCATTTCACAGAAGTGTGAACTCAGTGAGGTAACCTGACTGGCCTGAAGGTGTTCACATTATTAGTGACTCACATTTCCATCCAGAGCCTGGTCTCTAAGCTTGCGGTTTAACCTCCACCCCAGTCCATTTTTTCCAAGGCACACAAAGAAGAACAGAGTAAGATTCAAGTCAAAATTGTTTTATTGTCACTCACATATTTAATATAAAAAGAAATGCAGCAAATGGCTCAGTATTGTATAAAAAAAAAATCCAGGTTGTGCAGGTTGTTCTATTAACATCTGGGAGAAGAGCTGTTCCCACATCAGGCACAGCAGCTGCACTTCTCCGACGTCCCTTTGCAGATGCAGCCGTGGGCACACTTGGCTCAGCCCATGGGGCAGCAGAAGCAGCAGCCTGGGGAAGAAGGGGAGAGTGAGAGGTGGCAGCAGACTTCACCAGGCACCTCCCTGCCCTAATAGCAAGCGTGGCTCCAGCTCAGACGCCAGACCCAGAGGAAGCTTTTTTCGTCTGGCATAGCTCTGTTCTGAAACCATAGATGGTACAGTTGGGGTTTGCATCCCAAGAGAAAAATGCTGTTCTGCCCCATCTGAACTCAGGGCAGAAAGCTGGGAGAAGGAATGAAATGGGCAACGAGGGCAAAGAAAGCCCAGTTCACCAGAAGGGTGCACTCAGGGCCAGCCTTGAGTTCCCTCCCAACCTTAACCACAGCCCCAGATTCCTGGAGATGGCCCCGCACTCACTCTTCTTGCAGGAGGTGCATTTGCACTCTTTGCACTTGCAGGAGCCGGCGCACGTGCAGGAGCCACCTGCAAGGAAGAGGAAAACGCAGTTGGCAGTGAGTGAGATGAAGAAGGTACAGCAGTGGGTCAATGAGTCTCCAGTGCCCCCTCCTCTGTGCAGGGCCAGCCCTCAGAGCTCCTTTCCCACTCAGGACAGAGGAACAGAAGCCCCATGTCCTCTCCACTCACACTGGGAAGGGCAAGCACCCTCCTGTTTCACCTTATCAGGAAGGTCCCACGTGCACATACAACCCAGGTATTCTGAGATTGCCAGCCAGAACCTTCTGTCCTGAACCCTGAAGACTCAATGCCTCTAGCTCAGCATCCACCCTGATTGCTCAGAGCCTGGAGGAGAACACTGGGGCCCAGCCAGCAGGACCCTGACCAACTGGGTGATGTGGAGCAGGACTGCCTTGAGCCTCAGTATCCTTAACTCTGACTTAGAGGCCCAGGAGGGAGGGCAGTGCTCTCAGGAGCGCGATCAGGAAGAAAGCACCCCAAGGAAGTAAAGGAGTCCCCTTCCGCTCAGAACTTAAAATGCAACCTCCTCAAACCCAGAGACCCTCAGTACTGGGGCTGGGAAATGGGAATCCCAGGGCGCAGAGTTGGGCTTCTCTTACCAGTGGTGCAGGAGTAGTTGGGGTCCATTTCGAGCCGCGGTAAGGCTGGAGATCTCAAGCGATAAATGGAGAGACCGCAAGGCGCACGTGGACGGCGTGGTGGAGCGCCACAACCTGCGGCTGCTTTCCTACTCAAGGAAGGGGGCCGGGCGCAGAGGCCTTGCCCCGCGCTTGCACCCGCCCCGCTGGGTTCGAGCCCCCAGCGGTCCTGGGCTGGCCTGTGCGCAGCAGAAGGGCCGGGGGCACCAACCCCTGAGCTCCACTCCCGGCGCGCCGCGGGACCGCCCTTCTGGCGCCCCTTCGCGCGTGAGGGGCTGTGCGCCCGGCGGTATGCGGTGTCCCCGAGGTCCTGGCCGCCTTTCCCAGTTTCCCTGAAGTTGCCTTTGCCTTCCACCCTCCTCCCCGCGCTTTCCGGGACCCCAGCCTTGGCGTCGCGGGCGTCTCCACCCCATCCCTCGCTTCGCCGTTTTCAGCTGGGCCTGTCCCGGAGTCCCGGTGCAGCCCTCCTGCTCCTGTCCCCGGATCGGCTGAGTGGGAAGCGGGGAGCGTGCGGTAGCCAGCGAGTTGTGTGCAGAGCACCCGCCACCGATGTGGCTTTCGTTTCTCCTCATCTCCCGCCTTGCCTGTCCCTGTCCACACCGCGGTCCCTCGGACCCGCTCCTCCGTACACAGCAACACGGGGAACACGGGTCGGCCTCTCTCTCCCGTCGATTCTCCTCGCCTGAGAGGATGTGTGGGCACATTTGTCCAGGTCGTCCTTTGCTGATAAATCTCCATGCTCCCCACAGCCTAGCCGGCCACCCCTACTACCGGCTGGCAGTTCTGGACCTGTGGGCTGTCCCCAAAGAGAGATGAGTTCAGATGATATGCAGACCCTACTTTAAATTAAAAAGCAAGATGGGAAATTAGCCGGGCGTGGTGGGGGGCACCTGTAGTCCCAGCTATCCCGTGGCTGAAGCGGGAGAATGGCATGAACGCAGAGGCGGAGCTTGCCCTGAGCCGAAATAGCGCCACTGCACTCCAGCCTGGGCGACAAAGCGAGACTCGGTCCCCCCACCCAAAAAAAAAGAAAGAAAGAAAGAAAAAGAAAAAGAAAAAAAGCAAGGTGGGGAAGGTGGCGGGAAGCTGAAGTCCCAGCTACTTAGGAGGCTGAGGCGGGAGGATCACTTGAGCCCAGGACTTCATGTCCTGCCTAGTCCACATAGTGAGTCAACGTCTCTAAAAAAATAAAATTAAAAAGCAAGACATCCAGTTATTTCTCTGAAGTATACCTGACTAAGGCATAACATTGAGTCTATACCTGTCCCTTTCTAATCACTTTGACAGACAGCTCTGGAGTGACCTACCAAAGGAAAAACTCACCCTTCACCATGGGAGGGCACCAAGCCATTCTTTAGGGATCTGTCCTCATGGCCCCAAAAGCTCCCACTAGACCCCACCTGCAATAGTGGAGGACACATTTCAACATGAGATTTGGCAGTGACAAAATATCTAAATCATAGCACCCGTGTAGGATTCAAGAAACTAAGAAGTTGGGTTCCAGCACTATAGCCACTTTTAAGCCTAAAATCCAATGTGGATCTCAAGTTGTGGAGGAAAATCAGAAAATAAAAATAAGGGATGAAGTTTCTGTACCACATTTGGAATCACACTAAAAGCGATCATGTATGGCCCGCACCCATATGGTGTGCACAATGCAATACCGTTTTACAGAAGGGTGAACTCAGTGAGTAACCTGGCTGGCCTGAAGGTGTTCACATTGTTAGTGACTCACATTTTCATCCAGAGACTGGTCTCTAAACTCCCAGTTTAACCCCCACCCAGTCCATTTTTTCCAAGGCACACAAAGAAGAACAGAGTAAGATTCAAGTCAAAATTGTTTTATTGTCACTCACATATTTAATATAAAAAGAAATGCAGCAAATGGCTCAGTATCGTATTGAAAAAAAATCCAGGTTGTGCAGCTTGTTCTATTAACATCTGGGAGAAGAGCTGTTCCCACATCAGGCACAGCAGCTGCAGTTCTCCAACGTCCCTTTGCAGACACAGCCGTGGGCACACTTGGCACAGCCCACGGGGCAGCAGGAGCAGCAGCCTGGGGAAGAAGGGGAGAGAGAGGTAGCAGTAGACTTGACCGGGCACCGCCCTGCCCCAATAGCAAGCCTGGCTGGAGCTCAGAACCCAGACCCAGAGGAAGCTTTTTACGTCTGGCACAGCTCTGTTCTGAAACCATAGATGCTACAGTTGGGATTTGTGTCCCAAGAGAAAAATGCTGTCCTGCCCCATCTGAATTTAGGGCAGAAAGCCTGGAGAGGGAATGACACGGGCAATGAGGGCAAAGAAAGCCCAGTTCCCCAGAAGGATGCACTCAGGGCCAGCCTTGGGTTCCCTCCCAATCTCAGCCACAGCCCCAGATTCCTGGAGATGGCCCCGCACTCACTCTTCTTGCAGGAGGTGCATTTGCACTCTTTGCACGTGCAGGAGCCGGTGCAGGCGCAGGAGACACCTGCAAGGAAGAGAAAAACGCAGTGGGCAGTGAGTGAGATGAAGAAGGTACAGCAATGGGTCAATGAGTCTCCAGTGCCCCCTCCTTTGTGCAGGGCCAGCCCTCAGAGCTCCTTTCCCACTCAGGGAAAGCCCCTGTCCTCTCCACTAACGCTGGGAAGGGCAAGCACCCTCCTGTTTTACCCTACCAGGAAGGTCCCAGGGGCACACCCAACCCAGGAATACTGAGATTGCCAGCCAGAACCTTCTGTGCTGAACCCTGAAGACTCAAATGTCTCCAGCCCCCAGTCCACCCTGATTGCTCAGAGCCTGGAGGAGAACACTGGGGCCCAGCCAGCAGGACCCTAACCAACTGGGTGATGTGGAGCGGGACTGCCTTGACCCTCAGTATCCTTAACTCTGACCCAGAGGCCCAGGAGGGAGGGCAGTGCTCTCAGAGGGGAGATCAGGAAGAAAGCACCTAAGGAAGTAAAGGAATTCCCTTCCGCTCAGAACTTAAATGCGACCTCCTCAAACCCAGAGACCCTCAGTACTGGGGCTGGGAAATGGGATTCCTAGGGCGCAGGGTCGGCTTCTCTTACCAGTGGTGCAGGAGCAGTTGGGGTCCATTTCGAGCCGCGGTAAGGCTGGAGATCTCAAGCGATAAATGGAGCGACTGCTAGGCCCACCCGGACGGCGTGGTGGAGCGCCACAGCCTGCGGCTGCTTTTCTACTCAGGGGAGGGGGCCGGGCGCAGAGGCCCTGCCCCGCGCTTGCACCCGCCCGGCTGGGTTCGCACCGCCAGCGGTCCTGGGCTGGGCTGGGCTGAGCCCAGCATAAGTGCCGGGCGCACCATCCCCTGAGCTCCGCTCCGAGTGCGCCGCTCGACCGCCCCTTTGGCTCGGGTTTGCGCGGGAGGGGCTGTGCGCCGGGTGGTACGCAGTGTCCCCGAGGTCCCGGCCGCCTTTCCCAGTTTCCCCGAAGTTGCCTTTGCCTTCCACCCTCCTCCCCGCGCTTTCCGGGACCCCAGCCTTGGCGTCGCGGGCGTCTCCACCCCACCCCCTCGCCCCGCCGTTTTCAACTGGGCCTGTCCCGGAGTCCCGGTGCAGCCCTCCTGCTCCAGTCCCCGGATCGGTCGTGTGCGGAGCGGGGGGCGTGTGGTAGGGAGCGAGTCGTGTGCAGAGCACCCGCCACCAATGTGGCTTTCGTTTCTCCTCCTTCCCCGCCTTGCCTGTCCCTGTCCACACCGCGGTCCCTCGGACTGGCTCCTCCGTACACAGCAACACGGGGAACACTGGTCGGCCTCTCTCTCCCGTCCATTCTCTTCGCCTGAGAGGATGTGGGGGAACATTTGTCCAGGTCCTCCTTTGCAGATAAATCTCCATGCTCCCCACAGCCTAGCCGGCCACCCCACTACCGTCTGGCAGTTCTGGACCTGTGGGATGTCCCCAAAGAGAGATGACTTCAGATGATATGCAGACTCTGCTTTAAATTAAAAAGCAAGATGGGTGAGGTCGCGGGAAGCTGTAGTCCCAGCTACTTAGGAGGCTGAGGCGGGAGGATCACCTGAGCCCAGGAGTTCGAGTTCTGCCTAGTCCACATAGCAAGTCAGCATCTCTAAAATAATAAAATTAAAAAACAAGACATGCAGTTGTTTCTCTTCAGTATACCTGACTATTGCATGACATTGAGTCTACACCAGTCCCTTTTTAATCTCTTTCATTCTTTGAATCCTCACAGCAATCCTAAAGGGAAATACTAGTTATGAACCCGTTTTGCTCATCACAGGACTACAAAGGAAATGTCCAAGTAACTGGCTGGTCGTCACAGAGCTAAAAATTTGTGCCCTTGTTTAAGTCCAGCCAGCCTCTTAAAGGAAAGTGTCCATGATCAAGCCTTCCTTTGGTCCAGATATGTCGTCAGCACTTCTCTATTGCTGGAAATCTTCTAAACAACAGGGGAAGGGCACCGCGGCCCACACCTGTAATCCCAGCACTTACGAAGGCCGAGGCGGATGAATCACCTGAGGTCAGGAGTTGGAGACCAGCCTGGCTAACATGGCGAAACCCTGTCTCCACTAAAAATACAAAAATTATCCTGGCATGGTGGCAGTTGCCTGTAATCCCAGCTACTGGGGAGGCTTGGGCAGGAAAATCGTTTGAACCCGGGAGGCAGAGGTGGCAGATTGGGCCATTGTACTCCAGCTGGCTGACAGGGGTAAAACTCTGTCTCAACAAACAAAAACAACCAAAAACCCTCAAATAAACAACAGGAAGCTACCAGCTCTCTGATGGGCAGTGGCAAAAGTAATCCATAAGTGTAATACACACACACACACACACACATTAATTTGGGGGCTATCTTCCATGTGTAAGACAAGATTGGATTTCATTTTCTCAGGTGGAAAATAATTTGCTTTTCATAAAAATATGTTTAAGAAGTATTGATCATTTCAAGGTAAAATATTAACTAAGGGATGGTGCAGGTGGTAACAGAAATGGCAGTCATTCTTCTGTATCTGACATGAAGCACAGAATCTTCCTCATAGCTTTATAACCCTAGTGTTGATAACAATTTTGTGGGGACACTGAATGGCTCTCTTTAGACCACAGGACACATGCTCATGCGGTAGATGAGGATAACAGGATACACAGCTGAGCACTCCAGGCCTTTATGTGCAAATAAATAAATATCCCCTATGCTCCATAGAATGAACAAAATAAGCAATAGCTAATATTGTAGACCACCCACCCCTGGTACCATTCTAAGTTCCTGATATGTATTAAATCCTTTAATCCTACAAGCCAGAGGTTAGTATCATGCCCCTTGTACAGTGGAGGAGACTGAGCCACAGAGAGGTTGTGCCATGCAGCTGAAACTAACAGAGGTGGGATTTGCACTCATGCATTCTGATGGCAGCATCGTACCCTCAGCTACCACTCTATGCCACTAAGTCACATGAAAGATAATGACACTGAAAATCTAGCACAGAGGCAGCAATAGGAAGTGCACTCTGTGGACAGGAATGTCCCCCTGCACAGCTCTGTGACATCTCTGGGTTTCAGTTCTCATCTCTCAAGCCGAGAGCAACATTCATCCATCCCAAAGAGTCTTTGTATCTTTGAACTGAGATAGGCAAGATTTAGCATCCCGTGGCATCATAATCTACCAGCTGTGGCCAGGGCCACAGGCCAGGTTTAGCATAGGTTCATTCATCCCTTTACTTCTGAGCTGTGTGACATTGGGTAGGTTACTTAACTAATCTGGAAGACAGCATAAGCACTCCAGGCCCTGCATATTTGCTGTCCCAGTCTTGAGGCCTGTGGCTCTCGTTCCTGAGGTCGTGTGATCAGATGATATGAAGGATGGGAACGGATTTTTATGTCTGCTCAAATGTAGGGGCAGCATGTTATCGACAAGGACTTTCCGCAGAAGGTCACCCACACGCCTCCTGGCAGGGTCAGCCTGGTTGCAATCCGATTGCCAGTATCCAATCCACAGTAATGCTTTCAAACCCATAAGGTTTCTCTTATCTTTGAGATTTAACAGGGTTCATTTTCCAAAAAAGCCAGTGTAGAGAGAATGCTTATAACTGCTATTTATTAAACCCTAGCCAGGGGCCAGACCATGCTGTCATTTAATCCCTGCTTTGAGATATAATCTGCTTTCTACAAATAAGGAACTGGAGGCTCAGAGAGTTTCAGTGATGCACTCAGGCCACACAGCCAGTACGTGGTGAGGTGGGCTGTGAACCAGGACTGCCTGACACCAAAACCCATGCCCTAGGCACAGGCTGCCTTCTGAAATCTACTCTTCACAGGGAAGCAGTGGGCAAGCATGGTCCTGACCTCTAGGTCAGGAGGATCATCTTCCTCTTTGACTGAATGTCAAATAGGATTCCCTCCACATAGCCGAGGGAACTAATCATTGGCTTTAATTAGAAGTCAGCCAGGGCCTCACTCCTTCCTAATGAGCACCAGCACACCCTCCAAACTGCAGAATCCGCCATCATTCCTGCATGGGCAGGTGTGAGGTATTCATGTGGAACCCATGATCACACACACTTCATTGTGCCAGGAACATGCCGGGCATTTCCTTCCATATTCCCAGTCACTTTAGTGGTTGGAAGTAGTCAAGGGCTGAAATTTGAAAGAGGAACAAATTCAGCCTGAGCTTGGGAGGAATTTCCAAAGATTCAGAGCCAAGTCACAACAGGGAGCTCTCAGGGGTCAACGAGTGTCCTGTCAGTGACACTGGGCAGACCAAGCCTGAGGGTTTTTTGTGGGGATGTGCTGGGCAGTGCTGCTCAAGGTGTGTGAACCACACACTGGGGCCAGTTTGCTGTTTCCTTTCTTTTCTTTCTTTGAGACAGAGTCTCAGTTGCCCAGGCTGGAGTGCCGTGGTGCAGTCTTGGCTCACTGCATCCTCTGCCTTCGGGGTTCAAGCGATTCTCTTAAGCTTCTGCAGGCTGTGCATAAGTGTGGTACAGGCATCTGCCTCTGGTGAGGGCCGCAGGAAGCCTACCTTCCTGGCAGAAGGCCAACAGGGAGCAGGCACATCACGTAGAGAGACAAGAAACAAGAGAGAAAAAGGGATGATGCCTGGCTCTTTTAAACAGCCAGCTCTGGAGTGAGCTACTAGAGGAAGAACTCACTCTTCACCACGGGATGGCACCAAGCCATTCTTTAGGGATCTGTGCTCATGACCCCAAAGTTCCCACTAGGCCCCACCTGCAATATTGGAAGTCACATTTCGACATGAGATTTAGTAGTGACAAAACATCCAAATCATAGCACACTTGTAGGATTCAAGGAACTGGGGAGTTGGGTTCCAGCACTGTAGCCACTTTTTTTTTTTTTTTTTTTTTGAGATGGAGTCTCGCCCTGTTGTCCAGGCTGGAGTGCACTGGCGGATCTCGGCTCACTGCAACTTCAGTCTCCCGAGTTCAAGCAATTCTCCTGCCTCAGCCTCCCCAGTAGCTGGGATTATAGCTACGTGCCATCACGTGTGGCTAATTTTTTGTATCTTTAGTGGAGACAGGGTTTTACCATGTTGGCCAGGCTGGTCTCAAACTCCTGACCTGGTGATCTGCCCACCTGGCCTCCTAAAGTGCTGGGATTATAGGCGTGAGCCACCGTGCCTGTCCTGTAGCCAATTATTTTTTTTTTATTTTTTATTTTTGAGATGGAGTCTCGCTCTGTCGCCCAGGCTGGAGTGCAGTGGCATGATCTCGGCTCACTGCCAGCTCCGCCTCCCAGGTTCACGCCATTCTCCTGCCTCAGCCTCCGGAGTAGCTGGGACTACAGGTGCCCACCACCATGCCCGGCTAATTTTTTGTATTTTTTTTTTAGTAGAGACGGGGTTTTCACCGTGTTAGCCAGGATGGTCTCGATCTCCTAACCTCGTGATCCGCCCACCTGGCCTCCCAAAGTGCTGGGATTACAGGCGTGAGCCACCGCTCCTGGCCTATAGCCCTTTTTTTTTTTTTTTTTTTTTTTTTTTTTTTTTGAGACGGAGTTTCGCTGTTGTTGCTCAGGCTGGAGTGCAATGGCGCGATCTCGGCTCACCGCAACCTCCGCCTCCCGGGTTCAAGCGATTCACCTGCCTCTGCCTCCCAAGTAACTGGGATTACAGGCATGCGTCACCACGCCTGGCTAATTTAGTATTTTTAGTAGAGACAGGGTTTCTCTATGTTGGTCAGCCTGGTCTCGAACTCCTGACCTCGGGTGATCCGCCCGCCTCAGCCTCCCAAAGTGCTGGGATTACGGGCATGAGCCACCATGCCCGGTGTTTGTTTTTTTTTTGAGAGGGAGTCTCACTCTGTCACCCAGGCTGGAGTGCCCTGGCGGGATCCCAGCTCACTGCAAGCCCCGCCTCCCAGGTTCATGCCATTATCCTGACTCAGCCTCCTGAGTAGCTGCGCCCGGCCTGTAGCCGATTTTAAGCCTAAAATCCAATGTGGATCTGAAGTTGAGCAGGAAAATCAGAAAATAAAAAGGAGGGAAGGAGTTTCTGTGCCACATTTTACATGAGACTGGAAGCGATCATATATGCCCCCCCACCAATATGGTGTGCACAGTGGAATGCCATCTTACAGAAGTGTAAACTCAGTGAGGTAACCTGGCTGGCCTGAAAGTGTTCACATTGCTAGTGGCTCACATTTCCATCCAGAGCCTGGTCTCTAAAATCCCGGTTCAACCCCCACCCAGTCCGTTTTTTCCAAGACACACAAAGAAGAACAGAGTAAGATTAAAGTCAAAATTGTTTTTATTGTCAGTCACATATTTAGTATAAAAAGAAATGCAGCAAATGGCTCAGTGTTGTATTTTTAAAAAAATCCAGGTTGTGCAGGTTGTTCTATTTACATCTGGGAGAAGAGCTGTTCCCACATCAGGCACAGCAGCTGCACTTCTCCGATGCCCCTTTGCAGACGCAGCCCTGGGCACACTTGGCACAGCCCACGGGGCAGCAGGAACAGCAGCCTGGGGAAGAAGGGGAGAGTGAGAGGTGGCAGTAGACTTGACCGGGCACCTCCCTGCCCTAATAGCAAGCCTGGCTCGAGCTCAGAACCCAGACCCAGAGGATGCTTTTTTTCGTCTGGCACAGCTCTGTTCTGAAACCATAGGGGGTACAGTTGGGGTTTGTGTCCCACGAGAAAAATGCTGTCCTGCCCCATCTGAATTTAGGGCAGAAAGCCTGGAGAGGGAATGACACGGGCAATGAGGGCAAAGAAAGCCCAGTTCCCCAGAAGGATGCACTCAGGGCCAGCCTTGAGTTCCCTCCCAACCTGAGCCACAGCCCCAGATTCCTGGAGATGGCCCCGCACTCACTCTTCTTGCAGGAGGTGCATTTGCACTCTTTGCACTTGCAGGAGCCGGCGCACGTGCAGGAGCCACCTACAAGGAAGAGGAAAACGCAGTGGGCAGTGAGTGAGATGCAGAAGGTACAGCAGTGGGTCAGTGAGTCTCCAGTGCCCCCTCCTCTGTGCAGGGCCAGCCCTCAGAGCTCCTTTCCCACTCAGGACAGAGGAACAGAAGCCCCATGTCCTCTCCACTAACGCTGGGAAGGGCAAGGACCCTCCTGTTTTACCGCACCAGGAAGGTCCCACGTGCACATACAACCCAGGAATATTGAGACTGCGAGCCAGAACCTTCTGTCCTGAACTCTGAAGAGTCAATGTTTCCAGCACCCCCAACCACACTGATTGCTCAGAGCCTGGACAGAGCACTGGGGCCCAGCCAGCAGGCCCATGACCAACTGGGTGATGTGGAGCAGTTCAGCCTTGAGCCTCAGTATTCTTAACTCTGACGTAGAGGCCCAGGGATGAGGGCAATGCTCTCAGGGGCGTGATCAGGAAGAAAGCATCTAACGAAGTACTGGAGTCCCCGTCGCTCAGAACTTAAAATGCGACTTCCTGAAACCCAGAGACCCTCTGTAATAGGGCTGGGAAATGGGGATTCCAGGGCGCAGAGCTTCCCTTACCAGTGGCGCAAGAGCAGTTGGGGTCCATTTCGAGCAAAGGGGATGCTGGAGCTCACACCAGTGAGACGAACAAGCAGTCAGGCAGTTGGAAAGCAGAATGGAGCCCTGCAACTGGCTGCTCTATTTATAGACGGAGGTCGGGCCGGGCGCAGAGGCCCAGCTCCGCGCCTGCACCCGGCCCGCTGAGTCCGCACCGCCCGCGTTCCTGGGCTGGGCTGTGCGCCGCAGAAGGGCCGGGCGCACCACCCCCTGAGCTCTGCGCGGTGGGCACCGCGGGACCTCCCCTTTGGAGCCCGTTCGCTCGGGTGGGGCTGTGCCCCCGCAGGTACGCGGTGTTCCCGAAGTCCAGGCCGCCTTTCCCAGTTTCCCCGAGGTTGCCTTCCACCCTCCTCCCAGCGTGTTCCGGGACCCCAGCCTTGGCGTCGCGGGCGTCTCCACCCCACCCCTAGCTCCGCGGTTTTCAGCTCGACTTGTCCCAGAGTCCGTGTGCAGCCCACCTGCTGCCGTCCCGGGATCCGCTGAGTGCGGAGCGGGGAACGTGCGGTAGCGAGCGAGTTGTGTTCAGAACATCCGCCACCGATGTGGCTTTCATTTCTCTTCGTCCCCCGCCTTGCCTGTCCCTGTCCACACCTAGGTTCCTCGGTCCCGCACCTCCTTACATAGCAACACGGGGAACACGGATCGGCCTCTCTCTCCTGTCCATTCTCCTCGCCTGAGAGGATGTGTGGGCACATTTGTCCAGGTCCTCCTTTGCACTTAAGTCTCCATGCTACCCCTAGCCTTAGGGCCACCACAATACCGGATGGCAGTTCTGGACATGCGGGGTGTCCCCAAAGAGAGATTACTTCAGATGATATGCAGACCCTGCTTTAAATTAAAAAGCAAGGTGGGCGAGGTGGCGCCTACTGCTGTAGTCCCAGCTACTTGGGAGGATCACTTGAGCCTAGGAGTTCGAGTCCAGCCTGGGCAACATAGGGAGTGAACGTCTCTAAAAAAATAAAATTAAAAAGCAAGATAGGCCGGGAGCGGTGGCTCACACCTGTTATCCCAGCACTTTGGGAGGCCGAGGCGGGCGGATCACGAGGTCAGGAGATGGAGACCATCCTGGCTAACATGGTGAAACCCCGCCTCTACTAAAAATACAAAAAATTAGCTGGACTTGGTGGCGGGTGCCTGTAGTCTCAGCTACTGGGGAGGCTGAAGCAGGAGAATGGCGTCAACCCGGGAAGTGGAGCTTGCAGTGAGCCAAGATCGCGCCACTGCACGTCAAAAAAAAAAAAAAAAAAAAAAAAACAGAAAAAGAAGAAAGAGAAAAAAAGAAAAAGAAAGAAAGGAAAAAAAGAAAGCAAGATAAATGGTTATTTCTCTTCAATATTGCTGATCTCTTCAATATTCCCGGCTGAATGCACAACATTGAGTCTGTGCCGATCTCTTTTTAACCACTTGCTTTGTGATCTTAAAGAAAAATACGATTTATGAACTTGTATTACTAAACAGACAGCTACTACAGAGTTAAAGTAATTGGTTCAAGTCACAGAGCTGAAAAATTGTCACTGATTTGAATCCAGCCAACCCCTCAAGAGAAAGTGTCCATGGATCAAGCCTTCCTTTGGCCCAGGTATGTCATCAGCACTTCTCTCTTGCTGGAAATCTTCTAAACAATGGCAAGCCACAAGCTCAACCATGGGCAGTGGCAAAAGCAATCCATAAGTGTAATATATATATATATATATATATATATATATATATACACACACACACACACACACACACACACACACACATTTATAGTTTTCCTAGCTATCTTGTATGTATGGATAGGACCGATTTTCATTTTTGGTGATGGAAAAGAGTTTGCTTTTCATACAAATATATTTAAGAAAATATTAATCATTTAAATATAAAATGATAAGTAAAGTGTGCAGGTGGTAACAGAAATGCCAGTCATTTTATATCTGACATGAGGCAGAGAATCTTGCTCGTAGCTTAATAACCCTGTGTTGATGATGATTTTGTGGGAGCAGTGAATGACTCTCTTTGGACCACATGACACATGTTCATGTGGCAGATGACAATGAGAGCATACACAGCTAGGCACTCCAGGCCTGGCTTCTTTGTCTGTAAGTAAATATCCCCCATGCGATGTATGATTATTATTTTTTTTTAAAAAAAGCAATAGCTAATATTGTAGAATGCTTGCCAAGCAGCATTCTAAGCTCCTTACATGTATAAAATTCTTTCATCTTACAATCCAGATGCCATTATTATGCTCCTATTACAGGAGACACAGAGAGGTTGTGAGGCACAGCTAAAAGTGACAGGTGGGATGTGCACTCATGCATGCTGTCTGCAGCTTCATGCCCTCACCCATTGTATTAGTTTGTTTTCACACTGCTGATAAAAGACATACCCGAGACTGGGCAATCTACAAAAGAAATGGACTTACAGGTCCACATGGCTGGGAGGCCTCACAATCATGGCGGAAGGCAAGGAGGAGCAAGTCATGTCTTACATGGATGGGAGCAGGCAAAGAGAGAGCTTGTGCCCGGAAACTTCCATTTTTAAAACCATCAGATCTCATAAGATTCATTCATTATCACGAGGACAGCACAGGAAAGACCTGCCCCCATGATTCAATTACCTCCCACTAGGTTCCTCCCATGACACTTTGGAGTTGCGGGAATTAAAATTTAAGATGAGATTCGGGTAGAAGCACAGCCAAACCATATCTTTCCACTTCTAGCCCCTCCCAAATCTCAGGTCCTCACATTTTGAAACCAATCATGCCCTCCCCACAGTCCCCCAAAGTCTCAACTCACTTTAGCATTAACTCAAAAGTCCACAGTCCAAAGTATTATCTGAGACAAGGCAAGTCCCTTCTGCCTATGAGCCTGAAAAATCAAAAGCAAATTCGTTACTTCCTAGATACAATGGTGCTACAGGCATTGGGTAAATACAGCAATTCCAAATGGGAGACATTGGCCAAAATAAAGGGGCTACAGGCCCCATAAAAGTCAAAAATCCAGCAGGGCAGTCAAATCTTAGAGCTCCAAAATGATCTCCTTTGACTCCAGGTCTCACATCCAGGTCATGCTGATGCAAGAGGTAGGTTCCCATGGTCTTGGGCAGCTCTGCCCCTGTGGCTTTACAGCCCCCCTCCTGGTTGCTTACATGGGCTAGCATTGAGTGTCTGTGGCTTTTCCAGGCACATGGTGAAAGCCGCTGGCGGATCTACCATTCTGGGGTCTGGAGGATGGTGGCCATCTTCTCACAGCTCCACTAGCCGGTGCCCCAGTAGGGACTCTGTGAGGGCTCTGACCCCACATTCTCTTCCACACTGCCCTAGCAGAGGTTCTCCATGAGGGCCCCACTCCTACAACAAACTTCTGCATTTCCATACAACTTCCGAAATCTAGGCAGAGGTTCCCAATTCTTGACTTCTGTGCACTCACAGGCTCAACATCATGTGGAAGCTGCCAAGGCTTGGGGCTTGCACCCTCTGAAGCCACGACCAGAGCTTTACATTGGCCCCTTTTAGCCATGGCTGGAGTGGCTGGGATGCAGGGCACGAAGTCCCTAGGCTGCACACAGCACAGGGACCCTAGACCCGGCTCATGAAACCACTTTTCCTCCTAGGCCTTTGGGCCTGTGATGGGAGGGGCTGCTGTGAAGTCCTCTGACATGCCCTGGAGACATTTTCCCCATTGTCTTGGGGATTAACATTCTGCTCCTTGTTATTTATGCAAATTTTTGCTGCCAGCTTGAATTTCTCCTCAGAAAATGGGATTTTTTTTTTCTATTGCATTGTCAGGGTGCAAATTTTCCAAGCTTTTATGCTCTGTTCCCCTTATAATTCTGAATGCCTTTAATAGCACACAAGTCACCTCTTGAATGTTTTGCTGCTTAGAAATTTCTTCCACCAGACACCCTAAATCATCTCTCTCAAGTTCAAAGTTCCTCATATCTCTAGGGCAAATGCAAAATGCCACCAGTGTCTTTGCTAAAACATAACAAAAGTCACCTTTGCTCCAGTTCCCAGCAAGTCCCTCATTTCCATATAAGACTACCTCAGCCTGGACTTTATCGTCTGTATCACTATCAGTATTTTGGGCAAAGCCATTCAACAAGTCTCTAGGAAGTTCCAAACTTTCCCACATTTTTCTTTCTTCTTCTGAGCCCTCCAAACTGTTCCAACTCTTGCCTGTTACCCAGTTCCAAAGTTGCTTTTTTTCTCTTTCAGAGATGAGACTCTCACTTTTTTTTTTTTTTTTTTTCGGTGATGAAGTAGGCTGTGAACCAGGACTGCCTGACAGCAAAACCCATGCCCTAGGCTCAGGCTGCCTTCTGAAATCTCGTCACAGGGAAACAGGGAGTAAGTGGGCCCTGACCTCTAGGCCAAGAGACTCATCTTTCTCTTTGATTGAACATCAAATAGGATTCCCTCCACATAGCCAGGGAGCACTAATCATTGGCTTTAATTAGAAGTCAGCTAGGGCCTCACTCTTTCCTAATGAGCACCCCCACACTCCCCAAACTGCAGGACCTGCTATCACTCCTGCAAGGGCAAACAGGAACATCTGCAACCCATGATTACACACACTGCATCTTGCTGGGAAAATGGTCGGCTCTTCCCTCCACAGCCCCAGTCACTTTGATGGATTGATACAGTCAAGGGCTGAAATTTGAAAGGGAAAATTCAGCTTGAGCTTGGGCAGAACTTTCTTTTTTTTTTTTTAATTGTTATTATACTTTAAGTTTTAGGGTACATGTGCACAACGTGCAGGTTTGTTACATATGTATACATGTGCCATGTTGGTGTGCTGCACCCATTAACTCGTCATTTACATTAGGTATATCTCCTAATGCTATCCCTCCCCCCTCCCCCCACCCCACGACAGTCCCTTGGTGTGTGATGTTCCCTGTCCATGTGTTCTCATTGTTCAATTCCCACCTATGAGTGAGAACATGCGGTGTTTGATTTTTTGTCCTTACGATAGTTTGCTGAGAATGAGCTTGGGCAGAACTTTCAAAGATTCAGAGCCAAGTCACAACAGGGAACTCTCAGGTGTCAGCAAGTGTCCTGTGATGCTGGGCAGGCTAAAGCTAATTGTATCCTTTTTTCTTTTTTCTTTCTTCTTTCTTTTTTTCTTTCTTTCTTTCTTCCTTTCTTTCTTCCTTTCTTTCTTTCTTCTTTCTTCTTTCTTTCAGAGTCTTGCTCTATCAACCAGGCTGGAGTGCAGTGTCAAGATCTCTGCTCACTGCAACATTCACCTCCTGGGCTCAAGAGATCCTCCCACCTTACCCCCCCCGCCTCACCCCCCACCTGAGTAGCTGGGAGTACAGGCACACGTCACCAAGCCCAATTAAATTTTGCACTTGTTGTAGAGACAGGTTTCGCTGTGTTGCCCCGGCAGGTCTCGAACTCCTGAGGTCAAGCAATCTGCTGGCCTCATCCTCTCAAAGTGCTAGGATTACAAGGTTGAGCCATTGCCCTCAGCCCAGCTGATGGTATCCTTGTGAGGTTGTCGTGGCCAGTGCGGATGAAAGTGTGTGATTCACACAATGGGACCAGCCCAACGTTTCCAGTCTGCAGTGTACATCACTCGTGAACATATGTGCAGAGTTTGTAAATCTTCAATTTTTCTGTTACTATTTTTTTTTTTTTTTGAGATGGAGTCTTGTTCTGTCACCCAGGCTGGAGTGCAGTGGCATGTTCTCGGCTCACCGCAACCTCCACCTCCCAGGTTCAAGTGATTCTCCTGCCCCAGCCTCCTGAGTAGCTGGGATTACAGGTGCCTGCCACCACGCCCGGCTAATTTTTGTATTTTTAGTAGAAACGGAGTTTCACCGTATTGTTCAGGCTGGTCTCAAAATCCTGACCTCGGGTGATCCGCCTACCTCGGCCTCTCAAAGTGCTGGGATTACAGGCATGAGACACCATGCCTGGCCAATTTTTCTGTTACTTCTTTATGCATTTATTGAATTCTTTCCTGTTAAATGTGAAAAATTGTGTTTTGTATTTTGTGTTTGATTTCATTTTCTCCATCATTGACATAATTATTTTTATCTTCCCACCTAAGAGGACGTATCCTCCACCACACCTCTCAGCAGGACAGTTTACTCATCAACTTGCCATGTTTTGGCCAAAGCCAAGATTTTGAAAGAAGTGTCCATCTGGAGCACCAAGGCTCAGGCCGTGCAGCCTTCCCCAGCCTCAGTGTCACTTGGTGTCAGGGGTCGGGGGTTGGGGGAGCAGGTAGCAACATCTCAGCCTTGAGATGGCTTCCCTTTTCTTCTTTGTAACCAGATTTTGAAACATTGTTAGTTTATTTTTATTTTATTTTACTTTTTATTTTTTGAGATAGGGCCTCACTCTGCCACCCAGACTGAAATGCAGTGGCACAATCTTGGCTCACTGCAACCTCCGCCTCCCGGGCTCAACTAATCTTCTCACCTCAGCCTCCCAAGTAGCTGGGACTATGCCAGGCTAAAATTGCTAGTTTCATCAGGCTCTGATCCACAGTGACATTTTGCTATCTGCCTCCTGAGAAATGTATCTCTTTTTGTATAAACAACAAAGTTTTAAAAGTGTATTTTCTGAAATCAGTGTTTTACATGCCAAAATTAAAAAAAAAAGGTTTATATCTGGGATGCATAGGTAGTAAAAATTTCCTTCACCATGGAGTTTGAGAAGCCCGGTGTGGGAATCAAGCAGCTGAGGAATTGGATTCCACCCCTGTCATCTCTTTGAAGCCTAAAATCTGAAGAGGAAACTGAAATTGGGCAGGGAAATCAGAAAATAAAAACGAGAGATGGAGAAGTTTCTGTGCCACAATTGATATGACCAGAGGTGATCATAGATGTCCCCCCATTATGACCTGGCACAGTGCAATTCCCTTTTATAGAAGATGAAGCTCAGTGAGGTAACCTGGCTTGTCAGGAGGCGCTCAGATTGTTAGCGACTCACATGTCCATCCAGAGCCTGGGTCTCTAAACTCCAGGTTCAATCCCTAACCCTGGTCCATTAATTCAAAGCCACACAAAGGAAAGGAGGGTCCGAATCAAGTCAAAACTGTTTTATTGTCGTTTACATATTTAATAGAAAAAGGAATGTAGCAAATGCTCAGGGTTGTATGAAAAAAAAATCCAGGTTTGTGCAGGTTGCTCTGTTTACATCTGGGAGCAGGGCTGTCCCCACATCAGGCACAGCAGCTGCACTTCTCCGACGCCCCTTTGCAGACGCAGCCCTGGGCACACTTGGCACAGCCCATGGGGCAGCAGGAGCAGCAGCCTGGGGGAAAAGGGAGAGTGAGAGGTCAGAGCGGACTCAATCAGGCACTTCCCTGGCCCAACAGCAGGCCTGGTTCGAGCTCAGACTCCAGACCCAGAGGATGATTTTTTAGGTTGGTACAGCTCTGTTCTAAGACCGCAGGTGGTACCTTTGGAGTTTGTGTCTCAAAAGAAAAAGGCTGCCCTGCCACATTCGAGCTCAGAGCAGAAAGCCTGGAGAGGGAATGACATGGCCAACAGGGGCAAAGAAAGGCGTTCCCCAGAAGCATGCACTCCAGGCCAGCCTGGAGTTCCCTCCCAACCTTAGCCACAGCCCCAGATTCCTGGAGATGGCCCCGCACTCACTCTTCTTGCAGGAGGTTCATTTGCACTCTTTGCACTTGCAGGAGCTGGCACAGGAGCAGGAGCCCCCTGCAAGGAAGAGAAAAACGCAGTGGGCAGTGAGTGAGAGGAAGAAGGTACAGCAGTGGGTCAATGAGTCTCCAGTGTGCGCCATCCTCTGTGCAGGGCCAGCCCTCAGAGCTCCTTTCCCACTTAGAGCAGAGAAAGACAAGCCCCATGTCCTCTCCACTCGTGCTGGGAAGGGCAAGCACCCTCCTATTTCACCCCACCAGGAAGGTCCCAGATACACACACAACACAGGAGGACTGGGATTGGGGGCCAAAACCTCCTGTCCTGAATCTCAAAGACAGTGTTCCCTGCCTCCCACCCACCCTGCTTGCTTAGAGCCTAGACAGAGCATTGGGGCTTGGCCAGCAGCCCCCTGATCAACCAGGTGATGTGAAACAGGACAGCCTTGAGCCTCAGGACACTCAACTCTGACATAGAGGCACAGTGAGGAGGGCAATGCTCTCAGGAGCTATTCCAAGAAGAAAGTACTGGACGAAGTAAAGGGTTCCCGTCTGCTCAGAGCTCAAAATGCGACCTCCTCAAACGCAGGGACACTGTACTGTGGCTGGGAATTGGGCATTCCCAGGCGCAGAGCCGGGGTTCCCTTACCAGTGGCGCAGGAGCAGTTGGGGTCCATTTCGAGCCAAGAAATGACGGGAGAGGCGAAGAGGCAGTCAGGCAGCTGGAAGGCACGTTGGAGCCTGGAGCCAGCTGCTCCTTTTGCAGGCGGAGATGGGACCGGACGCAGAGGCCCCGCCCCGCGCTTGCACCCGCCCCGCTGAGTCTGGGCCTCCTGTGGGTACGTGGAGGGACTGTGAGCAGCAGGCCGGCCGGGCGCAAGGTGTGCACCGCGGGTCTCTTGCTTGGCACCCGCTCACTCGCTCGCTCGCTCAGGCCTGTGCGCCCGGTCGTCCGCGGCGTCCGTGCCGTCCTGCCCGCGCAACTTCCCCATATTCCCCATTTCCTTGTGGTTGCTGGCCATCTCCGTCCCCGAGCGTTCCGGGAACCCAGCCTCTGGTGGTCGCGATATTCCCACCCCCACCACCCCATCTGCGGTATTTCGCCATTCCCGGAGCCGGTGTGCAACCCCAGCTTCGTCCCTGGGTAGGCCTGAGCTGGGGAGCGCAGCGAGGGAGTTGTGTGCAGAGAACAGTCATGGACGTGACCCTTACTTTCTGTCCTCCTGCCCTCCAGCATTGCCTGTCACTATCCCCGCCATGGTCCTTCTGCCACTTTCTCTTGAGCCCAGCAACACGGTGGAGGCGAGCCCTCCCTTCCATTCCCCATTCCTGAGAGGTTGTATGGGCACATTTGTCTGGGGCCTCCTTTACATAAAATTCTGCAGGGGCTCCTCCAAAGCCCCTAGCGCGCCCACCCAACTCCAGGAGAGTAGTCCTGAAAATGCGGAGTGCTCCCAAGGGCGGGATCTGCTTAGGTGACTCCAGATCCGGAGGATGCAGAACCTACGTTAAATAAGAAAGCAAGAAGTGATTATTTACCTTTCAATTTTCCTATTACACAACAATCTGCGTGAGTCTGTTTAATCACTTTAGTTTTTTGAGCCCCCTCAAGAACAATAAAAGGGAAATACTATTCTAAACACGTTTTTCCAATGGAAAAACTAAGGCACAAAGAGCCTTAGTAATTTGCCCAAGGTTATGGCTCTGTGAAATGGTGCCACTCTACCTGAATCCAGCCAGCTTCCCAAGAGGAGGAAAGAAAACATAACGATTTCTTTTGGTCGAGATATGTCTTCAACACCACTGTGCTGCTTACAATTGTTATTATTATCATTGTTTTGAAACAGGGTCTCACTCTGTCATCCAGGCTGGAGTTCAGTGATGAGATCATGGCTCACTGTAGCCTCAGTCTCCTGGGCTCAATCTATCCTCCCACCTCAGCCTCCCGAGTAGCTGAAACTACAGGTGCAGGCCATCATGCCTGGCTAATTTTTTGCTCTTTTTTTTTTTTTTTTTTTTTTTTTTTTTTTTTTGTAGAGACAAGATTTCATCATGTTGCTCAGTCAGGCTGGTCTCAAACTCCTGGGCTCGAGTGATCCACCTACCTTGGTTTTCCAAAGTGCTGGGATTACAGGCGTGAGCCCCTGTGCTGGTCTGCTTGAAATTTTTTAATCAGGGGCCGGGCACGGTGGCTCATGCCTGCAATCCCAGCACTTTGGGAGGCCGAGGCGGGCGGATCATGAGGTCAGGAGATCAAGACCATCCTGGCTAATATGGTGAAACCCCGTCTCTACTAAAAAAATACAAAAAGTTAGCCGGACGTGGTGGTTGGTGCCTGTAGTCCCAGCTACTCGGGAGGCTGAGGCAGAAGAATGGTGTTAACCCGGGAGGCGGAGCTTCTAGTGAGCCAAGATCGCGCCACTGCACTCTAGCCTGGGTGACAGAGCGAGACTCCGTCTCAAAACAAAAAAAAGAGAAATTTTTTAATCAGGGAGAAGCATCAATCTCGACCCTGGACAGCTTGAAAAGTGATGGAGATGGGAAATTTATTAAATATGTGTATATACACAAAATACACATTAGAGTAATCGATATGTCTGTAAGTAAGACTGATTCTTGATTTTAGCATTGGTAAAGACTTTGCGTTCATTTAAATATATGTGATGATTAATTTTATGTGTCAACTTGACTAGGCAAAGTGCCCAGTTCCTTGGTCAAATACCAGCCTAGATATTGCAGCAAAGTTATTTTTTAAGATGTGATTAACATTTAAATCAGTAGTCTTTGAGTAAAACAGACATCAGAGGGGATTTATCAAGTGTTACCTGCCCATTCAACCTGGGAGTGTCCAAAGGACACCACTTTCACCACATCTGTGAGAAATAAATTTGTGAGGGGCGCCCTAGCATCCTGGAAGAGCTCTGTGGTCACTCTTTTCTGCAGGTAGAAATTCAGTGGAAACTGCTGCCACTGAATTGGGAATCCTATATGCAATGGCAATAATTTGGCCCCAATGTGGCAGGGGCCAAAGGACAGCACTTAATTGCCAAAGGCAGCATGGGCCTGGTTATTGTCATGGATGGCACAGTCAAAGCAGAATAGGATGACTTGCAGGCCAGGTGCAGTGGATCACGCCTATAATCCTAGCACTTTGGGAGGCTGAGGCAGGTGGATCACTTGAGCTCAGGAGTTTGAGACCAGCCTGACAAGCATGGCGAAACCCTGTCTCTACCCCTCCAAAAATACAAAAATCAGTTGGATGTGTTGGTGCCTGCCTGTAGTTGTAGCTACTTTGGGGGCTGAGGTGGGAGGATCACTTGAGCCTTGGAGGTTGAGGCTGCAGTGAGCCATGTTGGTGACACTGCTTTCCAGCCTAGATGAGAGAGTGAGACCCTATCTCAAATAAAAAGAATAGTATGAGTCACAGAGACCTGTGGTGTTGGCTAGTTGATCATGGTGGTTGTATGAGCAAATAGAGGAGTCAGCCTACAAAAATCTTACTCATCTGTAGAATCAAAATATCTGCTTCCTGTCCCCATGACTTTATGCTTTACTGGTCTCAAGGTATTAGTCCAAAAGGAGGAATGCTTCCTTGGGAGACACAATGATTCCATCAAACTGGAAGTTATGACTCCCACCAGGCCACATTGAGTCCTTAGACTTCTGGATCAACAGGCAAAGAGGCCAGCACTGTGGCTCACACCTGTAATCCCAGAACTTTGGGAGGCCGAGGCAGGTGGATCACTTGAGGTCAGGAGCTTGAGACCAGCCTGACCAACATGGAGAAACCCCATCTCTACTAAAAATACAAAATTAGCCGGGCATGGTGGTGCATGCCTGTAATCCCAGCTACTCAGGAGGCAAGTCAGGAGAATTGCTTGAACACAAGAGGCGGAGGTTGTGGTGAGCTGAGATCGTGCCATTGCACTCCAGCCTAGGGAACAAAAGCGAAACTCCGTCTCAAAAAAAAAAAAAGAAAAGAAAAGAAAAGAAAAGAAACAACAACAACAACAACAAAACAGGCAAAGAAAGGAGTCACTATTCTGGCTAGGGTGATTGTGGCTACTTCTTGGTAATCACAATCTCTGCAATCAAGGTAAGGAGGAGGATGTCTGGAATACAAGAGATCCCTTAGGGTGTCTCTTATTACTACCATGTCCTGTGATTGAAGCCAATGGAAAACTTTAACAACCCAACTGGGACAGGAATGCATGGCCCAGACCCTTCCAGAATGAAGGTTTAGGTCACCCCACCAAGTAAAGAACCACCATTGGCTGAGGTGTTTACTGAAAGCAAATGGAATAATAGGTCATAAAAGAAGAAAGTTATAAATAGCAGCTATGACCATGTGACCAGTTACAGGTAAGGAAATGAGGAATGTCATTGTTATGGGTATTTCTTCATTATGTTGTTATAAATGTGTGTGTGTGTGTGTGTGTGTGTGTGTGTATGCATGTGTGGCAAATATTTTTGTTTTCTTCCATCTCTTATCCCTTTGTCATGTAACAGAGGATGTATTAACTTTACATCACAATATTTAAATATTGCTAACTTTATATCATAGTATTTAAGTTATAGGATGTCAAGGAACATTCCTCAAGGATTTTGCAGTCACTTTTGGGGAGAGAGTTTGTGTCATTTCAGGCATACACAGGACAGTTGTTTCACATTAGGTGGAGGTGTGACCTTGTTTTAACATTAAGTATAGTTTAAGGAGATGTTTATGTATGCCAAATTAACAAGTGGTGGACTGCAATGGTTAGTTTTATGGGTCAGCTTGGCTAGGTTATCATACCCAGTTGCTTGGTCAAACATTAATATAGATGTTGCTGTGAAAGTGTTTTTTAGACCTGATTACCATTTAAATTAGTAGGTTTTGGCTGGGCATGGTAGCTCATGTCTATAATCCCAGCACTTTGGGAGGCTGAGGTGGGTGGATCACTTGAGGCCAGGAGTTAGATAACATGGTGAAACCCTTTCTCTGTTAAAAATACAAAAATTAGCTGCTTAATCTGTTAAATAAAATACAAAAATTAGCTGCTCTTTGAAAAATACAAAAATTAGCATGGTGGTGCATGCCTGTAATCCCAGCTACTTGGGAGGCTGAGGCAGGAGAATTGCTTGAACCCGGGAGGCAGAGGTTGCAGTGAGCTGAGATCGCACCACTGCACTCCAGCCTGGGTGACAGAGCTAGACTGTCTCAAAAAATAAAATAAAATAAATCAATACATTTTGAATAAAGCAGATTACTCATTATAATGTGTGTGGGCCTCATCCAATCAGTTGAAGGCCTTAAAAGGAAAGACTGAGGTCCCTGGAAGAGAAAGGAATTCTACCTGTAGACCGCCTTCAGATGAAAGACTGTAACATCAACTTCTGACAGAATTCCCATGCTGCCAGCCAGCCTTGCAAAGTTTAGACCAGCCATCCCCACAATCACATCAGCTAATTTCTTAAAGCTTTCTTTTTATCACTATCTATCTAGGGACATTTTATTGGTTCTGTGTCTTGGGGAAAACCATGAGTAATACAAATATATCTTGGAAAATATGAATCATTTAAAGGAGAATTTTTAGGTAAAATTGTGGTGTAGGTGGTAGCAGATATGGCAGGCATCTGTTTGTATGTACCACAAGGGCGTGGACTGTCCTGCTCATGGTTTTCTATGTCCAGTGCTGATCAGAATTTCACGGGAAGACTGAAGACTCTCTGGACCACAGTTAACATGCTCAGATAGTTGATGAGGAATGTAGAGCTCACATGGCTAGGAACAGCAGGCCTGGCTTATTGGTCTGGAGGTAGAAAAACGTCCCTATGCTATGAATAAAGATAATAAAATTATAGCTAGGTTGGGTGTGGTGGCTCATGTCTGTAATCCCAGCATTTTGGGAGCCAGAGGTGGGCGGATCACTTGAGCCCAGAAGTTCAAGACCAGCCTGGACAACATGGTGAAACCTCATTGCTACTAAAAATATAAAAATTAACCAGGTGGGGTGGCATGTGCCTGTAGTCCCAGCTACTCAGGAGGCTGAGATGGGAGGATCACCTGAGCCTAGGAGGTGCAGGTTGCAGTGAGCTGAGATCACCCCACTGCACTCCAGCCAGGGTGACAGGGTGAAACTTTGTCTCAAAAAAATAAAATAAAATAAAATAGAATAAAATAAAACAAAATAAAATAAAATCATAGATAATATTGTAGTCTGCTTGATACATGGCAGGTGCCATTCTAAGTTCTTTGCATGTATTAAGTCATTTGCTGTCACCAGCCAGACCCTATTATTCAGCCTATCTTACAGTAGAGGAGACTGAGCCACAGAGAGGTTGTGTCACTCAGGTATAAGTGACACAGCTAGGTTTTGCACCAATGCATGCTGACTGCATCATAATGCCCTCAACCACCACCCTATGTCACCATGTTCCGTGAAAAACAAGGACACTGAAAATCTGGCAGTGAGGCAGCAGTAGAAAGAGCACTGAGCTGGCAGTCATGCTCTCTGCATAGCTCTGTGACCTCTCTTGGCTTCAGTATGCCACCTCTCAAGCCAGGGACACAATTGGACTAACTGACCAAGGGCTGACCCAGCTCTGAACTCTGAGAGGCAGGGCTTAGAGCCCAGTGACATCATGATCTGCCAGCTGTAGCCAAGATGAGAGGCCAACTGTAGTGAAGGTTCCAGCCTCTGACTTCTAAGCTGAGTGACCTTGGGCAGGTTGCAGGTCCAGAGAAGTTACTTGTCCAGGGTCACACAGCTAGTGAGTGGCACAGCAGGGTGAATGCAACCAGGCCCCAGCAGATGCTAACGGCCTTCTAACATAGAGACACCAAGGAGGAAGAATAAGGGCAAGAAGCCACAAGCTTGGTCCTCAGGAAGCTCAGGGGCTGGGGAAACAGAGAGGAGGAGACCCCATCCAGCCTGGGAGGAGGTGGGCCATTGCCTTGGGCCTGAGGGTCAGAAGGTGTTTGCCAGGCAGGGAGGGGGAAGGATTTGTGTTCTAGCCTGGGGAGGGAGGAACTAGCGGGAACACTGGAATCACCCTGAGACATTTGGAAGGGAAAATGACATCTGGAAGATGACAGAATCAGTTTCGTCCCTGCACGGTCACTCTTTCACTGGCTCATGGGGTATTCAAATGATAGGAAAAATTAGAATGGTTCTTACGTTTGTTCAAATGCTGTGGCAGCATCTTAATCCCAGAGGGCTTTGTGCAGGAAGTCATCCACCCTCCCCCTGGTACACAGTCAGGAAAGCTTCATTCCACTCCCCAGCCTCTGACCCAGAGTAATTCTTCCCAGACCCGTTTTTCCCCAAGAGCTTATCAAGAGAGATTCTGTCTCCAACAAAGTCCATGTAAACAGAGTGATCCTAGTGGTCATTAAACCCTAGCCAGGAGCCAGGCCAAGATCTCATTTAATCCATAAATAGGGATACCATCTTTTTTCTACAGATGAGGAAATGTAGGCTCAGAGAGGTTGAGTGACTTGCCCAGGCCACACAGCCAGGAAGTGGTAAAGTGGGCTGTGAACTAGGACTGCCTGACATGAAAACCCATGCCCTTGGCTCAGGTTGCCTTCTAAAACTCTATAAGGAGCACCTTCAGGCAAGTGTGCTCCTGATTCCTGGGCCAAGGCACTCATCCTCCTCTTTGACTGAACATCAAATAACATTCCCTCCGCATAGCCAGGGGGACTAACCGTTGGCTTTAATTACAAGTCACTCAGAGCTTCACTCCTTTCTAAAGAGCGCCACCACACCCTCCAAACTGCTGAATGCCATCACCCCTGCGTGGGCAGACAGGAAGAACGTCTTCTGCAACCCATGATCACACACACTGCATCTTGCTGGGAACATGCTGGGCATTTCCCTCCACATCCCCAGCCACTTTGACGGTTTAAGTAGCCAACGGCTGAAATTTGAGAGGAGTAAATTCAGCCTGACCTTGGGAGGAACTTACAAAGATTCAGAACCAAGGCAAAACAGGGAGCTCTCAGGGGTGTGCGAGTGAGTGTCCTGTCAGTGACACTGGGCAGCACAAGCCTGACGGTTCCTTGTGGGGATGTCTGGATCAGTGCTGCTCAGGGTGTGCCAGCCACGCACTGGGGCCAGTCTGAGAACTGTTTCCAGGATGCAATGCACACCCTTGGACAAATGTGTAGTGTTGGTAATTCTTTTATTTTTCCTATGTTAATTTGTTCATATATTTATTGAAAAGTTCCTGTTGAATCTAAAAAATTGTCTTTGTATTTTGTGTCTTTTAAACTTTCATTTTCTTATTAACTCCTTATTTTACCAGAGTTTAGGTCTGTGACTAATGGAGAACAAAACAAAACAAAACAAAACTGGTCATTCCCCACAGGGAGTTTGGGAAACCGGATGTCAGATTCCAGCCACTGGGGAGTTGGATTTCACCCTCTGTAGTCACTTTCAAGTCTAAAATCCCACGAAGAACTGAAGTTGGGCAGGGAAATTGAAAGTAAAAGTGAGGAATGGAGAAGTTTCTGTGCCACATTTGACGTGAAACTGAAAGTGATCATGTATGTGTCCCTCCTGCTCCCATATGATCTGGCACAGCGCCATTCAGTTTTACAGAAGCTGAAGCTCAGTGCAGTAGCCTGGCTTGCCAGAATGCACTCTTTCTTAACGGCTCACATTTCCATCCACAGCCCAGGTCTCTGCCCTCCCAGTTCAATCCCTCACCCCAGTCCGTTATTTTTAAGGCATATAAAGGAAACCAGAGACAGAATCAAGTCAAAGCTGTTTTATTATCATTCACATTATTTCATAGAAAAAGGAATATAGCAAACGGTCACGGTCAGGGTTGTACATAAAAAATCCAGGTTTGTGGAAGTCGCGTTCTTTACATCTGGGAGCGGGGCTGTCCCAGCATCAGGCGCAGCAGCTGCACTTGTCCGACGCCCCTTTGCAGATGCAGCCCTGGGCACACTTGGCACAGCCCACAGGGCAGCAGGAGCAGCAGCCTGGGGGCAGACAGGAGGCGGCAGAGATGAGTACTAGCGACACCGGGAATAAGGATTCCTGCTCTCCCTGATAAGGATCACTGAGGAGGCAACAATTTCCGCGCAATGGGGCATCCCCAGACTGCTTTAATTCCCCTGAGGATGGTGGAGAGGGGACAGGCTGGAGGACAGGGAAGGGGTAGAGGAAAGAGAGGATCCCACTTACTTTTCTTGCAGGAGGTGCATTTGCACTCTTTGCATTTGCAGGAGCCGGCGCAGGTGCAGGAGTCACCTGCAAGGAGAAAAGACAGAGGTGAGAACCGTCCCTGGATACCTGAACAAGGGACGGCGTACTAAGAGCCCGGGGCCGAGTTCCTCAGTCCACAACCGATTCCTGGGAACTTGAGCAAGCCATTAACTCAGATCTCCTTAACGGTAAAAAGGGGGCTCCGAATAACCTAGAATGGAGAGAAAGATACCCCAAAACTCTTTGGGAAGGAGCAACTCCTGTCCTGAAATTGAGTGACCAGAGAAAGAAAGAGGGGTCAGAAATTGCTTCTCTAGCGCTACAGTCTACACTGGGCATCCCCAGCCTCTTACCGGCGGCGCAGGAGCAGTTGGGATCCATGGCGAGCTGAAGAGGCGGCTAGAGTCGGGACAGGTTGCACGCGGGTTCGCTGGGACTTGGAGGAGGCGTGGTGGAGTGCAGCGCGGCAAGCAGTGTTTATAGCTAGAAAGAGCCGGGACGAGTGCAAAAGCCCCGCCCCGGCCGGGCGCTGCCTGCACACGCCCCGCGCTGAGTCACTTGCGGCTCCAGGCGAAACACCCGGCCGCGCGCACTGGGCCGGGCGCACCCGGCTCTGCACACGGGCCGCGGGCGGTCAGTTCCCTGAAGGCGGCCCACTTGCGCCTCGGGGACGCCTCGGCGCGGAAGGGGCTGGGTGCAGCGGGAGGACACAGTGTACCGGGTGCTGGGTGCCCACGCCGTGCGCCTCCGCCGTGTGCACAGCTCCCCTCCCTCCTGTCCTGTACTCGAACCTGAGCCGTTAGCGCGCGGGTGAAAGCGGGACTTGGGAATGCTGCTTGCATTCCCAAACCGGTTGGAAGTGCAGACAGGTTACAACTCTGTAGCAGCCAAGGCTTAATAATTGTGCAGCATCACAGTAAACCCGTGGGGTGGTTACTGATGACGTATCCGTTGCATGTTGAGTACTTTTAGCGTGTAACAGGGACTGTAGGAAGTGTGTTGTGTGTGAGATGTCACTTAATTCTGTAGCAACCCATAAGATAAGGACTCTCCAGTATTCTCATTGTAGAGAGGAGAAACTGCAGGTCCAGAGAAGTTAATTTGTCCAGAGTCACACAGCCAGTGAGTGGCAGAGCAGGGTGAATGCGACCAGGCCCCAGCAGATGCTAACGGCCCTCTAACATAGAGACACCAAGGAGGAAGAGTAAGGAGAAGAAGCCACAAGCTTGGTCCTCAGGAAGCTCAGGGGCTGGGGGAACAGAGAGGAGGAGACCCCATCCAGCCTGGGAGGAGGTGGGCCATTGCCTTGGGCCTGAGGGTCAGAAGGTGTTTGCCAGGCAGGGAGTGGGAAGGATTTGTGTTCTAGCCTGGGAGGGAGGAACTAGCGGGAACACTGGAATCGCCCTGAGACATTTGGAAGGGAAAAACCCCACAAGAATATTCTTCCCCTGTGGAGGCTGAGGGGAAGAGCCCAGGTGGCGTCCACATTCCTGTCTGGAGAGGCACATCCTGCCTCCCTGCCTGCGCGTGTCTGGCGCTGTGTAAGGGCCTTAGATCGTCAACCTTGGAAGGCCCGAAGTGTGTCATGCTAGGAGTCAGGAAGTGGTTACTGGAAGCTTCCTGGCAGGCTTAGGGAATGCCGATTGCCACAGTGAAAGTTTAGTGAGGTGGTGGGCGGGGGAGGACAGGCTGTCCTTGCAGCCCTTACTGTAAGTTCCTGTGGAAATGTCTTTCTAGCTCAGCCGAATCGTCACTTCCTCTGGGGACCCTGTCCTGACCCCCATGACCGTGGCTGCCTGTGGAAGGTGCTGGTAAACATCCTGTTCTTTCCCCTCCTGGCGCTTTCCGTGCCTGTGGTATGTATAAACTGCGGGGACTCTTGGATTGGTGTCTCTGCCCCTCCTCACCAACCCCTGACCACTGGAAATGCCAAGGGCAGTCATTGTCTGCCTCTGGAATTGTGTCTTCAGCTTCCAGCACCGGGCCAAGTTTGCAGTAGACGCTTAATAAATATTTGTCAAATGAATTCATGGGGGTAATGGCCTGGACTGCTCTTCCCTTCCCAGCCCCCACCTTGTATGAAGGCCGACTACAAAATGAAAGTAAACACCTCTTGACCACCCTGGAACCTGCGTGCTCACTCTTGTAAAAACACCGCACAGGGCAGGGGGGCGAGCTCTCAGATGGACTAAATTTCAGTGGTCACTCGGCCACTCACTTACTCAGTGACCTTGGGGCAATTACATGCCTGGACTCTTCTGATCCCTGGTTTACTCATCTGTCAAATGACTGGGTTGTACTAGAATTTATATCCAAACATCCTCTGATTTTAGAGCCAAGATCTTTTGAAATCTCATGATGTCTGGCAGCTCTGTGGATCGAGAGCTCTCTGGGCAGTGGACCAATTTTGTTGTTGTTATTTATGTATGCACAGTATTATATACCAAATCCCTGGTTGCTAATAACTCAGATGGTCACCTATGCACTCAAGGCAAACAATCCAACTCTGTGAAGAAACAGAAGGGCTTATTTTGCCCTCAAAAGCATTGGTTCTAGCCCTAAAGCATTGGTTCTAGCCCTGGGTTTGTGCCAGCCATGTTGGCGGTAAAACTTGCTTGTGGGCCTGAGCTGTCTCTTTTGAATCACTTTGACTCTGAGGGGAGAGAAGGATAATGACTCAGGGAAGGTGGAGCAGGCCACAGGCCTAGTCTGTTCATCTCCATGCCCCCAGAAGCTTCACTGTGCTTGGGACAGAGGTGAAGAGGGAGGACCCATGTGCATGTTTGCATCCCTGACTTGGCAGAGGATGAGGGAGTGAAACCAAGCGATATTAGATAAGGAAAAACATCCCCCTGAATATCTGTTGTGAGTCATCAATGTGAAGTGATGACGTGACCCTGGGCTGCATTAAGAGAGGTATGCCATGTAGAATGAGAGAGGTTATGTTTTTCATTCTCCTTTTAGCTGCAGGGGTGGATATATATAGATCTGCTGCCCAGCCATCCACTTGTCCTTCCCCTGTGATGATATCCTTGGTTTTCCTTTGAAGAACTACCCCTCCTTATTACCAGTCCATATGGTTTTGATGGCGTATGTCCCATCTGTGAGCTCCTAGGCCATTCCACCTACCTAGTCACAGTAATTGGCTCTGATTGGGCCACACAGCCACCAACCAAAGAGAATCAGTGATACTTTTGCTGGGAATGCTGGGAGAATGGCAGATAGTCTTTCCATCTGGACTTGTACCTGAGAGAATGTGAAGCTGAGTGAGTTTCTAAAGCTTTTTGGCTCCGTGAGAAGAGCCCAAAAATAAAATAATCACAAAGGAAATGGAGCCTGACAATATCTTGGAACACCTGGATCCAGCCATGCCTGAAGCCATTATGAGCCAATCATTTCCTTTTTTGCTTAAATTATTCCAGATAGAGTCCTAACTGGCATAGTTGGGCAGAACCCCCCTCTGCCCTGAAGGCTGTGTTCATTGTTGGGCTCCCATTGTCCAGAAGACAGCTGATCACAGGGGTCCTAAGGCCCAAAACCCTATCATGTGAGCATCAGCTGAGAGAGGTAGGCAGGTTCAATCTGGAAGTGAACAGTTACCTTCAAATATTTGGCAATGGTTGCCCCAGTTATCTGTAGCTATGCAACCAATTACCCACAATTTAGGAGCTTAAAACAATGACCATCTTATTGTCTTTCCTGGATTCGTGGGTCTGGAGTTGGAGCAGTGCTCACTTGGGCGATTCTTTTGTTTCATTAGCTGAGGTCACTTGGTGCTGTTCGGCTGGTGGATGGGCTGGTCTGGAGAATCTAAGATGGCTTCAGTCACACATCTGGCACTTTGGCAGGGATGGCTGGAGGCTGGGCTCAGCTGGAACTGTTGACCAGAGCTCTACATGTGGCTTCTTCAGCATGGTGGCCTCAGGGCAATTAGAGTCAGGTCATACAGTTGAGAGTTTCAAGAGATGGAAGTGGTAGCTGCAAGTCTCTTAAGCCCTGGACCCTGAAACTAGCACAGGTCGCTTGCACCATATTCTATTGGTCAAGCAGTGACAGAACCTGCCCAGATTCAAGAGGAGGGGAACAAGACCCCCTGTCTTGAAGGGAGGAGTCAACAAATTTCAAGCATGTCTAATCTGCCATAGTAGTCATGGGGAATAATATTGAGCACCTGCTGTAATTCAAGATTTGTGCTAAGAACACTATGAGTTTATCTTAAAGCCTAACATAGCCCTACAAGGCAGGTGCTGTTATCTCCATTTTACAGATGATGCCCTGAAGAGTTATGGGACCTGTTCAGGATAACGCAGCTTGTAAGTGGCAGAGCTAGGATTTGAACTCATACCTACATGTTTATACCATGTTGAAAAGAGGAAATTAGGCTTGCTTTCTGTGGTCCTAAGGGCAGAATCAGGACAATCGCAGTGGGTGGGGTAAGGTTACAGGAATAAAGGTTGTTTTCTAGGTAGCAGGGTCTTTCCCCTCCTCTCCTCTCCTTCCCTCCCCTCCCATCGCCTTTCTTTTCTTTTCTTTTTTTAAAGACAGGGTCTCAGCTCTGTTGCCAGGCTGGAGTGCAGTGGTGTGACCATGGCTCACTGCAGCCTTGACCTCCTGGGCTTAAGAGATCCTCCCACTTCAGCCCTCCTGAGTAGCAGGGACTAAGGGACTATAGGTGTGTGCCACCACACTTGGCTAATTTTTTGTATTTTTTTTGGTCGAGATGGGGTCTCACTATATTGCCCAGGCTGGCCTCGAGCTCCTGGACTCAAGCAGCTCTCCCACTTCAGCCTTCCAAAGTGTTGGAATTACAGGTGTGAGCCACTGCACCCAGCCAGAAAGGCCTTTCTTGGCAATTAGAGCTGATTTTGAGTGGAAGGGACTCCTTGGGAGATAGTTCCCTGTTACCACAGCAGAGGACAGCAGATGCCAGCATTAAATAGGGGGATAGGAAGAGGTTAGTTTCCTTCTTCCCCAGGAGATTCTGTGACTCAGTGGCTCCCATCACAGGTACCATCTATCTGCTCTTAGTTCTTCCTCCTTCAGTGGACACTGCCTTCATTTTGGAGGTGTATTAGTTATCTTGTTGCATTACAAATTACTTAGCAGCTTAAGACAACACACATGAACTATCTCATAGTTTCTGTGGGCAGGAATCAGACAGGCTTAGCTAGGCCCTGTGGCTCAGGATGTCTCCTGGATAGCAATCAAGGTGACAGCCAGGGCTGCAGTCAGCTCAAGTGTCAGCAGGGACAGGATCTGCTTCCAAGCTCCCTCATGTGGTTGTGGACAGAATTTGGTTCCTTGTGGGCTATGGTACTGCGGCTTCCTTCCTTGTCGCATGGGTCCCTCCACAGAGCATCTCACCGCAGGACAGCGAGCCAGTGAGAGGGCCAAAGAGTGAGAACAAGGGTGGGAGCAAGAAAGAAGTCATGGTGTTTTATTTTTTTTTAATTTTGTTTATTTATTTATTTATTTATTTGAGATGGAGTTTTGCTCTTGTTGCCCAGGCTGGAGTGCAATGGCGCAATCTAGGCTCACCGCAGCCTCCACCTCCCAGGTTGAAGCAATTCTCCTGCCTTAGCCTCCCAAGTAGCTGGGATTTCAGGCGTGCGCCACCATGCCCAGCTAATTTTGTATTGTCATGGTCTTTTATTCATTCATTCTTAGTGAAAGATGATACTAACTTTATTCAAGAGGCATCCAAGGCATGGAATCTCAATCACATGGCCTCCAAATAGTGATATGATAGCGGCCCAGGGCAGGATATAGTCCCCTTCTCTCCCCTGCCATATGGGGCAGGGATGAAGAGGAAATTTTTCATTTTAAAACATCAGAAAAATTAGGCCGGGCGCAGTGGCTCACGCCTGTAATCCCAGCATTCTGGGAGGCTGAGGCAGAAAGATCACTTGAGGTCAGGAGTTTGAGACCAGCCTGAGCAACACAGTGAAACCCCCGTCTCCACAAAAGATTTTTAGAAGTTGCTCGAACCCAGGAGGTTGAAGCTGCAGTAAGTTGTGATTGTGCCACTGTTCTCCAGCCTGGGCAGGGAGGACAAGACTCCAGCTCTATTTTTAAAAAATTAAAATAAATAAATAGGCCAGGTGCAGTGGCTCATGCCTCAATCCCAGCACTTTGGGAGGCCAAGGCAGGTGGATCACCTGAGGTCAGGTGTTGGAGACCAGCCTGGCCAACATGGTGAAACCCCATCTCTACTAAAATTAGAAAAATTAGCTGAACGTGGTGGTGATGCCTGTAATCCTAGATACTCAGGAGGCTGAGGCAGGAGAATCACTTGAACCCAGGAGGCGGAGGCAAGAGAATCGTTTGAACCCAGGAAGTGGAGGTGCAGTGAGCCGAGATCGCGCCACTGCACTCCAGCCTGGGTGACGGAGCGAGACTCTGCCTCAAAAATAAATAAATAAACATCAGAAAAATCATACCATTGACAACCTATAGTCAACCTAGATGGAGGTTTTCATTCTACAAGATTGTTTCCATATAGTAGAAATCCTCTTTGTGAACCTTCACTTCTCTCAGTACTCTCCATTGTTCCATAAAATAGATATTTCTCCCTTTCCAAATTATTTGGAAAACAACTTCCTCCCTTCTTTTTTTCTTCCAATATTTGAATTAAGAAGTCATCATCTTTTGTAACTTAATCACGGAAGTGATCTCCCATCCCTGTTTCAGTATTCTGTTCTTTAGAAGCAAGTCACTAGGTCCAGGCTGTGCTCAAGGGGAGGGGATTACACCAGGGCACGAATACCAGAGTCTGGCATCACTGGGACCATCTTCAAAGCCTGGCTACCACTGGGCAAAGGCGCTGGTATGTATGTGACTTCAGGCTTTTTGCATGTGCTGTTTCCTTTGTCTTGGATGCTCTCCCTAACCCTCTGTCTCCTTCATCTGGTGGGTCTCAGTTTAAAGGCAATTTGCTCAGGAAAGCTTTCCTGGAACCCCAAATAGGCCAAATCCCTCGGATACCAGCAAGCACATCCCTTCTTTGTAGCACTTATTGCAATTACAGTTGCTAGTAAGAAAGAAGCTAACACTTTTCTTTTTATTAATTTTTAATAGAGATAGGGTCTTGCTATGTTGCCCAGGCTGGTCTTGAACTCCTGGCCACAAGCAATGCTCTTTCCTCGGCCTCCCAAAGCACTGGGCTTACAGGTGTGACTCACCACACCCAAACTGCTCACACTTTTCTATATCACACATCCCATGCCAGCTGTTCAATTCTTTGTATATGTGAACTCAATCCTTTCGACGGCCCTATAAGATGGGGACTGTTATTATCCACATTTGACAGAGGGAGAAACCGAGGCTTAGAGAGGTTAAGTAACACTGCCAGTCACTCACTAGGAAAGGGTCACACCAGGCGTTGGAGCTCCAGAGCCTGAGAGCTTGGCCTTCTGTCCCTTAGCCTCTCCCTGCAGCCGGTGCTGTGTGTGGCGTTTTGTTTAATCCTTCTCCCCAGGAGGCTGTGGGCTGTGCCTGCTGCATTCACCGTCGTAGCTCTGGCACCTGACACTGCGCCCGGCTCATGGTGGGTGCTTAATAATGCAGAGGAATGGAGAGAATCGGATCCTGCCAGGAGCTGGAAGGAGGCTCTGTGAAGGGCAAGGCCTGCCTTGTGGAGAGCCAGCTTGGAAAACCTGCATTCAGAGAGAAGCTAAATTCCTGCTGCATCATCCCTTCCTCACCCATCTGGCCTCAACTTTCCTTCTCTGTCTTACCTGTCCCCAAGCCCTGTGCTTCTGCTGTTGGGTCAGACCCTGCCATGCCACACCCTTCTCCAAACACACACTCCATGTTTTTGCTCCTCTTCTACCATCCCCCAAATGCCCTCTCCTCCAAGGAGTCTTTACTGAGCCCCCAACCTAATGGCATCTCTCCCTTCTTTTTTTTTTTTTTTCTTCTGAGACAGGGTCTCACTCTATCACCCAGGCTGGAGTGCAGTGACTCTGTCATGGTTTACTGTGGCGTCAAGCTCCCAGACTCAAGCAATCCTCCTGCCTCAGCCTCCCGGGTAGCTGGACCACAGGCATACCCTAGCATGCTCAGCTAATTTTAAACATTTTTTCGTAGAGACAGAAGTCTTACTATGTTGCTCAGGCTGGTCTCAAAGTCCTGGCGTCAAATGATCCTCCTGCTTTGGCCACCCAAAGTGCCAGGATTACAGGCATGAGCCACTGCACCTGACCATCTCTCTTCTTAAAGCCCCCAGAGATTTTGGGTTTCACCTCCCCTCCCTCCCTGAGCCACAGTCTTCCCATCTATCAAATGAGCACAGCCTACGTGCCTTGGCCTGGGCTTTTCTTCCAGCTCTAAAGCATCCAGGATTCCACTCAGGTTGTTCTTGCAACGGTCTTATCCTCCCCATCAGTCTGTGAGCTCCCCGAAAGGCAGAGACTGTTTCTTTTCATGTATCCCCAGTGACCAGCAGAGGGCATGGTGACTTTTGGGCATCCATAAATATTTTTGTGATGAAATGGTGTGGAGGGCTGGGTTGAGATGCAGACTCAGTGGATATGTACGTCTCCTGTGCGTGCCCAATCCCATGCAAAGTCAGAAAAGGTCATTCGTTAAAAGGCTGAATGGCAGAAGTTAAAGAAGAACCCAACCAGGAAAAGAACAAAGTTGGAGGACTCACACTATCCAATTCCAAAAGTTACAATAAGCCACAGTAATCAGGGCTGTGTGGTATTGGTACAAGGACAGGCATAGATCGATGGAACAGAATCGAAAGTCTAAAAGGAAATCACATGTATGGTCAATTGAATTTTGACAAAGATCTCCAAACGATTCAATAGAGAAAGGGTAGACGTTTAAACTAATGATACTGAGACAACTGAATATCCACATGCAAAAAAAAAAAAAAAAGAAATTAGATTTTTACCTCACATTATACATGAAAATTAACTCAAAATGGATCATAGACTTAAATTTAAGTGCTAAAACTATAGAACATAGAACACTTAGAAGAAAGCATACGAGAAATCTTTATGCCCTTAGGTTAAACAAAGAGGTCTTAGATATGATACCATAATCACAATTTATCAAGGAAAAAAATTGATGAATTGGACTTTCTCAAAATTAAAAAGTTTTGTGCTTCAAAGACATCATTAATAAAATCAGAAGACAGTCCCAGAAGACTGGGAGAAAACATTTACAAAGCATATATCTGATTAAGGACTGGTATCCAGAATATATAAAGAACTCTTATAATTCAATAATACAAACAATGGTATTTTAAAAAGGGCAAGGCCCGTAATCCAAACACTTTGGGAGGTTGAGGTGGGTGGATCACTTGAGGTCGGGAGTTCGAGACCAGCCTGGCCAACATGGCAAAACCCCGTCTTTACTAAAAATACAAAAATTAGCCAGGTGTGGTGGTACACACCTGTAATCCTAGCTATTCAGGAGGCTGAGGCAAGAGAATCGCTTGAACCCGGGAGGCAGAGGGTGCAGTGAGCCAAGATCATGGCACTGCACTACAGCCTGGGCAACAGAGTCAGACTCCGTCTCAAAAACAAAAACAAATTAGCCAGGTGTGGTGGCATGCGCCTGTGGTCCCAGCTACTCGGGAGGCTGAGTCACGAGAATTGCTTGAGCCCGGGAGGCAGAGGTTGCAGTGACCCGAGATCACGACACTGCACTCAAGCCTGAGGAACAGCAAGACTCTGTCTCAAATAATAATAATAATAATAATAATAATAATAATAATAATAATAAATAAAAATAAACTGGCAAAAATGCATACTCAAAATAATTGAAAGCAGGGACTCAAACAGATATTTGTATAACAATATTCATAGCAGCATTACACATGATAGCCAAAAAATGGAAACAGCCTGAGCGTCCATTGATGAATGAATGGATAAACAAAATATGGTATAGACATGCAATGGAAAATTTATTCAGCCTTAAGAGAGAATGAAATTTTAACACATCTTACAACATAGATGAACCTTAAAAATGTTATGATGGCTGGGTGCGGTGGCTCACACCTGTAATCCCAGCACTTTGGGGGGCCGAGGTGGGCAGATCACGAGGTCAGGGGTTCAAGACCAACCTGGCCAATATGGTGAAACCCTGTCTCTACTAAAAATACAAAAATTAGCCGGGCATGGTGACGCACACCTGTAGTCCCAGCTACTCGGGAGGCTGAGGCAGGAGAATTGCTTGAACCCGGGAGGCGGAGGTTGCAGTGAGCCAAGATCATGCCATTGCACTCCAGCCTGGGCAACAGAGGGAGACTCCATCTCAAAAAAAAAAAATTATGCTAAATGAAATAAGCCAGACACAAAAGGACAAACACTGTATGATCCCAGCTTATATGAAGAAAGTAACATAGTCAAATCCACAAAGACAGACAGTAAAATGGTGGCCCCAGGGCTGGGCGGTGGGGGATGGGGGGGTGGCATGGAGTTAGTATTTTATGGATAGAGTTTCAGTTTGGCAAGATGGAAAAGTTCTGGAGTTGGATGATGGTGACGGTTCACAACAATGTAAATGTACTTAAAGCCACTGCACTGTACACTTAAAAATGGTACATTTTATGTTGTGTATATTTTACCACAATAAAAGAGGAAAAAATGGGCAAAATCTTCTAATAGACATGTCACCAAAGAAAATACATGAATGGCTAATAAGCACATGAAAAGATGCTTAACATCATGAGTCACTAGGGAAATGCAAATTAAAACCACAATGAGGCCGGGCGTGGTGGCTCACGCCTGTAATCCCAGCACTTTGGGAGGCCAAGGTGGGCAGATCACAAGGTTAAGAGATCGAGACCATCCTGGCAAAACTAAAACAAAACAAAAATTAGCTGGGCGTGGTGGCACACGCCTGTAATCCCAGCTACTCCGGAGGCTCAGGCAGGAGAATCACTTGAACCTGGGAGGCGGCGGTTGCAGTGAGCCAAGATCGTGCCACTACACTCCAGCCTGGCGACAGAATGAGACCCTGACTCAAAAAAAAAAGACAAAAAAAAAACAAAAAAAACCCCACAACAGTGAGATACTACTTTATACCTGCTAGAATGGCTATCATAAAAAAGATAGATAACAAAAAGTGTTGGTGAGAATGTGCAGAAATTGAAATGCTTATGCATTGCTGGTGGAAATGTTAAGTGGTTAACCACTTTAGTACCATATGACCCAGTAATTCTACTCCTAGATATCAACCCAAGAGAAATAAAAATATATGGCAAAGCAGAGCACAGTGGCATGCACCTGCAGTCCCAGCTACTCAGAAGGCTGAAGTAGGAAGATCAATTGAACCCAGGAGTTCAAGGCCAGCCTTGGCAACATAGCAAGACCCCCATCTCTAAAATATACATATATGTATATATCCACACAAAGACTCATGCACAAATGTTTACGGCCATTTATAAACATAGCTATCATCCAAAATAGCAAAAAATGACAGCAACTCAAAAGTCCATCAATTGGTGAATGGATAAACAAAATACAATATCTAAACACTACTCAGTAATGTAAAGGAAGAACAAATTAGTAAGACATACAACAAAGTGGAATGAATCTCAAAAATATTACGTTAAGTGAAAGAAGCCAAATGCAAAAGACTACATATTGTATGATTCCATTTATATAAAATGTCTAGAAAAGGCAAACCTATAGAAACAGAAGGCAAGTCAGTGGTTGCCTAGGGGTGGGGTAGGAGCAGGGATTAACTACAAATAGGCACAAGGGAACTTTTGGATGATGGAAATGTTCTAAAACTGGACTGTGGAGTTGGTTTCACCACTCTAAAAATTTGCTAGTGTCATTGGATTGTACCCTTACAATGGGTGAATTTTATGACATGTAAACTATACATTGATAAGGGTGTTAAAAAATGAAAGAATACCACAAGGAGGCCAGAGACTTTGAAAACTTTCTGAAAAATGAAAAGCAGATGGAAGACAATCAGTGACCAAAATATATAAAGAGCTTCTACAAATCAATAAGAAAATGACAAATAACTGAATGTAGAAAGAACAAAGAGCGTGAAACAGCAGTGCACAGAAAATGACAACTAATAAACCAGTAGGAAAATGCTGAACCTCACTGCTAAAAGAAAAGATGCGATTTAGAACCTAGGATGTCATTTTTCACCCACCAGGTCGACAAAATGTAAGGTTAATACCTAGGTCTGATGGAGGGATAAAGCACTGAAAATTCTCAGACACTGCAGGTGGAATGCAAATTGGAACAGCCTCAGTGGAGGGCTGTCTGGCAGGATATGTGAAAAGTAATAAGGGCTATTTCCTGTGCTTCAGTGATTACACATCTCAGCTTATAACTCAGAGAAACTCACTGGCACAGGTGCACAGTCTGCATATTGAAAAAAGTGGAAGCCACCTAAATGTCCATCCATGAGTCTGTAAGACAGTTGCAAAATGAACTATGATATAACCATTCCATGATGTTTTCTGTAGCAGTTATTAGATCTTTATCTCTTAACATGGAAAAATTGTCAAGACATTTTCTTTTTCTTTCTCTCTCTCTTTTTTTTTTTTTTTTGAGACAGGGTTGTGCTATGTTGCCCAAGCTGGAGTGCAGTGGCACGATCATAGCTCACTGCTCCTTCAAACTCCCAGGCTCAAGTGTTCCTCCCACTTCAGCCTCCCAAGTAGCTAGGACTACAAGTGTGTGCCACCGTGCCTGGCTCATTTTCTAATTTTTTGGAAAGACGGGGTCCCACTTCTCACTATGTTGCCCAGGCTGGCCTTGAACTCCTAGGCTCAGGTGGTTCTCCCACCTTGTCTTCTCAAAGTGCTGGGGTTATAGGCGTGAGCCACCATGCCTGGCCAAGACATATTGTTGAGTGAAAAAAAGGTAAGTGGTACTATTCACTTGCATACTTAAAAATTAGTCAAACAGAAGTGAAACATTAATATATGTAAAGCTAAAGATTCTCCCGCCTGATTCTCCTGGAAAATCCCATTCCCTTTCTATACATTTGTATTCATATATACACAAATGTGGAGTTTTTATTTCTCTTTTTACATAATTGGCATTATACTATAAGTATTGTTTAGCATTATATGATACACTCTGTTCTACGGCTTCTTCTTTTTTTTTTCTTTCACTTAATGGTAAGTTGTGGAGGTGTTTCCACTGCATTATCCAAGCGTTACCTCATTCTTTCTATTAGATGTTCATTATGATTTTTTTTTTTTTTTGAGACAGGCTCTTCCCCAGTCTGGAGTACAGTAGGGTGTTCTTGGCTCACTGAAACCTCTACCTCCTGGGTTTAAGCAATTCTCCTGCCTCAGCCACGTGAGTAGTTGGGATTACAGGCATGTACCACCACCTGGCTAATTTTTGTATTTTTAGTAGAGATGGGGATTCGCCATATTGGTCAGGTTGGTCTCAAACTCCTGGCCTCACGTCATCTGCTTGCCTCGGCCTCCCAAAGTGCTGGGATTACAGGCGCGAGCCACCGCACCTGGCTCATTATGATCATTTTTAAAAACTACTTCTCTACTAAAGGGTATTTAGCTTGTTTTGAGACTTCTGCTGATACAGATGATAATACAGTCCTGGGTGAAGGTATATACTTGTTAAATTTCAGTAACTACTGTTAAGTAGGTATATCCCCAAAGTGGCTGTACCTATTTACACTCCAGCAGAGGATGGAGGTATGTAACCAGTCCCCCACCCCTCACTATTAATAAAAAATAACAACCTTTTATGATTTTGCCAAGTGAATGACAAAATGTTATTTTAGTTTCTATTTCCTTGATAGAATGAAGTAAAACATTGATTCTATTTCATTTCATTTGTTCTTTAGCCTTTGGAGTTTATTTTTCCATGAATTCCTTAGTTATATCCTTTGCCTAATTTGTTTTTTTCTTTTCTTGAGATGGAGTATTGCTCTGTGGCCCAGGCTGGAGTACAATGGCGCGATCTTGGTTCACAGTAACTTCCGCCTCCTGGGTTCAAGTGATTCTCCTGCCTCAGCTTCCCAAGTAGGTGGGATTACAGGCACCCGCCACCACACCTGGCTAATTTTTGTATTTTTAGTAGAGACAGGGCTTTGCCATGTTGGCTCGAACTCCTGACCTCAGGTGATCCATCCACCTTGGCCTCCCAAAGTGCTGGGATTACAGGCGTGAGCCACTGCACCCGGCCTTTTGCCTAATTTTTAAATTGTCATCTATTTCTTATCTATTAATAGAAACTATTTATATATTGTAGATAATGATCTTTTGTCAAACGTGTGTGTGTATGTGTACAAAAGATCAATATGTACGTAGACAGTAGTACCCCTTATCCACAGGGGATACTTTCAAGATCCCCAGTGGGTGCCAAAGCTGTGGATAGTACCGAACCCTATATATACTATGTTTTTTCCTATGTGTACATATGTATGATGAAGTTTAATTTATACATTAGGCACAATAAGCGATGAACAAATAATAGAACAATTATAACAACATACTGTAATAAAAGTTATATGAATGTGATCTCCCTCTCTCATCTCATAACATCTTATTGTATGTAATATTTTTGGACTGCAGTTGATTGTAGGTAACTGGAAAGTGAAACTGTGGATAAGCGGGGACTACTATATACACACACTATATGAGTCAGCTCGGGCTGCTATAACAAAATACTGTAGACTGGACAGCTTAACCAACAGATTTATATTTTCACAGTTCTGGAGGCTGGAAGTCCACGATCAAGGTGCCAGCATGGTCAGTTTCTTGTCCTGGCTCATAGGCCGCCCCCATCTTGCCATCTTCACAAAGAAGAGGTGTACTCACGTGACCTCTTCTTTGTGCACAAGAGGAGAGAGTGAGCAAGTGAACTCTTGGTGACTCCCCTACAAGGACACTAACCCTATAGTTGGAGGGCCCCACCCCTGTAACTTCATTTAACCTAAATTACCTCATTATAAACCCTGTCTCCAAATACAGTCACATTGGGACTTTTGGCTTCATCATGAATTTTGTTGAGGGGACACAATTAAATCCACAGCACACAGTATATTAATAGAAACTATTGTCCTTCGTCATTTAGCTTTGTTTGTTGTTTAAAATTGTAAAATACGATGACATAAAATTTGCCATCTTAAAGATTTTTAAGTGTCCAGTTCAGTAATGACAAGTATATTCAGATTCTCTGCGACCCATCTCCAGAACCCTTTTCATCTTGCAAAACTGAAACTCTGTACTGATTAAACAACTCTCAATTCCCACCTTGTATTAGTTTGTTTTCACACTGCTATAAAGATACTATCTGAGACTGGGTAATTTGTAAAGAAAAAAGATTTAATTGACTCACAGTTCCGCATGGCTGGGTAGGCCTCAGGAAACTTATAATCATGGTAGAAGGCAAAGGGGAGGCAAGCACCTTCTTCACAGGGTGGCAGGAGAGAGAGAGGACAGAGGGGGAACTGCCGAACTCTTTCAAAACCATCAGCTATCATGAGAACAGCATGAGGGAGACCATCCCCATGATCCAGTCACTTCCCACCAGGTCCCTCCCCTGATTACAATATGAGATGAGATTTGGGTGGGGACACAGAGCCAAACCATATCATCCCTCCCTCCAGCCCCAGCAACTTCCATCCTACACTTACACCTGTCTCTGTGTAGATAGACTATAACGGCTCTAAGTGTCTCATACGCATGGAGTCACACAGAATTTGTCTTTGGGTGATGGGCTTGTTTCACTCAGCATAATGTCCTCAAGATTCATTCATGTTGTAGCATATGTCAAATTTCCTTGCTTTTTAAGGTTGAATAATATTCCTTTGTATGTATATAACACACTTTGTTTATCTGTTCATCTGTCAATGGACACTTGGGTTGCTTCCACTTTTTGGTGATTATAAATAATCCTATGAACATGTGTATAAGAATACCACTTCAAGACTCTGCTTCCAATTCTTTGCGGTATACCTAGAAGTGGAATTGCTGGATCATATGGAATTCTATTTTTAACTTTGGGAACTATAGTTTTCCACAGCACTGCACCATTTTACATTCCTACCAGCAAGGCACAAGGGTTCCAATGTCTCTACATTCTGGCTAACACTTTTAATTTTGTTTTTCCGATACTAGCCATCGTAGTGTATATGAGGTGATTTTGCTTCTTTTTTTATGCTTTTTGTAACACGAGGCAAGCCAGAAGCAAGAAAACAATGCGTGCTTAAGTTTAGGGGGCTACCCTATAGTTAGACAGCCTGTATTCAAATCCTGGCTATACCACACCACTCTAGCTGTGTGTCCTCATGCAAATTTCCCCAACCCCTACTGCCCCATCTGTAAAATGAAGTTAAAAATCATACTGATAGCCTTGGCAACCTGGCAAAACCCAGCCTCTACCAAAAAAAAAAAAAATTAGCTGGGAGTGATGGGATGCACCTATAGTCCCAGCTACTCGGGAGGCTGAGGTGGGAGGATTGTTTGAGCCCTGGAGGTCCACACTGCCCTGATGGCACCACTGCACTCCAGCCTGAGAAAAAGAAAAAAAGTCTGCCTCTAATCCCAGCACTTTGGGAGGCCAAGGCAGGTGGATCACTTGAGCTCAAGAGTTCGAGACCAGCCTGGGCAACATGGTGAAACCCCATCTCTACAAAAATTAGCCAGACATGTAAATTGTTCCAACACCTTTCACTGAGTAGTGTGTACTTTCCCACTGGTTTGATCATCTCTTACTTCCAGCAACACAGAGGTTTGTTTTTGAACTGTCTTCAGTCCAACTGATCTCTTCCTGACCCTCCACAATTTTCCAGAGCTTTGGGAACGAGTGGAGCTACCAGGTTGGAGCGAGCTCCCTTTGTTGTTCCTTTTCAAAGCTGGCTTGACTTTCCTTGCATTCTCCTTTTCTAAACTCAGCCTGTTAGGCTATATATATATATATATATATATGGTGAGCTTTTGAAATAACTGTCAGCAAAAAACTAACTTGGAGGAAAAGTGTTGTGTTCACAGCATTGTATCCTCTTACTGGGAAACTTTTGTTTCCCAGAATTCATTTCTCCCTTCTTAGCTCACCTAGGTAAACCTGAGTGTTCTCTTTCACCAAGGACTGGATCACAACCACTGTGGATAAAAGCTCTTATTACCCTACTTCCTCTTGAAGACAGGAGGGGCTGGAGACAAACCGCCAAATGAGAAGATGTGAAAGGGAACTGAACAACGTGCTTTGGGGAAACAGGCTATTCAGGGTGGTGACCTTGGGAATGCAGCTGACAGTCAGCCAAGACAAGCCCCTGGGCCTCCTGGACTCTCCTCTAATAACTCTGAAAACAGGCAGCTTTGCAGGAGCAACTAGAAAATCCCCAAATTCACAGGCCCTACAGGCTAGGGGCTGGCCTTAACTCCCCCTAACTCTATCCTACAGATGAGGAAGCTGAGGTTTGGAGGTTGGAGAGGGACAAACCTAGATGAGCCTGGTCTCTCCTGTTTCCCAGACTTGAACTTGACTTAGCAGGAGGGTGGGGTGCCATCTGAAGGTGGGGGAGAATGCACTCTGTCCCCTGGGCTCCACCCCAGCCCCAAACAGACCAGTGGCCAAGTCTCAGTGTTTCTTTTTCTTTTTTTTTTTTGAGACAGAGTCCTGCTCTGTCGCCCAGGCTAGTGTGCAGTGCCGTGACCTCAGCTCACTGCAACCTCCACCTCCTGGGTTCAAGCAATTCTCCTGCCTCAACCTCCCGAGTAGCTGGGATTACAGGCACATGCCATCATGCCCGGCTAATTTTTTTATTTGTAGTACAGACGGGGTTTCACCATGTTGGCCAGGCTGGTCTCGAACTCCTGACCTCAGGTGATCCACCTGCCTCGGCCTCCCAAAGTGCTGGGACTACAGGCGTGAGCCACTGCACCCAGCCAGGGTTTCACTCTTAACTGTGTGGCTCCCTTGGAATAGGCTCCCCCACTGCTCCACATCCTTCCCCCCTTTAAGAAGAGACCAGTCCTTGGCTCATGCTGTTCATGGGATTTATTGTCATTCCTCCAAGGTCAGCAGGGGAAGGGGACACCAGCCACACTTCACCACAGGCATAGGTGGCACTGAGCCACCTGGCACTATCTCCACGTGCTCCACACGGAGGGGTGCCTTCTCACTGGCAGCAGCTGCACTTCTCTGCTTCTGCCTCAGCTGCCTCTCCGCCTTTGCACACACAGTCCTTGGCACACTTCTCACACTCCGCAGGGCAGCAGGAGCAGCAGCCTGCAGATAAAATGGAAGATGACCACTCTCTGATGCACACTCCCCCAATTCGTCCCCATCAAAGGGGAGGGAAGGGTGCTGGGTGGGGAGTCATCCTGGTTCATTCAGCCAGGGCTAGTCGCAGCCCCCTTCTTAGTCTCACACCTGCTTTGACTCAGCATCTATGTCGCGGCAGTGGCATCCTGCACCTCCACAGGAGTGAGGTACCCAGGAAATGACCAGAGCCCCTTGGGTGGATGCCAGGAAGTCCTGGGGGCTGGTGGGCTTAAGCCCAGCTTAGGTGGGTACTAGGCCTTAAGGAGAAAGCATCACAGGGTAAACGACCTTGAAAGGGGCCTCAAAGGATAAACTTGGGAGGGGCAGATATGGTGCAGATGTAAGGGGCCCAGGAAAGCCGTGGGGAGGCGGTGGGGACCTGTGCCTGGTTTCATACCTAGGGAAGAAGGGAGCCTTCCTCCCACCTCTTACTCCCTATGCATATTACACTGCCGTGAGCTGGGGAGATTTTGAGATCAAACTGAGAGGATCCGTAAGGCCGGAGAGAGGCCAAGGGACCGGAACTCCAGAGCTGAGCCGCAGCCTCACTAATGGCTTCCCCAGGTTTTGGGGAGTTTTTGAGGGATGGGTCGGGAAAGGTTGGACCAGTGTGGCAGTCCTCAATCCCAGCTGCCATTGGAGTCTTCTGGGGATTTACAAAAACCTCTCGTCCCACGCCTAGGCCATCAATTCCTGGGTGTGGGGCAGGGGCATCTGTATTTTAATGTCTGCCCGGGTGGTTCTATTCCAGCAAGAGTCAGAAACCACGGGATCGGGGCCTGGCTGTCTCTCCACATCCTGCGTGGTGAGACACCGACTCCGCAGAGCAGAGGGGGCGGCGGCAGAGGGGAAGGGTCCCCGCACTCACTCTTCTTGCAGGAGGTGCATTTGCATCCCTCGCACTTGCAGGAGTCCGCGCAGGTGCAGGAGCCACCTAGAGAGGGCGACGCCACAGGAAGGGTTAATGTGGACGAACTCGGGTCCCCACGCCTGTCACGAGGAGATGGGGTGCCAAGTCTCCCTGTTCTCCGCGACACAGGCATGCCCGCCCTTCACGAGGTGAAGAATAGGGAATCAGGGGCCCTTCCCCCAAGTGTCCTTGAGCGAAGGCGCAGGGCGTGGGTTTCTTTGCAGGTACAAGGGCGCGCAGTGCGCAGGATGCGAGCGGGGGCGGGGGCTCACCAGAAGGGCAGGGGCAGGTCTCAGGGTCCATGTCGAGGAGAGCAGCAGCTGGAGGCGGTGAACGGGCTTCTCCAAGCAACTGGACGCGCGGCTTGGCTAGTGGCAGCAGGTGGCGATGCTTTTATAGCCTCGGGCGGGGGCGCGCATGCCAAGCCCGCTGGGCGCCCGCCCCTGCGCACCGCGCCCGCTCTTTCCGTTTGTGCGCTTGGGCTCCGGCGCACGCACTGCATCTGTCGCCCGCCCCTGCCGTGTGTGTGCACTGCCGGGGCCCGCTCGCCCACGCCCGCGCGTGCGCCCCCACTCCCACCCCGCATCCGCGTGCACGACCCACTCGCCGCCGCTGTGCGCGCACTGCCAGCCCACTCCCCGCGTGGGTCCCGCAGGGGACGTGCTCGCCGCAGCAGCCGCCACTGCGTGGAAGCGCGCACGTACCATCTCCGAAAGTGGAGAAAAAGGCGCTTTGCGTATTTCCCAGCTCTTCCCTGCCTCTCTTCCCCTTCATTCTAGAATTCTCCAGGACGCCAGATCTGTTCAGACGGGTTGCTGAACTGGGGGCAGAAAGAACCTGCTCACGATGAGCCCGACACTGACTCTTGCGCCCTCCGAGTGTCACTGGCAAGGGGCGTGTTCCATTTCCCCGCTGTCCTGCCTGGCATCTTCAGATCCTTGACTCCTAACCCTCCATTATACAGATAAGAAAAAGTGAGGCCAGAGAAGCAGAAATGTGCCTGGGTCCCAGAATAAGCCTGAGGCCGAGCCAGGCCTAGAACTCAGAACTCAGGTATCTAGAGGGATTGTCAGTGGGGGGCATGTTAAACTCAAGGCAGGTCAGTGAGATTTTTCTATTTATAAAAAGGAGGCCGGACGTGGTGGCTCACGCCTGTAATCCCAACACTCTGGGAGGCCGAGGCCGGCGGATCACCTGAGGTCGGGAGTTCGAGACCAGCCTGACCAACATGGAGAAACCCCATCTCTACTAAAGATACAAAATTAGCCCGGCATGGTAGCAGGTGCCTGTAATCCCAGCAACTCAGGTGGCTGAGGCAGGAGAATCACCTGACCCTGGGAGGCGGAGGTTGCAGTGAGCCCAGATCGCACCACTGCACTTCAGCCTGTGCAACAAGAGGGAAACTCCATCTAAAAAAAAAAAAAAAAAAATTATCTGGATGTGGTGGCATGCACCTGTAGTCCCAGCTACTTGGGAGGCTGAGGCGGGAGGATTGCTTAAGCCCAGGAGGTTGAGGAGGCTGCAGTAAGTAAGCCTTATTGCACTACTGCACTCCAATCTGGGTCACAGAGCAAGACCCTGTCTCAAAAAGAAAAGAGAGCCTAGGTAAAATAAGATTGATCAATGTTTATATGAATATAAGGGATTTGGGTGCAAAATGAAAGGAAAAGAGGTCTAAGCTGCCAAGGAGAATCATTTGTGACTGAGCAGGGTAGCGTGAGTGAGAATGAGACCCCGAGAAGTGGAGAGGAGAGAGGTCATTGCTCCTCAAAAACGAGGGCCATTCAGGGGTCTAGATGAAGTTTGGGGGGCAGCAAAGAAGGGACCAGAGCTGGGAGAAGACCTCTGTAAAAAGCATTTTAAAAAATGTTATTGTGAAGTGTGTGAGTGTCACTCTCTCTGCTGTCCCTCTGAGACTTTCTGAAAATCTTCCTTGCTTGCTAATGCTTTCACAGAAGGGGTTGTGTTTCGGGGTACGTGGAGCTGAGCATTAAGATGACTCCCAAGGCCAGTGGCTCATGTCTGTAATCCCTATGCTTTGGGAGGTCAAGGTGAGAATCACTTGAAGCCAGGAGTTTGAGACCAGCCTAGGCAACATAGTAAGACCCCATCTCTACAAAATAAATAAATAAAATAAAAATTTAAAAAATCAGCCAGTAGTGGTGGGGATCACATGTACCCCTAGCTACTTGGGAGGCCAGGGTGGGAGGATTGCTTGAGCCCAGGAGTTTGAGGCTGCAGTGAGCTATGATAACACCACTGAACTGTAGCCTGGATGACAGAGCAAGACCCTGTACCTCCCCCGCAAAAAAGATGGCCCCCAAATGAAGGCAGGGACAGAGGAGGTGTTTGACAAAGAACTAGTCACACTGGAGTAACCCAATAAGGAAATTCATCCTGAGATGAGAATTTTTAAAGCAAAGCCCGCACTGTGCAGGGCGAGAGCAGCTGAATGCTGTGCTACCACGGGAGAGGGGTAGCCAGGCCAGCCAAGGCTAACCAAGGTCCAAAATAGAGCCTTGTATGGAGAGTCAGAGGCTATATTCAAGTGTAGGCTCTCACACGGACAGTGTAGGTTCCAGCCACTGGACAATTGGAATATCAGATCTCAGAGTTCCCCAACTCTAGCATCAGCCAGTCATCTGTTTCTTTGCTTCCATTTTGCCTAAGGGCACTCTGGCCTCTTAACTTCTTTGCCCTAGGCCCTGAACCTCAGGGTTTCTGTATCTAGGACCTTCACGCTTGGGATGCACTCAACTGAAGCTGCCTCCCCTGCAATCTCCCTCAGGTCTGTCAGATTTCTTTGGGGTTGAGGCTTCAGAGCTGGCATAGCAACCTCCTTCCTGCCCCAAGGGTGGCCAGGATTTTGAGGGGTCTGAAAACCACAGCATCTTTCTGATACCCCCTACCCCTCATCCTCCATGTGGCCTTCCGTTCTAAGCCTCCATGAGGAGCATGCCGTGCAGGTCTATCGCTCCAGGAGGTCCCTTTCTCCCCTACCTTTATCCTCTCTGACCCCTTGTTAATTCTTACATCTCGAAGTGGCCAGGTGCAGTGGTTCACACCTGTAATCCCAGCACTTTGGGAGGCCGAGGCAAGCGAATCACTTGAGGTCAGGGGTTCGAGACCATCCTGGCCAACATGGTGAAACCTCGTCTCTACTAAAAATTCAAAAAAAATTAGCCAAGCATGGTGGCGGGTGCCTGTAATCCCAGCTACTTGGAGGCTGAGGCAGGAGAATCACTGGAACCCAGGAGGCGGAGGTTGCAGTGAGCCGAGATCGCACCACTGCACTCCAGCCTGGGCGACTGAGCGAGATTCCATCTCAAAAAACAAACAAACAAAAAACAGCTCAAAGTTATTTTGTCTATGTTTCCGTAGCCTGTGATTCTCCTTCCACAGATAACCATGCAAGTCACTCCTTTCTTTACTTCTAAGTCTTTGTTCAAATCTGCTTTCTCTGTGAAGCCCATCATGATCACACTACGTAAAATTGCATGCCTCGATGCCCCAGTACTTTTCATCTCCTTTACCTTGCTCTATCTTCCCTTTTTCCATAGCATTTAACATTTACTAGCAAACTAAATAATTTACTTATTTGTAATGATTATATGTCGTCTGTCTCCTGCTAGAATTTAAGCAAGAAAGAGCAAGGATCACTGTTTTTGTTCACTGGTGTCTCTGAAGTGCCTATAACAGTGCCTGGTACGTGGTAGACATTCAGGACACATTTACTTGATGAGTGAATGAATGAATGAGTCTGAGGTCATGCTAGTTGAGTTTACAGTGTGACTCTGCCGCTTAATAGTAATACGGCAGCCAGGCATGGTGGCGTGCACCTGTAGTTCCAGCTACTTGGAAGGCTGAGGTAGGAAGATCATTTGAGCCCAGGAGTTCAAGGCAAGCCAGGGCAACATGGCAAGACCCCTTCTCTCTCTAAAGCAAACAAACAAACACCATAGCAAGTTACTAGCTAGGTCAACTTAACATTTCTGTGCCTTGAGTTGCTCAATGGTAAAACGAAAATAATACTAATAGTAATAATAGTTCCTGCTTAATAGATTTGTCAGGGACTTAAATGGGATGGCATTGGGAAAAGACTTGGAGCAGGGTCCTCACCACATTGGTTCTCACCATTTACAAATGAAGAAGTCAGGTGAGGACTCTGCAGGGGGCCTGGGTTCCTAAAGCTCCTGCTTGACACCCAGTCTCATGGTTGGCCTCAGCTCTGTGCTTCCTGAAACACAGTCACCTGTGGCCTGTAGTTGATACAGTACTGCAGACATCAGCATGGGCCACCAGTCATAGACATCAGTCCTCAATCGAGACCTTGCGCCCAATCCTAGAGCTTCCTGGCAGAAGGGAGTTCACAGAAACTTTAACTTTTTCAATTAGACTGGGGCCAAGAGGCAAGACCAGTAGGCTGAGGGGTGGAGATCACTCAAGGTCACACTAAGGGATTTTCCATCCCCATATGATCCCCAGATGATCTCAGAAAAAAAGCAAGACCCCCAGCAAGCCCACACCCTGACTGAAATTGGTCCAGTGCAGGATTAAGACTATTGCATCGCTCTCAAAGAGTTTCCCAATTTACTATCCTGGGACTGAAAAATTGGCTAGGATTTTAGGAGCCTGGGCACACAGTGTACAAAAAGAGTTTGCAAATATGCAAATCTACAAATAAAGTCATTTCTTGGAGAGATCCGGATTTATTAATGAACAATTTTGTGCACAGGGAAGCTGAAGCTAGAGAAAAGGCGGGGGTCTAGAAGTCCCGTGGTTTCTAGTTTCAGCTTGTCTAGTAAGTGGTGTAGTGAACCCAAGGAAGCCTCTCCCCAGTTTGTGCCCCACTTTTCACATGGGTTGACCAGATGACTGCTAGTGGCTACTATGGACAATGTCTTCCACTTGCTGGGAGTTTACCATGTGCCAGGTACCATATAGAGCACCATGGGGAGCTGATCTCATGTTATCTCACTGACTCCTTCACATATTATCTCATTGACTCCTTCCAGTTACCCTTATGGTAGGCATTGCTAACTCCCTTTTGCAAGGGAGGAAATCGAGGCTCAGATTCAGTGGCTTGTCCTGGAGGCAGACCCTGGACTTAAATCTAAGTGCATTACTCTTCAGCCTGCCCCGATGTCTTTAATTCAATCCACTATGAATTCTAGTTATTAGGCATGCTACCCGCCAGGCTCCTGGATACTTGATAATGCTTTGATACCCCAAGCAAACTTTTACGGAATTGCGGAATCTTCATCTGCAACAAAGAAAGTCATCCTGCCTCCTCTCTCTACCCATAAGGCAGGTCCTCGACCTCTGGAAATGCCCCATTCAGGCCCTACATGACCTGCACAGTCCTGACTCAGCCCACAGCCTGGCCTGTGATAGTGTATGTGGTTTTCCACACAAGAGAACATCAAAGCACTGACTTTAGGCCAGGCGCGGTGGTTCACGCCTGTAATCCCAGCATTTGGGAGGCCAAAGCGGGTGGATCACTTGAGGTCAGGAGTTCGAGACCAGCCTGCCCAACATGGTGAAACCTTGCCTCTACTAAAAATACCAAAATTAGCTGGGCGTGATGGCGGGCATCTGTAATTGCAGCTACTCGGGAGGCTGAGGCAGGAGAATCACTTGAACCCGGGAGGTGTTGCAGTGAGTTGAGATTGCATCACTGCACTCCAGCCTGGGTGACAGAGTGAGACTCCATCTCAAAAAAACAAAAACAAAAAAACAGAATAGAACAAAACAAAACACTGACTTTAGACCTCTCTGTGAAGGTAGATTCTCCATTCCAAGCAGATCCTGGCCCGGACCAAGTTCCAGCCCACAACAACGGGGTCCCAGCACTTATCTGGAGGAGACCAAATCTCTGAGCTTAGTGCAGTCACTGTGAGCCACAGGAACTAGCTTCCGGGAGCCTACATTCTTTTAGGTCTTTTGTGATGTTGTCTTCCCAATTTTCACTGGATCATTGATGCTCCGAGATCTTGCCCTCAAGTTGGCAAAATGCCCCCCTCCCCTGTCCTATCCTTTGTGGAATCCTAATTAGGGAAAAGGGGTCAGACTGGTGGGACCAGAGAGAGCAAAGAGATAAAGCAAATAAGTTCTAGGTCTACCTTGGCCCAGGACATACGGCCCTCCCATGCAGATAACGTACATAACTCGCAGACTTCCTGCTTACCATCAAACACCTCAATTTATCAAACACCCCCGCTGAGGAAAGAATGCAAGTTAAGCTCCCTGCTGCATTGGTGTTATCAATCAGCCCAAGTTCCATTCTATAAAATCCTCAGAAAGCCTTTGCTTCCTTGCAGTCGGTTCCTCTTCTGCTGGTTTTGCCAGTTGCTCCCCGGCAATGTATTTTCATACTTTCTTTAATAAATCTGCCTTCCTTTATCTACAACTGTCTTGGTAAATTCCTTTACCCCCGCATCCCTAGCTCAGGTTCCCTGAGTACCTGAAATGTCCTTTGAATGTTGAGTGAATGAATGCCTGTGAGAATTGAGTGAGTCTGACTTTGGGCTAATTATTTTTGTGGGACCCCTTGAAGGTTGAGTCATGAAGAGTCAGGCTTAGTTAAATACAGAGCCATGAAGTTACCCTGTAGCCCCCACCATCCTGCTTGGCTTAAAAGAGTAACATGGTGGTGAATTTCATTTCAGACCACAAACATCTGTTGAGCATCACCTTAATCCAGACTTTGTGTTAGGAATGCCAGATACAAAGATTAGTAAGAATGTCCTTCTTCAAGAACCCACAGCCTGGGTAAAGAGCCCAGATAGCTGTCGCTCACCTATGACATCCTTGCCCCACTTACACCAGGGTTTGAGTAGGGATCCTGAGATTCTTTCTGAAAACTCATCCCATGAGTACCATCTGCCTTATTTTAGTAGATAAGGAAACTCAGAGACAGCATAGATTTTGTCCAAAGTCACACAGCAATGTTGTAATGAAGCCGGTACCTGAACCATGTCTCTTGACTCCAAGCCTGATTCCACTGGTCTAGCTTCCCAAAGTGAGATGATTGTATGAAATAACCTTGAATCACATTAAAAATTATTCTCTTTTCAGTCTTAATGAATCTTCCTGGTTGCTCCAAGGACACTCAGCTTGGAGCTAAGATGTCTTCAGTGCCTCTCCTTCTGTCTCTCAGTGCCCAGCTTTTCTCCCTCTCTCTCTCTCCCTCCCTCCCTCCTTCCCTCCCTCCCTCGTTTTTCCTTGAGACGGTCTTGCTCTGCCACCCAGGCTGGAGTGCAGTGGTACAATCATGGCTCACTGCATCCTTGACGTCCCTGGCTCAAGCGATCCTCCCACCTCAGCCTCCTAAGTAGCTGGAACCACAGGTACACACCACCATGCCTGGCTAATTTGTGTGTGTGTGGTTTTCTGGGTATTTTGTTGTTTGTTTGTTTTGGTAGAGTCAGGGTTTCACCATGTTGCCCAGAATGGTCTGGAACTCCTGGGCTTAAGTGATCCTCCTGCCTCAACCTCTCGAAGTGCTGGGATTACAGGCATGAGCCACCGTGCCTGACCCCAGCTCCCCTTTTTAACAGAGAATGGGCTGAGGAGTCAGGAAAGAACAGGGGAGCCCTACCATGCCACAGTATCTAGCTAGACATTTAATAACTTGGCTTTATGTTCTCTGTATTTGTCTCCATGGTTACCTCCTGTTTATGGCAAATGATTCAGCATCTCTTCTACAGTAGTGATATGAGATTTCCTTTTAAAAGAAATTTCAGGCCAGGCGCATTGGCTGATGCCTGTAATCCCAGCACTTTGGGAGGCCAAGGCGGGCAGATCACCGCCTTGATCAGGAGTTTGAGACCAGCCTGGCCAATATGGTGAAACCCTGTCTCTACAAAAAATACAAAAATTAGCTGGGTGTGGTGGCGCATGCCTGTGATCCCAGCTACTCAGGATGCTGAGGCAGGAGAGTCACTTGAACCTGGGAGGCAGAGGTTGCGTCGAGCTGAGATCTTGCCACTGCCCTCCAGCCTGGGAGACGGAGTGAGACCCTGTCTCAAAACAACAAAACAAAAAAAAAAACACTACATATCCTTTTAGGCCCTGCTCAAATACCATGTCCTCCAGGAAGTCTTCACTCCTGCCTGCAGCCAGCTGTAACCTCCCCTCCTTGGCACTTCTGTGGGGTCTTGTCTAGATATATTCTCCCCTACAGGAGAGGAGACAAGACATTCTGACATCTCCAAGACAGACTCTGAGGTCCCTGAAGTTGGGGACTAAGAGGGATGATTCCTTCCCTTCCCCACTCCTGTGCTTAGCAAAGTTCCCTGAGTACCTGAAATGTCCTTTGAATGTTGAGTGAATGAATGCCTGTGAGAATTGAGTGAGTCTGACTTTGGGCTAATTATTTTTGTGGGACCCCTTGAAGGTTGAGTCATGAAGAGTCAGGCTTAGTTAAATACAGAGCCATGAAGTTACCCTGTAGCCCCCACCATCCTGCTTGGCTTAAAAGAGTAACATGGTGGTGAATTTCATTTCAGACCACAAACATCTGTTGAGCATCACCTTAATCCAGACTTTGTGTTAGGAATGCCAGATACGAAGATTAGTAAGAATGTCCTTCTTCAAGAACCCACAGCCTGGGTAAAGAGAAAGCTGCTTAATAAAAGATCAACACATGGGCCAGGTGTGGTGTCTCACGCCTGTAATCCTAGCACTTGGGGAAGCTGAGGCGGGTGGATTGTTTGAACTCAGGAGTTCAAGACCAGCCTGGGCAACATGGTGAAACCCCGTCTCTACAAAAAATTAGCTGTGTGGTGGCACGTGCCTGTGGTCCCAGGCATTTGGGAGGCTGAGGCAGGAGGATCCCTTCAGCCCGGGAGGTCGAGGCTGCAGTGAGCGGGGATCATGACACTGCACTCCAGCCTGAGTGACAAAGTGAGACCCTGTCTCAAAAAAAAAAAAAAAAGAAGAAAGGAAAGAGGGAAGGAAGGAGGGAAGGAAGGAAGGGAGGGAGGGAAAGAAAGAGAGAGAAAGAAAGAAAGAAAAGAAAAGAAAAGAGAAAAGAAAAGAAAAAAGAAAAGAAAAGATCAAAATGCTGCTAGGAGTCTGCAAAAAGAAAAGAAAAGAGAAAAGAAAAGAAAAAAGAAAAGAAAAGAAAAGATCAAAATGCTGCTAGGAGTCTGCATAGTAGATTGGTAGCACCCACGCCATTTTACATAAACCAGTATCCCCTCTCTGCCTTCCTAATTATTAGCTTCCCAGATGCAGGAACAGGCAGCATTCCCTTCTCCCAGGAATGACTTCGGGGCATCAAAGATCCCTCTCACACCTCATTTATCTCAGTGGTTCTCAGCAGTGGGTGGTTTTGCCCCCAGGGGTCATTTGGCAATGTCTGGAAACATTTTTGATAGTGGTAGCGTTTTGGGGACAGTGGTGCTACTGGTGTCTAATGGATAGAAGCCAGGGATACTGCCAAATATCCTAAAATGCACAGGATAATCCCCCAAAACCAAGACTCATCTGGCCCCAAATGTCAATATTGCCAAAGCTGAGAAATCCTGCTCCACTTTTTCCTGTAACAACCCTGTCTTGATTTTTAGCAGCTCAAACATGTAGGGAAAAGAGCCAGGGAAATCAAAAGACCTGCTTCGCAATCCCGGCCTTATGGCCAACTTGCATGTTTGGCCTCTGTCAAATGCAGAGTGTCATGAGCTGCCCCTGCCCCCAAAGGTGTTTGGGGGCTCAAATATGTCAAATCGAAGGAGGACACTTGGGGAAGTAATTTTCTTTTCTTTTCTTTTTTTTATTATTATACTTTAAGTTTTAGGGTACATGTGCACAATGTGCAGGTTAGTTACATATGTATACATGTGCCATGCTGGTGTGCTGCACCCATTAACTCGTCATTTAGCATCAGATATATCTCCTAATGCTATCCCTCCCCCCTGCCCCCACCCCACAACAGTCCCCAGAGTGTGATGTTCCCCTTCCTGTGTCCATGTGTTCTCATTGTTCAATTCCCATCTATGAGTGAGAACATGCGGTGTTTGGTTTTTTGTCCTTGCGATAGTTTACTGAGAATGATGATTTCCAATTTCATCCATGTCCCTACAAAGGACAGGAACTCATCATTTTTTTTATGGCTGCATAGTATTCCATGGTGTATATGTGCCACATTTTCTTAATCCAGTCTATCATTGTTGGACATTTGGCTTGGTTCCAAGTCTTTGCTATTGTGAATAGTGCCGCAATAAACATACGTGTGCATGTGTCTTTATAGCAGCATGATTTATAGTCCTTTGGGTATATACCCAGTAATGGGATGGCTGGGTCAAATGGTATTTCTAGTTGTGGATCCCTGAGGAATAGCCACACTGACTTCCACAATGGTTGAACTAGTTTACAGTCCCACCAACAGTGTAAAAGTGTTCCTATTTCTCCACATCCTCTCCAGCACCTGTTGTTTCCTGACTTTTTAATGATTGCCATTCTAACTGGTGTGAGATGGTATCTCATTGTAGTTTTGATTTGTATTTCTCTGATGGCCAGTGATGATGAGCATTTTTTCATGTGTCTTTTGGCTGCATAAATGTCTTCTTTTGAGAAGTGTCTGTTTATATCCTTTGCATAGGGGAAGTAATTTTCAAGGGAAGGTGGACAGTAAGGCTGGGCACAGAGAAGGGGGAATCCTCCATTTAGCCTATATCTCTTGTCGTCAAATGGCCCAACTTTTCCAAGAAGGTTTCAATTCCAAATATTCTATCCTTTCCTTGTCTTCAAAATTAAATTTGATAATTCATGTCATCTGTGCCTCAGATTTTAAAAACACCTGGGTCTCCACCTGGATCTAGCTCTTCTCCTCAACTCCTCCTCCTTCTTTGTTGATTGTAGAAAATTCTGGAAAAAATGAAAAGTACATATATAACCCCTTTAAATATAAAATTAGAAGCCCACAGTACACGCTGATTTATAAATGACTTTATTTCTTGCTTATCAGTAGATTATGAACATCCATGACATGAATTTCACTTCTATAATTTTATTTTAATAGATTTATTCCATAATTGACTTACCCAGTACCCTACTTTGAGACATTTTGATTGTTTCCAAATCTTCACTATTATAATCCATGCCATGATAAACATCTTGGGAGCATTTGTATGTGTATATTCATGGTTGTTTTTTTCCTTTCCATACAACATTTCTTAAAGTAAAATTTCTGGCTCAAAGAATACACACTATTTTTTTTCCTTTTCAGAATGTATTTATTTATTTTAAAACATGCTACTTCAGAAAATTTTGGGGAATTCTAAAACACAGAAAGAAGGAAAAGTAAAAATTATCTTTTACTGTGATCTGAACACAATCCCTGTTGACATTTAGGATAGTATATTTTGTATTCTATGTGGCTTCTTTTTGAAAAACTACTGCATAACTAATTTATGGCCTATTATCTGTTTAGGTTTTGCTATAACCATTTTCTGTGTTTTTGTTTTTTTTTTTTTGAGACAAGGTCTCACTCTGTCGCCCAGGCTGGAGTGCAGTGGCACGATCTCGGCTCACTGCAACCTCTGTCCCAGGGTTCAAGCGATTCTCCCACCTCAGCATCCCCGAGTAGCAGGTGTGCACCACCACTCCTGGCTACTTTTTTTTGGTATTTTTTGGTAGAAACAGGTGTTTCACCATGTTGGCCAGGTGGATCTCGAACTCCTGACCTTAAGTGATCTGCCCGCTTCGGCCTCTGAAAGTGCTAGGATTACAGGCATGAGCCATAGCACCCGGCCTGTTTTTGTTTTTTTTATAGTCTTAGCTTACTTGAACGTTTTCATGGACTTGGACTTTAGGTTGTTTCCAGTTTTTCACAAATGTAAATAGTACTGCAATGAATCTTTTTGTGAGTAAGGTTGTCTTTCTCTTTTTTCAGACAGAGTCTCACTTTGTCGCCCATGCTGGAGTGCAGTGGTGCAAACATTCACAGCAGCCCTGACTTCCTGACTTCCTGGGCTCGAGTGATCCTCCTGCCTGATCCTCGCAAGTAGCGAGGTGCGCGCCACCACATCCAGCTAATTTTTGTATTAAAATTTTTTTTTTAATAAATATTTTGACAATTGAGATGGAGTCTTGTTATGTTGCCCAGGCTGGTCTTGAACTCCTGGGCTCAAGCGATCCTCCCACCTCGGCCTCCCAAAGTGCTGGGATTGCAGGCATGAGCCACCATGCCTGGCCAATTTTTGTATTTTTTGTAGGGATGGGGCTCTGTTGCCCAGACTGGTCTCAAACTCCCTGGGCTCAAACGATCCACCTGCCTTGGCCTCCCAAAGTGCTGGATTACAGGCGTGAGCCACTGTGCCCAGCCTTCTTTTTCCTTCTTTTCTGAATTTGTGGTGAACTCCTTAGAATAGGTTTCTAGAAGTAAAACGACGGGGTCAAGCAAGAAGAATGTTTTTATGGTTCTTTGATGTGCTCATATTGCCAAATTATTTTAAAAGCCCATGCCTTGTGAATCTGGGTGATTTGCACGTTGTTATGGCCTGGTGAGCCCTTGGAGAGCTTGTCCTGATTTGTCCTCCCAGCAGCCATGTCTGAAGGTCCCAGGACTTTTCTAGGCTCTCTTGGGCCCCAACAGCAGCCAGAGTGAAGTGAGAACATCCGCCCTCAAAACGCAGATGATTCCTGCTGCCCCGTCTCTGGGCCTGGAGCGCCCCCTACAGCCCACCTGAGGACTTTGCCTTCCTGTCCTGTGATCTGGGCTCCTCCTCCCTCCTCACCACACCCTCTTCTGGCCTCCACCCCAGTCCAGGTATGGCCTGAGCAGGTGCAGAGTGGGTCACAGCCTTTCTGAGGTTGCCATTGTGCCTTAGGCAGTACAGGAACACAAGCCATGACGTGTCAGCCTCCTGACACAGCACTTTCCTGCTCTAGGCTGCTCTGACATGAGAGAGCTCTTCTTTTTCTTGACCTAAAATCTGTTTCCTTGGTGTTTCCTCTTAATGCTCAAGTGTTATCCCTCAGGGCCACACGTAGCCGCTCTGCTCACTTATCCCTGTGGCCTTTCTTCCCCTCCATCTCACCTTCCCTCATGGCCTTCAAGCTTCTCTACCAGCTAGTTCTGCTTGAGCTTGGGACAAGGTCTCTCACTTCCTTGAGTCTCAGTTTTCCTCACCTGTGGAATGGACAATAATCTCTATCCTGCAGAGTTATTGTAAAGATTCAAAATCCTACCAATGAAAAGTCTGGCTCAGATTTTTGGCTAAAGATGAGAGGCCGAGCACATGGATTTTCCTCTCCTCCTCCTGAGTATACACTGAAAGAAAGTAAGGAAGGATAAAGAGGAAAAAAGAAAAACCAATAAAAGAGCTGTGTTGGGGGAGATGGCTTGGACAGTACATCAAGAGATCAGAGATTTTACCATTTCTGGAATACTGGAATGAGTTAAATCACATTTATGGGTAAATGGGAGTAGAGAAAGCCACAGCTCAAATCAAGAAGTGCGGAAGTCTATAGGAGATTTTGGGGTGCTTTGTTTTATTTTGGTGGGGTGAGGTGAGGCTAAGAAAGCAGAAGAGGAAGGAGGAGTAAAAACCAAGATGGCAGCTAATGGAAGGTCTGGCTGTAGAACTGACATGTGTTTGTCACACTTACCTCCTGTACCCTAGTTTGGGCAGCCCCACCATTTTCCCCCGGTCTGAGACTGCAAGATTTTCTCTGAAGAAATCGAATAACCAGCCTAGGAGGAGCCAGGGCTTCCAGAGGTGGGTCAACTCCACAGAAGATGACCCTTCTTGTTTTGACCCCAAGGGGTGGCCAAACTTGGCTACCATCTCCCCACCTGGGCATGCTAAAACCAAGCTTGCCAGTCAGCAAACTCCACTCACCCACAGAGTCTGCTTTCAGCTCAAAGAAGCAGAAATAATTCAAGGAAAACTTAACAATATATTATCCCTAGGTCAGAGTATAAAATCTGGCTTATAATAGGAATTTAATAAATATTTGTTTGGACCTCCAAAAAAAGAGAAAACAATAAGAAATTAAAACCGTTTAACTCATCAGAGTGATTCAAGAAATAACTCCAGGCTGGGTGCGGTGGCTCAGGCTTGTAATCCCAACACTTTGGGAGGCAGAGGCGGGTGGATCATCTGAGGTCGGGAGTTCGAGACCAGCCTGACCAACATGGAGAAACCCCGTCTTTACTAAAAAAGAAATGCAAAATTAGCCAGGAGTGGTGGCACATGCCTGTAGTCCCAGCTGCTCGGGAGGCTGAGGCAGGAGAATCGCTTGAAACCAGGAGGCGGAGGTTTCAGTGAGCCAAGATCGCACCATTGCACTCCAGCCTGAGCAACAAGAACAACACTCTGTCTCAAAACAAAAACAAAAACAAAAACAAAAACTCCACTCATAAAATAAAAACAGAATATTATGATGAAGAGACATTCAAAGAAGAAGAGGCCCTTATATATTTAAGTATAGTTGACAAAATTTTTAAACATCAGTGAAAGTACTACAAAAAGTACTTTTCTAATGTCCCACTTAAAGAGGTGAAAGAGAGAGAGACACATACACACAGAAAGACAGAAATAGATGCATACTAAAGGAAAATATTTTGAGACATAGAGGATTGATCCAGGAAAACCAGTAACCACTGATAGGAGTTTTGGAAGAGAAAATGGAATGGAGGGGTGAAAATTACTAAAGAAATAATCGTTTTCCAAGACTTTAGGGGGAAAAAGTCAGTCTTCAGAATGAAAAGGCCTAGCAAACACAGAGCAGGTTGAATGAAAAAAAGAACATTCAAATTTGGACCCATACTACATATCCTAGAGTGCCAATGATAAGTTAAACACCCAAAAGCTTCCAGTGAGAAATAAAAGGCGGGTAATGTTGGTGTTCACAACAGCAACACTGACTCTCAGAAGACATGGAGCAATGCCTTCAAAAGTGCTAAGAGAAAATGATATTGAACTTAAACTGATATCCAATCAAACTGTCAGTAAGGCATGAGAGAAAAATAAAGATATTTTCTGACATTTAGGGACTCTGAAGTTTCTCCTAATTCATCCTTTTGGTAAAAAATTGCTTGAGGATGTACTCCAGCAAAATGAAAAGGAGTCCAAAATAGAGCATGATAGGGGAATCCAAGAAGCAATGGTTCTAAACTAGGAGAGCAATGAAAATACATCTCAGAATGACAGTTGTATAGCAGATCTGGAAACAAGTCAGTGAATATTAGATCACTCAACAAATAGCGTGATTAAAAATGGAATTATCTTAATGATAGAGTAAAAAAGACATATCTGCCCATGTGCCTATACAAGGGGGAAAAAAGACAGTTGAAATGCCAGGAAAAACATAAAAGTCCCGTAAGGAAATAATAGTCCAAATTGTAAGCAAACTAAAATGTGACCTGATTCTGAGCAAGTCTCAGAAGAGAATATTCTTCTTTCTTTTATTTCTATTTTTTTATGGGTTTTCTGGTGAGAAGCAGAAAATCTGCTAGACAAATTCTGAAAGACCTTAACTTCTTTCTCTAAGCGGCCCACGTTTATTGAGTTACATATTCTTCTTTGTGGATCCATTTATCCTTGGCTCTCCAGTAAACAGTACTTACATAATCATAATATTGTAAAAATGATTTATTAATTTTTTTATTATTATTTTTTAGAGACAGGCTCTTACTGCGTCAGGCTGGAGTGCAGTGGCATGATCATAGCTTGCTACAGCCTCAAACTCCTAGGCTCAAGCGATCCTCTTGCCTTAGCCTCCCAAAGTGCTGAGATTACAGGCATGAGCCACCACATCTGGCTTTAAAATTTTATTTGACATTTTATTTCAAATTTTATTTTATTCCAAATTTCATAACAACTTAAGAGACAGAGCATGGAAGACTTACTCATGTTTGTACAATATATCAGATTGCTTTTAGCTGAACAGTGGCTGAAACCCTAAATAGGGGTTTATTTTTCTACTGTTATGAGGCAGCCGAAGTGGTCATCCCAGAGATGCACGTGCTTAAGAAAGCCGCCAAGATCATCTACGTTTCTCCATCCAGCTTCAATGTCCTGTATTATTTAATTTCTTTCTTTCTTTCTCTTTCTTCCTTTTTTTTTTTTTGAGACGGAGTTTCACTCTTGTCGCTATGACTGGAGTGCAATGGCGAGATCTCAGCTCACTGCAACCTCTGCCTTCCAGGTTCAAGCGATTCTCCTGCCTCAGCCTCCTGAGTAGCTGGGATTACAGGCACGTGCCACCATGCCCAGCTAAGCTTTGTATTTTTGTAGAGACAGGGTTTCACCATGTTGCCCAGGCTGGTCTTGAGCTCCTGATCTCAAGTGATGCGCCAACCTTGGCCTCCCAAGGTGCTGGGATTACAGGCATGCACCACCATGCCCAGCTAATTTTTATATTATTAGTAGAGATGGGGTTTCACCATGTTGGCCAGGCTGGTATTCAATTCCTGACCTCAGGTGATCTGCCCACCTTGACCTCCCAAACTGCTGGGATTACCGGCTTGAGCCACCACGCCTGGCCTATTTAATTTCTTAAGGATTTAATGAAATTTTATTAAATATTTTTATTAAAATAAAATGATTCATTGTTCTAGAACTTGATGTTCATCCAGTTGAAATATTTAAAAATTCTATCTACATATAGAAAGGTATAGCTCACATATTTATGTATGTCTTAGTCAATTCAGGCTGCTATAACAGAATGCTATAGACTAGGTGGCTTAAGCAACAGAAATTTATTTCTCATGGTTCTGGAGGTTGGAAAATCCAAGATCAAGGCACAGACATATCTGGTGTCTGGTGAGAGCCCACTTTCTTGTTTATAGGTGGCCGTTTTCTGTTTGTATCCTCACATACAGTGAAAAGAAAGACAGAGAGATCACTTCATGCCTCTTTTTTTTTTTTTTTTTTTGAGACAGGGTCTCACTCTATTGCCCAGCCTGGAGTGCAGTGGCAAAAACACAGCTCACTGCAACCTCCTCCTCTGCCTCCTGGACTTAAGCAATCCTTCCACCCCAGCCTCCTGAGTAGCTGAGACTACAGGTGTGTGCCACCATGCCTGGCTAATTTTTGTATTTTTTTTAGAGATTTTTTAGAGATGTTGCCCAGGCTGGTCCCGAACTCCTGGGCTCAAGCAATCTGCCTGCCTTGGCCTTCCAAAGTGCTGAGATTATAAGCATGAGCCACTGGGCCTGGCCCATCTCTTCTTATAAGGGCACTGATTCTATTCATGAGGACTCTGCCTTACAACCTAATTACCTCCTAAAAGCCCCTCCTCCAAATACCATCACATTGGGGATTTAGGCTTCAACATACGAATTTTGAGGGCACACAGACATTCAGTCCATAGTATGTATATCTGTATATTTATCTGTAGCTATAGCTCTATCTACACCAATTTAAGAGTAATATGAATTTATATGAATAATATGAATTGCTTAATATTACAAAACATTCCTCAGTTGCCTTGTGCAGCTTCTGCAATTAGCATAAAATCATAAATATTCTGGAAACACAAATTGGAACACAAAGAAAAGCAAGAAAATGGACAAGTCACACTCATGGGAAATGATGGTGTGACATGAGAGTCTGTTGCGTTCATGCTTTTTGAGGAGGATTTGATGAGTTTGTTAATTTGTCTTTTTTCTAATTTCTACACTTAAATCCTCCCTGTACTTTGAAGACTGTGTCTATCTCTGACATCAGCATTGGGACAATCTATAAAACCATCCTGCCATTCAAATATCGTCACTCTTTGTTTTGAGGACACAGAGCAAGAGATGGAGAAGTGTTTCCCCAGGGCCTGAACAGTGTTAGTAACCAGAGAAGATGTTTAGGATTACTTGATCACACTGTAACGGCAAATACAAGATCCTGAGTGACAGGGGCCCCAAGTATTATTTAATATGGGCTTCCCCAAATCCCTGACTGCAGTACTGCTCTGTGACCTGTTAGGAACCAGGCCGCGGGGCAAGTGAATGTTACCGTCTGAGCTCTGCCTCCTGTCAGATCAGAAGTGGCATTGGAATTCCATTGGAATGAGAACCTTATTGTGAACTGCACGTGCGAGGAATCTAGGTTTGAGCTACTTATCAGAATCTAACTACAGTTTCATCCGAAAACCATCTCGCGCTGCCCCACTGCACTGTCCGTGGAAAAGTTGTCTTCCACCGAAACTGGTCCCTGGTGCCAAAAAGGTCGGGGGCCGCTGCCTTAACACATTTGTGTGCTTGTGGTGTGTGTGCTCTCTAAAGTACAAGGCCCCAGGCAAAGACTCTTCGCCCCTGGGTCTGGGGCAGCATTGCCTGCAGCCTCCTCTCTGCCTCATCCATATCGCATAGACAAGAGCATGGCCTCTGGGTCAGGCAGACCTGAGCTCAGTTCCCAGTTCTGCCCCCTGGAAGTCTTGTGACTTTCAGCCATTGACTTTCCTGGAGCCTCAGCATCTCCATCTGCAAAGTGGGGGATCTAACAGGATCCTATTATGTAACAGGATTGTCTTCTAGGGTTGTTAGTGCAGGCCTGCCCCTAACACTTGCAGAGCCTGGGGCAAAAGCAAGAATGGAGGCCTAGGTGCACTTCACCCCCTGCTCTTCCCACACTGACTTCTCCACTCTATGTAGACATAAAAACTCATGTGTCCAATCTCTATTCACACATCCTCCCGTCTCTGAATACCTCTACCCTTGGCCATCGTTCGGGCCCAGGAGTGTACAGACTGATGACATGGTGCACCTTAGGGAAGGACAGACTGCTGGGAGAGGGGGCCTACGCAGACCCTAGAACTAGCCTTTGGGGTCCCAGGTACCCAAAGCATTGTCTAGATGGTGCTAGATGGGGGACTTGGGGGAGGAATGAGCATGAGTTCTAGTTGGACAGATCTCGTGGGACCCTCGGACTCCTCTCCTGTGGGGACAGGAAGACCAGGTCCTCTAAGGCAGAGGGCCCAGAGCAGGGCCCTGGTTGTCTGGCTCTGAAGTGGTCCTGATAGTGCAGAGTCCATGAAATGATGTTTATAAACTGCTTAGGACAATGCTTGGCACTTATTAGGTGTTGAATCCATATTAAGTGCTCAATAACTATTAGTTGTTAATATTATTATTATTAATATAAGAATCTGAAGGCTGAATCTCCTTTTCAAGGTTGTGATGGGAGTAAGTGAGATCGTGCAGAAGTACCAACTCTAAAGGCATTTGGATGAGATGAGTTGGCATCCCAGTGGGTACCGAGGCCGAGGTTGCAGGGTGAGTGTCCAACCTGCTTGCTGGAGGCACAAGGGACTGTTCTGTCCGCTGGAAGGTATAATCCCTTGCGTTGTGTCCTTCTCAAGGTGCTTAAGAGCTCTGCAATGACAGAGAATGGCTTGGTAGGGGCCTTTTCAGAGATCAATAAACAGAAGGCTAGGACAGGCTGTAGCTCTGCTAAAATCTATGTTAATGGGGCACTGCTATGTGCACAGATTCTGTGCTACAGTTTCTCTCTACAACTCTGTGAAGGAGACGCATTTCACAGATTAGGAAACTGAGCCTCAAAAGGTTAAATGACTTGGTCAAGGTCATGTTGCCAGGGAGGGGTAGAGTGTCTGACTCCCAGGGCCAAGCTGTTTCCACTGCACTATGATTCTGTGTCTAAGGCACAACTCATGGACAGAGGGTGAAAATCTTCCTAGGGAAGCCCCAGCTAAGTTCCAAACAGGGATAATGACAGTGTGGATTATGAAAGTGATCAGTTCCAGGAAGCATGCAGTAAATCCTGCTAGCTGAGCCCAGCCCAACCTGGGGCTGCTCTGTGACCTTGGCAAAGGCTCTATTCTCACCCACTCCTGTATCTGATGGTTGCTTGACAGAGGCTGGTGGAGGAGGAGGCCGCTCTGGTCTCTGATGGGCCCTAGTTCAGGCCCTTGATGGCATGAATGAAAATGATCTCAGAGCTTGGGTTTGTCTTCAGCTGTGTTGAGGATGGTGGTGTGGGTGAGAGCTGGGGATCACCCCCAGTCCCCAGTGCCAACCTCCAGGGACTTCAGCTTTCTCAGCTGTTTAGCCAAAAAGTCATCTCCTAGGGGGTCTGCTTAGGATGCTGTTTCTGCACCTCCACCACCATCTTCTTCCTGGTTCATGCCTTCCAGGTCATCCAGTCCTAAAGACTGATCCAAATAACCAAACCAGGGCAGCTAATGCCCTCAATGTCTTGACCTTGGAGATTTCCTTTAGATACACACAGCCTCCGTTCATGACTGATTCCATGCTCAAGCCCATTAAACAGCCACATTTGCACAATGAGGCATTCTGGGCTATGCCAGGAGAGCCTGGCCAAGATTAGGTTACCCAGAAAGCGGACCCTGTACAAGTAGTTTCTTTGGGTGGAGATCCCAGAAAGCAATGGTGGGGAACTGGGGAGGTGAGGCAAGGAAGGAGGCCACCGTAGGTTACATTAATGAGCAGGTTACTGCTGTGAGCTTTTGAAGCTCAGTGCTTCTAGAGACTTCTGGGAGACAGCATAGAATGAGTCTCAGAGTTGTTCCTTTTGAGGGGTAAAGATGCTGGGATATTTACCCACCGACCTACAGTTGTCATTGGCTAAGGGCTGTTCCCAGTGACTTTAGCTCCTCCGTACTCCTGGCCTGCCCTGTGCATGGGTCAAGCAAGCTTGTGCAGGAGGAGAAAGCCCCCAGGCAGAGTCATAGGACCTTGCAGTAGGCAGCCACCTGTCACAGGTACATGTGGGTGGTGGTTACAGGATCTGCAACAGAAGCAGCACCTTTTGGTCCTGCTGGGTTAGGGTAAAACAATGCTCTGAGCCACCAGGCAACCAAGAGTGAAAACTTTATTGCCCCAAGTACTTTACATGAATGTGACCAACACCACATTTGGGCAAATATATAAAAAGCACAACCTATTGTACAATTATTCCACCTTCTCGATTCATGCACTGTACAGACACTTCCCAGGTTTCTCTCCTTGGAAGGGGTGGGCACGATGGATGGCTTTCATGGGCAGCAGCTGCACTTGTCTGAGCCTCCTTTGCAGATGCAGCCCCGGGCACATTTGGCACAGCCCGGGGGGCAGCAGGGACAGCAGCCTGAAAGAGTCAGGAGATGCGCAGATCCGCTGTGGGTCAACACTTCCATCTCACCACTGCCCCTCCCACTACTTAGAGGAAGTAGGAAAAGAGGGGTGTGTGCATGAGGTTTCAATCCACATTAGCAAAAATGCTGAGATAGGAGGTTGAGGCATGTTAGAACTGGAAGGGATCCCAGGGACCATCTAGAGTCCATCAGAAGCCCACAGAAGGGAGGGGGTTTGCCAAGGTCATGAGACAGTGGCAAAAGCAAGACTAGAACCTAGGGCTCATGACTCCAGGCCAGTGCTCTATCCCTGTTACCACTGGGCAGGACAGAACTTCCCCTCAGTCCTCTTCCTGCTCCAAACACTGTGGATGCCCTTATCCCTGGGTAGAGACCTGCCATAGGTCTCTACATAGTTCTCATTTCAGATCTCTCCCAGATGGGTAAAAGGCATCTAGACCCCCTCCCCACAAGCCCCAATCCACCATGGCTGGAGGATTGAGGGTGGGGATGGGATCTTTCTTTCTTTCTTTCTTTCTTTCTTTCTTTCTTTCTTTCTTTCTTTCTTTCTTTCTTTCTTTCTCTCTCTCTCTCTCTTTCTTTCTTTCTTTCTTTCTTTCTTTCTTTCTTTCTTTCTTTCTCTCTCTCTCTCTCTCTTCCTTCCTTCCTTCCTTCCTTTCTTCCTTCCTTCCTTTTCTTTTTTGACTGAGTTTCACTCTTGTCACCAAGGCTGGAGTGCAATGGTGTGATCTCTGCTCACTGCAACCTCTGCCTCCTGGGTTCAAGCAATTCTCCTGCCTCAGCCTCCTGAGTAGCTGGGATTACAGGTGCCCACCACCATGCCCAGCTAATTATTGTATTTTTAGTAGAGATGGGGTTTCACCATGTTGGCCAGGCTGGTCTTGAACTCCTGACCTCAGGTAATCCACCCGCCTCGGCCTCCCAAAGTGCTGGGATTACAGACGTGAGCCACTGCACCTGGCCTGGATTGGACTTTTCTAACTCCCAGCCCATGGTGCCCCCAGTCACCATACTCACTCTTCCAATATGTTTTACAGTTGCAGGTTGTGCATTTGCAGTTGTCTCCACACATGCAGATTCCTCCTAGAAGACAGGACAGAGCCACCACAAACGTGAGGATGGAGATGGAGTGGGGAACATAAGGCATGATGCCGACTGTCAGAGTGGCAAGGCTCCTGGGCTATATCCTTGGGGACTGGCTGGACAAGAGGGTGACAAGGCTGCTGAGCATCGACCCAGTGTCAAGGACTCTGCAATAGTCCACAGTCACAGGCCATGGATGGGAACTGGCATGGCTGCATCAATCATGCCTGGGATAACTGTGAAAATGCAGATTCCTGGGACCAACCCTTGAGATGTTCTGATTCATAAGTCTTGGTGGGGAAATGGAGTCCATATTTTTGAAAAGCAACCCAAATAATTCTTATGTACAATGAGAACCAACAGACGAGGCCAGCGTTTCCAAGCCCAAGGTTCCTCTAAGAACTATCAAAGCCTTTCACACCCTCTTGGCTAGGCACAGTGGCTCACGTCTGTAATCCCAGCACTTTGGGAGGCCAAGACAGGTGAATCACATGAGGCCTGGAGTTTGAGATCAGCTTGGCCAACATGGAGAAACCCCATCTCTACGAGAAAAAAAAAAATTAGCCAGGCGTGGTGGCACACACCTGTAATCTCAGCTACTAGGGAGGCTGAGACACGAGAATCTCTTGAACTTGGGAGATGGAGGTTGCAGTGAGCCGAGATCACACCTCTGCACTCCAGCCTGGGTGATGGAGTGAGACTCTGCCTTAAAACAAACAAACAAACAAAAACCCCTTTCACACCCGTGTCACCTTCACAAGTCAAGATGAAAACTGTGAATGGTTTAAGAAAGGTCAAGGAACGTCAGTGAACTCAAAACAAGAGCCACAGAGCCACACCTTGTTTTGTTTGTTTCTTCCTTTCCTTTCTTCCTTCCTTCCTCTCTCCCTCATTTCTTTCTTTCTTTCTTTCTTTCTTTCTTTCTTTCTTTTCTTTCTTTCTTTCTTTCTTTCTTTCTTTCTTTCTTTCTTTCTTTCTTTCCTTCCTTCCTTCCTTCCTTCCTTCTTTCTTTCTTTCTTTCTTTCTTTCTTTCTTTCTTTCTTTCTTTCTCTTTCTTTCTTTCTTTTCTTTTTCTCTTTCTCCCTGTCTTTCTCTCTCTTTTCTCTTTCTCTCTCTCTCTCCCCCTTTCTCCCTTTCTCTTTCTCTCTTTCTCTCTCTCTCTCTTCCTTTCTCCCTTTCTCCCTTTCTCTCTCCTTGTTTCTTTCCTTCTTTCCTTCTTTCCTTCCGTTCTTTCTTCCTTTCTTTTGACAGGGTCTTGCCCTGTCACCCAGGCTGGAGCACCATGGTGGGAACACAGCTCACTGTAGCCTCAAGCTCTTGCCTCAGCTTCCTGAGTAGCTGGGACCACAGGCACGCACCACCACACCTGGCTAATTGTTTAAAGTTTTTGTAGAAACAGGGCCTTGTTATATTGCCCAGGCTGGTCTCAAATTCCTTGGGCATAAGTGATCATCCTGCCTTGGACTCCCCAAGTGCCAGGATTACAGATGGGAGCCAGCACCTTGTTTTTATATCATAATGATCATCTACACTTAAAAAAATTATCCCATTTTTCATTTTGAGTTTCAAAATGCTGGAAGCTTCTGCCTCTTTTGCAAGTTTTTGGTACAGAGACATCCTGTTAAGGACAAGGGAGTCTTGTGAGACTTCATTTTCTTTCTTTCTTTTTCTTTTCTTCTTTTTTTTTGAGAAAGGGTCTTGCTCTATTACCTAGGCTGGAGTGCAGTGGTGCATTCCTAGTTTGCTGCAGCCTCGAACTCCTGGGCTCAAGTGATCCTCCCTTCTCAGCGTCCTGAGTAGCTGGGACTAAGGTGCACCCTACTACGCCCAGCTAAGTTTAAAAAAAATTTGTAGACATGGAGTCTCGCTATGTTGCCCAGGCTGGTATTGAACTCCTGGCCTCAAGTGATTCTCCTGCCTCAGCCTCAAAGTGCTGGGACTACAGTTGTGAGCCACACCACCCAGACTTGTGAGACTTCTTCATACCATTTCCATGATTGTAAAAGCCCAGGATGGCTTTGAACCCTGATTTCTCTCCTTCTGGCTAACATGCTCCGTGGAATTAAGCAGTTTCAGAGACTCAAGAGTCCACATAAGTTAGGGGAGTCCACAACTCCCCTGACATCTGCAGGTGCTTAATGGTTTTAGCACTTTCATAGCAGCTCTGGGATGTGGTTGGCTGGGAATAAGGAACCTCAGTCTACAGGTGAGGAAACTGAGGACCAGAAAGAATAAGCGCCAGGGAGGGGACCGCAGCAATGGACCCAAACCAGGTTGCCAGATTCTGGTTTAGAGCTCTTCTCCTCACCCTGGTGACTGCCCTTAGGGGCCAACGCTAGAAAGACCAAAGTTTGCAAGTCCCCCTCTCAGCCATTCCCTGAGCTAGGATATCGATTCTAGAAAATCAGGCTGGGAGCCAACAGAGAGTGGGAGCTGCCCCAGAGGTGGCCAGTCCACCTGTCGGCTCCCAGGACGAACCCCATTGGTGGCTCCTAATTAGAGGGAAGAGAAGTTTTCATCAGGGACCTGCAGGCTCCCTGTAGGAAGCTGGTCCAAGGTTCCCAGACCCCAGGGAGGGCTTCTTTACTCACCAGACATGCAGACACATTCCCTGGGGTCCATGGTCCAGGTGTCCGAAAGGCTCCAGTGCTGTCACGGCTGGGGAAGGGAGGCTGAGTGAGCAGCAGCCAGAGGCTCCCCATTTATAGCCATGTGGGTGTAGTCTGCAGCTCACCCCACCTCTCCCTGGGGCCAGACGCCCTGCACACGGCCCAGCCAGATGCCTTGGGCTGGGAGTTGGGAAGAGCAGGCGGAGGAGGGCAGAGGAGAGGCCGAGCAGTACGGTCATTTGGGTGGCTTTTCACCAGGGGTGCAGGTGGCTGCACCCACCTCACCTGCCCGCCTGGCAAGGTTTCAGGGAACCAGGCTCAGGCTGAAATGCACACATGGAGCTCAGGTTGGCAGCTACGTCCACCCTGTCTCCAAGTCCTATGCATTCTATTATCTGCCATTTCTGTTCCCTCCTTCACAGGGGCTCCTCCTGCCTCGGCTCGGGGCCTCATCCTATCTCCCTGGTTGACTGTAAAAGCCCTTACTATGGGCAGGCAGGGGCCTCTATCCTTGGCCCTGAGATTTAGAAGTTCCCACCAAGAACCTCTACTGACTGCACCCTCCCCATGAGTGAGAGGGTGGAAAATCAGGGAGTTGTGCCCATCCAGAACATGCAACCTTTCCTTCTAGACCACACACAAAGCAGAAGCAGCAAGAGGGGACTTGGGAGAGATTTAACCACCTCTTCATCTCCATTATAACCCCAATCTTTGGTATGGGCAGCTGACTACTTTTCAGTTTGTTTGTTTGTTTTGAGTTGGGGTTGCATTCTGTTGCCCAGGCTAGAGTGCAGTGGCACGATCTCGGCTCACTGCAACCTCTACCTCCCGGGTTCAAAGGATCCTCCTACCTCAGCCTCCTGAATAGCTGAAACCACAGGCACAAGCCCCCACACCTGGCTAATTTTTTTGTGTATTAGAGATGGGGTTCTGCCATGTTGCCCAGCCTGGTCTTGAACTCCTGAGCTCAAGTGATCTGCCCACCTCGGCCTTCCAAAGTGCTGGGATTACAGGCGTGAGCCATTGTGCCCGGCCTATCTTTCAGTCTTTTGTAAAGTGCCCTGTAGAGGATGCAGCTACTAGCTTCCCTGACAAGCTGCCATCCGTACCCAATCGCCATGGAGAAATTCTGGAGCTGGTGCTGATTATACTTCCTCCAGGAAGCTACCTCTGATCACTCCCTTTCTTAGTTGGGAGAAATCTCTCTCTCTGTATCCCTTGGCTGATGTGTCTGTACATTTCTCATGACATTTACTACTTGCTAAGCTGCTGTATGATTATTTGTCTTCATGGCTCTTACCTTTCTCGCCCCAATCTGGGAGCTCTCAGGTAAAAAAACTGTGCCTGAAGCATCTCTAAACCTGTTCAATGTTCTGCACAATGTTGGATGAATGGATGAATTAATCAGATGAGTAATCAAATGACTGAAGGCATGAGTGAGAGAGTGGATATATAAGTGAACAAATGACTAAGTGAGTGACGAGTGGACAAATGCATGTATCTCCTGCATGTGGCTCTACTGAGGACCTCTGCTGAAATATGCCGTTGCCATTCAGAAAGGCAAAAAACCGGCCTGGCCATAAACAGTGGAGATCATTCCTCCCAGTTCTCAGCTTGGTGGGGTCTCCATCATTCACCCATAAGGACCACCTGGGCCTCAGTCTGACCCATGGAACCACGGATTTTGGACTGAGAGCTTCTAACGAGGAGAAAGGGATTTGGATCCATGGTCATCAGCAGGTCACTGTGGCAGGCACTGGGGAGGGGAGGAGGGGGCAATACTGTAGTGATCCCCAAGTGGTGCCTCCCTTAAAGGAGTTCACAGCCTAGTAGGGGACATGTATTCATTTATCACCCTCCAAGGGCCAGGCACTGTGCTGGGCACTGGGGAGCCAATGATGAGTAAAAGTAGTTTATGGTTCAGAAGTTTGGGAGGACATCTCAGTCCAGGAGACCCATGACCAGGTGTGGCTGCTCCCAGAGTCTTGAAGCTGGATCCATCTTCCCGGGCTTGCACCCCCAGCCCAGTTCCGGCACATCTCTCGTGGCAGGCCCAGCCTCCTCCACCTCTTGGGCTGCCCTCCAGCAAGTATTAATGGTTTAGAGGGTCTGGCCTAACCAAGTGAGACCAGAGAGAGGAAGCGATTTCCCTTCACCCTTATTGAAGCCATCTTTCTCCCTCCTCTGCCTAGGCCAGGAATCGCTTTTTCCTTGGATGATGGACAGTGTGAAGTTGCTTAAGGCCCCAACTAAATGATAATATCAAAACCAGGCCAGATGTGGTGTCTCATATCTGTAATCCCAGCACCTTGGGAGGCTGAAGCGGAAGGATTGCTTGAGCCCAGGAGTTCAAGCTGCTTGACTTCTCTGAGTCTCAGTTTCCTGATCTGCAAAATCTAGCTCGTGCAAATGACAACCCTACAGCACTGTTGTTGTGGAGGTCAAATGAGAGAACATATATTAAGCACTGAGTTCAAAATCTGGCGCAACATTATTATCACCAACATTATTACTATTAATATGATTATCACAATCTGTGTCTAATACAAATTGGTAGTTTGGTTTGGCCACCCACCCATTTGTATGTTTCAGGCTCGTAGATCCCCACATGGTTCTGCAGTCCTGAGCAGGATGCATTCATCAGCCATAAATACTGTGGCGTTTTTAGTCTCGGGGCTCCCAGCTTTTACACTCAACTTAACTTTTGGGTCCCAGGGCCAAGAGAGCACGGGGCACTGTCCTTTCTGATTCTCTTTGCTGCAGTTTCTGTTTGTTTGGAGGCAAAGTTGACCTTTCACCTACAGAGGCCTCTCTTGGGGGTATTTCTGGCCTTATATATAGGATTAGGCAGGAGAGCGTGGGGGTAAAATCAGAGTGGGCAGAGTGGCCTGTGGGGCACCAGCTTGACTCCTAGATGATCAGCACTAGAAGAACCCTGATAAGTCGGAAGTCAGCCCCTTGTTGTCCAAATAGGAAAACAGGAGCCCAGAGAGATGGGGCCAAGCCCTGCCACTGAGCTTAGGTTGGTGACAGGGGATATTTGAATTTGACTTCTCAACTTGTTGCTGGCAGTCATGCCTTACGTCCGAAGCCCTCGTGACAGAATGGTTCAGCACATTAAAGCCTCTGTGGCTTTATAAGCTGTTTATTAATTAATTTTTTGTTAGAAAAAAGTTCAAAGATACTAAAAAGTACAAAGAAAAGTATTCCAAACACCACTGTATCTACCACCCAGAATTAACAGATGTTGACACTGCCCTATTTACTTCAGCTCTTTTAATTATAAGAAATAAAAATTTAACAGGGCTGAGGACGGTGGCTCATGCCTGTAATCCCAGCACTTGGGGAGGCCATGACGGCAGGATCACTTGAGCTCAAGAGTTCGAGACCACCCTGGCCAACATAGCAAGACGTTGTCTCTACTAAATAAAAAAAAAAAAAAAAAAAAAAAAAAAAAAGAAAAAAAGCCAGGTGTGATGGCGTGTGACTGTAGTCGTAGCTACTTGGGAGGCTGAGGTGAGAAGATTGCTTGAGCCCAGGAATTCAAGGCTGCAGTGAACTATGATTGCACCACTGCACTTCAGCCTGGGTGACAGAGCAAGGCTCTATCTCAAAAATAAATAACTAAATAAATAAATTAACAGGCTAATGGCTCTAAACACCACCTATGGGCTGGTTGCCCCCAACTTATGCTTTCAACCCAGCCTCTCTTCCGATCTCCAATCTCATAGCCTGGCTGCTACTCCACACCTCCATGTGAATGTCAAACAGCATCTCAAATTCCTCCTGTCCCCAACTGAGCTCCTGCTCCTGCTTACCTCCTGCTAGATCCTCCCACAGTCTTGTCTGCCTCCATGGCTGCCACCTGATTCCAGCCACCATCATCCCCCCTAGACTCAGCACTTGTTTCCTAATTGGCCTGCCCACCTCTGCCCTTTTTTCTGTCCTTTTTACCTCTCTCCAAACCCTCTAATTAGCCACACAACACTCAGAGTGATTCTATTAAAATAAAAGTTACAGCCAGGCATGGTGGCTCATGCCTGTAATCCCAGCATTTTGGGAGGCCGAGGTGGGTGGAACATGAGGTCAGGAGTTCGAGACCAGCCTGGCCAACATAGCGAAACCCCGTCTCTGCTAAAAACACAAAAATTAGCTGGGCATGGTGCCGTGTGCCTGTAGTCCCAGCTACTCTGGAGGCTGAGGCAGGAGAACCGCTTGAATCTTGGAGGCGGAAGTTGTGGTGAGCTGAGATCCTGCCACTGCACTCCAGCCTGGGCAACAGAGCGAGACTCTGTCTCAAAAAAAAGAAAAATAAAAGAAAAAAAAGTTACATTGTGTCACTGCTCTGCTCAGAATCCATTAGAAGCTTTCCATCTCACTCAGTAAACAAAAAAGCTCTTGGCCACCGGGTCAGCCCCTGTTCCCTCTCTGCCTTTGGCACTTCCCAGCCTCTCTGCCTGCTTAGTCCTTGAACTTGTCAATCATGCCTCAGCCCCAGGGCCTTTGCACATCTCTAAAACATCTTCCCCTAGATATCTGCTTGAGCTATCTGAAGATATTTTTCCTCTCCTTCAGGTGAGGTAATCTCTGGCCACCTTATCTAAAATGTCCACACTATGTGCATGGCATTTTGCTTTCTTTTTCCTCTTTGGTACTTATCACCATGAAACATACTATATATTTTGCTTATTTTCCTTGTTTATTGTCTGACTCCTTTTCCAAAATGTGAGCTTCACATGTGCAGGGATTTGGGTCTGTTTTGCTCACTGCCATACACTCAGTGTCCAGAAAAGTACCTGGAAAAAAGCAGGGGCTCAATTTGTTGAATGTAATATATTGAAGTTCCTTTTATATTTCTTCCCAGACTACTCCCCTCTCTCTCCAAAGGAAGCCAATGATAAAATTCATGTGTATTCTCCCCATTCTTGTTTTTATTATTTTCTTATATATGTGTATACATATATACAGTATTGCTTTATAGGTTTTTAAAAAGTACATAAGTGGTACCATAACATAAATATTGTTCCACAACTGTTTTTTCCTTCCATCATTATGGTTTTTTTGTTTTTTGCTTTTTTGAGGTGGAGTCTCGCTCTGTTGCCCAGGCTGGAGTGCAGTGGCGCAATCCCGGCTCGCTGCAACCTCCACCTCCCAGGTTCGAGCGATTCTCCTACTTCAGCCTCCCAAGTAGCTGGGATTACAGACTCCAGCCACCATGCCCAGTTAATTTTTGTATTTTTAGTAGAGACGGGGTTTCACCATGTTTGCCAGGCTTGTCTTGAATGCCTGACCTCAGGTGATCCGCCCGCTTCAGCCCCACAAAGTGCTGGGATTACAGGCGTGAGCCACCATGCCCAGCCCCATCATTATGTTTTTGAGATCTATCTATGCTGATGCCTGATTATAATATCATATTGTATGAATATGCCATATTTTACTTATCCATTCCCCTACTGACATTTAACTTGCTTCCACGTATCCTCTATTACAAAAATGCTGCAAGGAGTAGCCTCGTTCACGCCACGCAGATGAGTGTTCATTCCTCCCTAGAAGGATGGCTAGGTTGTATGGGGCAATTGATCTCCAAAGATCCTATGCCAATTTATGCTCCTTCTAGCAATTTCTGAGAGTCCCTATTTCCCCAGTACCTCCTCCGATACTTCCTTTATTCAGACTTTGAAAAGTGTGCCCATCTAATCAGTGTGAAGAAGTGCAATGGTATCTAACTGAGGTACAATGTGTGTGTTTCTGCCTCCCAGCTTCATCAACCATTAACATCTGGAGAGTGAGCCATGGTCCAGTCTTCCCCATGCTGACTGTGCGTATCTCGTCAGCCCTTCACTCCCTAGCAAGAGACAGCACAGTGAAGATCATGGGCTGCAGACCTTCAGACTTGGTTTTCATCCTGGCTCCTCTCTCTGTTTGCTGTACAACCTCAGACACGCCCCCTTGTCTCTGTGAACTTCAACTACAAAATGGGGATAAGTGGGTCTACTCATGAAGTTATGGTGAGAATTGAGAAAATAAAGGTCTGACGTTTAACACACCAAGTGTTCAAGGAATGGCAGATGATATTAAGGTTTCATGTTTATAGCGGAGGGATAAGGCAACTTGATATGGAGTCACATATATTTGGAGTTCAGCCCCAATGCTCTCAACAAGGCACATCACCTTTCTAAACACAGTGTGTCATCTTTAAAAGGAAGATGATTATAAATGGAAGAACTACTGTCTTAGAGTAGTTCTAAGAAAGCCTCTCTCCCCAACCCAAATATATGCACACACACACACACACACACAAAATTCTGCTTTTCTGGGCCCCTATTCCACTCTGGGAGCCCCAGTAAGGAACTCCATAGCCAATGTGTAGCCAGCCTCCCAGGAGGTGGGTCTCAGCGCTGTGGATTGTAAAAACCAGGCCAAGGCTAATTAGGAGTTGCCTTGCTCAGGGCCCAAACCACCTGTGCACTTGGCAACCTTCACAGACTCTCCGGGGCTTGCGGCTGCTGGTTAATTACATGGGACTCGGCTCCACAGCTATAATTCAGTACCCACTGGGCAAGTGAAATCCTCTGCTTTGCACACGGCCCCCAGGAAGGATGAGTAAGGCTGAAGCCAACAATTACCCACACTCATTGCCCCCAGCAGCAAAGTGACTGGTCCAGGTTGGCTGGCAGCCCAGATGCAGGCTTCGGAGAGGGTGAGGAGTCTCCCTGTCCGTCCTTTCCTCCTTCCCTCCTCTTTTCTTTCTTTTCTTTGTTCTTTTCTTCCTTGCTTGCTTTCTCCTTCCTCTGTTTTTTTTTTCTTTCTTTTCTTTCTTTCTTTTAAAGACAGGGTCTCACTCTGTCACACAGGTTGGAGTACAGTGGCACAATCAGAGCTCACTGCAGCCTCAAACTCCTGAGCTCAGGGGATCCTCCTGCCTTGGCTTCTGGAATAGCTGAAACTACAGGTGTGCTCCACTGGGCCCAGCCAATTTTGTTTTTAAATTCTTTGTAGAGACAGAGTCTTGCTGTGTTGTTCAGGCTGGTCTTAAACTCCCGGCCTGAAATGATCCTCCTGTCTTGGTCTCTCAAAATGTTGGGATTATATGTGTTAGCCACCTTGCCCAGCCATTTTTTTCCTTTCTTTCTTTTTTCTTCTATCCTTCTTTAATCAATCTTTCAGCAACAATATTTAAGACCTACTGCATGCCAGGCTTTGAGCTTGCCCTCTGGATGGGGTGAATGAATCAGACACAGAGCTGAGCCGTGGTCCTTAGGAGCTTGCTTTTTTAGTAGGGGTGATGAGTATGTCCATGACCATCAGAAAAGGAGAACACAGGCAGGATTTCTGTGAGGGCACACAAGGGCAAGTAGGCACTTGAACTACCCCAAGAGTGAGCACCTCCTGAAATGCTGTTTCATAGGCACCTCACCCATCTCACTCTAATCTTGTCCCTTCATTTCTGCCAGTCTAGGTAGCCTCCAGGTTCCTCATGGGATGTTGGGGCTGGACTAGGGGTATTCAAGCTGTGCATGCTCAGAGCCCCAGGGGTTCATGGAGAATGGTAGGGGCTGCTGCGGATGGGATGCTAGGTCCATCTGTCCCCCACTTTCCCTATTTACACAGGCAACTCCTCTTTCAAAAATCCATTTTATCCTGTACATCCCACCTTTCCCCCCCTCACACATAATGCTTTTATGGTACCAGGGGAGATAGTGCTGAGTGAGAACCAGTTGGAAAACTGCTGAATACAAGCCCTGCCTAGCAAGGTTAGTGGACTTGCCCAGGACAACAGAGGGATTGTAGCAGATCTGCACCTGCAGTCCCAAGTGGAGGGAGCTCATGGCCCAGTGCTTTTCTATGTTTTTTCTTCTTTTTCAAATTATTTTTTCGGCCAATGTGGTGGCTCATGCCTATAATCCCAGTAATTTGGGAGGCCGAGGCAGGAGGATCACTTGAGCCCAGGACTTCCAGACCAGCCTGGGCAACATAGGGAGAACTTGTCTCTATAAGAAATTTTTAAAATGATGGCCGGGCGTGGTGGCTCATGCCTGTAATCCCAACACTTTGGGAGGCCGAGGCAGGCAGATCACAAGGTCAGGAGTTCGAGACCAGCCTGGCCAACATGGTGAAATCCCGTCTCTACTAAAAATAAAAAAAAAATTAGCCGGACACAGTGGCACCCGCCTGTAATGCCAGTTACTTGGGAGGCTGAGGCAGGAGAATCTCTTGAACCTGGGAGGTGGAGGTTGCATGAGCCATGCCACTGCACTCCAGCCTGGGCAACAAAGCGATATTCCATCTCAAAAAAAAAAAATTAAAAAAATTAAATGAGCCGGGCATGGTGGCACATACCTGTAGTCCCAGCTACTTTGGAGGCTGAGGCAGGAGGATTGCTTGAGCCTAGGAGGTCCAGCCAAGAGGCTGCAGCAAGCCATGATTGTGCCACTGCACTCTAGTCTGGGTGACAGAGGGAGACCATGTCTCTAAGAAATTTTTTAATAGAATAGAAATTATTTTTTTATTCTCAACTATTTTTAAAACAGACCAGAATTGAGAATTAAATATGAAACCTTCTCACATTATCAAATATTAGCATTAAGTTCTATTCATTTCAATGTTTTAAACAGTTGGAAAAAGTCAAAGACTGTGGAAACCCCCTGCGTAATCTTTCCTGATCTCGTTCTTATCCCACCACCAAACCAGGGAACCAATTTTACAAATTATATGTTTATCATGCCCACACATAGTTTTCTTTTATTTTTATGACCTATACTGTCTCCAGACCATGCACAGTTTTCTGCTTTTACTGCATATGTATGTATCTATAAAAATTACATAGTCTTGTGTTACAGGTTTATAAACCTTGTATAAAATGGCATCATTCTCCATGTAGCTTATTACCTTTTTTTTTTTGTCTTTTTTGTTCCTAAACTGGGAAGTTATTAAAAATCAGAGGTGTGGAAAGACAGAGGCATCCCGTGTGTCTGAGAAAATGATATAAACTGGTCCCAAAGTGGGACTGGCGAGTGCTGTGTCCCACTGAGCAATCAGAGGCTGCAGCATCAGCATGTTAGAAAGAACGCTGGACCACAGGGGAGAGGAGCCCCGCGTGGCCAGAGATCTTACAACAGTGTGAAATTTCAAAATTTACCCATGATTTTAACTGCTTTATGGTATTCTACTGTAGAACTATTTCACAGTTTATCCTTTTCCCTGTTGATGGGCATGTAGACATTTCTGCTTTTTCATTATGATGAACACTGTTGCAATGAATGTCCACATAGACATATTTCCTTATTTGAAATGCATCAGTTTCTCTAGGGGGCATGCCTAGGAGTGGACTTGCTGGTTTGAAGGGAATGTGCTTATTCTACTTTACTAGATATTCCCAAATCGCTCACTGTGGATGTTGACACTCCCATAAGCAAAGTACTCAAGTATCCATTTCTCTACATCCTTGTCAACACTTGGTATAATCAGACTTTCTAATTTTTTTTTTTTTTTGCAGAAATGGGGGTCTCACTATGTTGGCCAGGTTGTGCTCAAAATCCTGGGCTCAAGTGATCCTCCCATTTCAACTTCCCAAAGTACTGGGATTACAGGTGTGAGCCACCATGCCCGGATTCTAATTTTTGCCAGTTACATAGTGTGCTAGGTTTTGGGTTAGCCCAACCAGATACAACAGATATGAAATGTCAGTTCTTTGGTTGTGGATTTACATTTCCCTAATTACTACTGAGGCTGAGCATGCTATCGTAAATTCTCTGGCCATGTGGACCTCCTCTCTGTGGTCCAGTGTTGTTTCTAACATGCTGCACCCCATGATTGCTTAGTCGGATACAGCACTCACCAATCCCACTTTAGGACCAATTTATATCATTTTCTCAGACACACTGGGTGTTTCTGTCTTTCCACGCTTCTGACTTTTAATAACTTTCCAGTTCAGGAAGCTCAAAAATGCCATTGGAAGATGAAGATGCTGAACATACTGGTATATCCCCAGGGAGGTCGTCCAAGGTAGCTGGGGAGTGGAGGGAGGTGGCAGCCTGGATCAGCACCCTTGGCCTTCATGTCCACTGAAAGCAGTTGCTAACCCCATGGGGGATGGTCTTACTGACTTGAGCAAGGTCGGTATTAGGCTCCTGGCACTTTATCCCCCGTTCATTTAGAACCTTTTCCTTCCGGTTGTAATTAATTCATAGCAAGGAGTTCTGGACACAGTCTGTAATGCCTCTCACAAATACTTGAAGAAGAAAGAGGAAAGCAGAATAACTTGGAATTGACATAATTCTAGAATGCCAGAGCTCTAAGAGCAGGAACGTGGTCCAAACTTTCTCTTAGTCTCAACCCCATTTGCAGATTGGGAGCCTGAGGCCCTACAGGGGAAGTGTCTTGCCTGTCATTCCACCCCAGTGCGACCCAGCTGAGTGGGCTGGCGAATTGGGGAGGAAACTCCAGGTGCCTTTGAAACCTCTTAGGCGGCTATGGAGTGTGGCCCCTCGCAGAACCAACTTCTTGGATGAAGCAACCGCGAGGACCCCACAAAGTGCCATATGGCTCAACCCATGGTAAAAAGAAGAAGGTTTTATGATGTCATTGAAGAGTTCAGATACCCAGAGAAGAAGCCATTGGCGGGCATCACAGAACCGTGCGCTCAGATGTGAAATTAACTAAGGCACCCCTGTGCACCTTAAAAAGAGTCTCTATCTCTTCTCTTGCACTCCATCTGTCTTTTGTTTGTTTGTTTCTGTTTTTGTTTTTTTGAGACTGAGTTTTGCTCTCGTTGCCCAGGATGGGGTGCAATGGTGCAATCTTGGCTCACTGCAACCTCCACCTCCTGGGTTCAAGCAATTCTCCTGCCTCAGCCTCCCAAGTAGCTGGGATTACAGGCACCCGCCACCACACCTGGCTAACTTTGTATTTTTAGTAGAGATGGGGTTTCACCATGTTGGCCAGACTGGTCTCGAACTCCTGACCTGAGGTGATCTGCCCGCCTCGGCCTCCCAAAGTACTAGAATTACATGCATGAGCCACTGCATCTGGCCTCATCTCTTCTTCTTTTCCTTCTTCTCCCTTTTCTCTCCTCCTCCTTTTCTCTCATTCCTCCTTTACCCTCTCACCTCTCATTTGTCTCCTGTCTCTTCTTTTCTCTCTCCTAGTGCAAGAACACCAGCCTGGGACTCAGAGCATCTAAATCCTCCAGACTTACCCATTGGCATCGCTCACTCACGAGTTCACTTCCCTGCCCCGGCCTCGATTTCCTTGAAAGAATGAGGGGTTCACACCTGGAAGACTGCTCAGGCCCCTCCCAGCACTGTTGCTGGAGTAAGAAAACAACCGTTTGGAGGATGCCTGTTCCTAAGATTTCCAGAGGGGCAACCCCCCAGCCAATGTTCCCCAAAACCAGTTTGTATAGGAGGCATTGGGATCATAGACCCTCTTGGGAGAAACTTCACTGATTGTTCCTTGTCCCTAGGCACTTTTTGCCCATGCTTTTCCCCCAAAGATATGGGTGTGAATTCAGCAGCTCAGGCCCTGCAGCCCTTGCAGGGTGCTCGACACAGAGTGGGTTTGCCAGATTTCCACCATTTCCTCCTGTTCTGAAATCCCTGGGGTCTGTGAGCTTCTGTTTGAACAACCCTCAGGTAGCGGCACCAAGGCTCAAACCAGAGAGTCCTTACCCACCTAGCAGGGATTTCACTACAAACCCAGACCATTGTACACTGGTTGTGTGTTGATTTCTCCAGTATGAATATATAGTTCTCTGAAAATAATAAGATCATTGGCTGGGTGAGGTGGCTCACGCCTGTAATCCCAACATTTCGGGAGGCTGAGGCCAGAGGATAGCTTGAGCCCAGGAGTCTAAGACCAGCCTGGGCAACATAACAAGACCCCCATCTCCACAAATGAGTTTAAAAAATTAGCCAGGCCATTGTGGTGTGCACCTGTGGTCCCAGCTACTTGGAAGGTTGAGGCAGGAGGTCCACCTCAGCCCAGGAGGTCAAGGCTGCAGCGAGCCATGATCATGCCACTGCAGTTCAGTGGGTGACAGAATGAGACCCTTTCTTAAAATATATATCTCAGGCTGGGTGTGGTGGCTCATGCCAGTAATCCCAGCACTTTGGGAGGCTGAGATGACCTGAGGTCAGGAGTTCAAGACCAGCCTGGCCAACATGGTAACAACCCCATCTCTACTAAAAATACAAAAAAATTAGCCAGGCGTGGTGGCATGTGCCTGTAATCTCAGCTACTCAGGAGGCTGAGGCAGGAGAATCGCTTGACCTGGAAGGTGGAGGTTGCAGTGAGCCGAGATAGCATCACTGCACTCCAGCCTGAGCGACAGAGTGAGACTCAGTCTCAAAAAAATAAAACAAATTAAAAAAATCAGATAATCTCCAATTAATGTTAGGTAGAAAAAACAAAGGCGACAGTTTGAGCATTAATAGAAGGAGAAGAATTACCCACAGCTTTCATTTCGTGTGTTGTAAAGGGGCTGACAGAGCTTGTTGCCCCCATCAGTAGTGCCTGTGGGTTACTGACCTAATGTCCTCACACAGATTGGATCTGGGAAGCCCAGCCTGAGAATGAGGCAGGGTGGCCACGACAACCCTGGCTGGGCATGAAGGCCTGGGTGTGCTAGAATTCCTGGGCCAGATACAGGTCTGAGGGAGCCTGGGATGGACACAGATATATGCTGTCACTGCTTTGATTCTCTCTCTCTCTCTTTTTCTTTCTCTCTCTCTCTCTTTCTCTCTCTCTCTCTCTGTAGCCTTGGGCAAGCTACTTGTCCTCAGTTTCTCTGCCAATAAAATAGGGTAATAACATATCCCTTTAAGGGTGCTTCTTAAGAATAATTGGCCAGTTTTTGCAGGGCACTTTGAAGAAAATTGCTGTGGGGATGTTCTACTGGCCCTGGAATTTTCCTTCGTGCAGATATCAAACAGACAAGGATGGCCAATGTTCTGATTCTGGCACTCCCAGCCGAACCACTTTCCCCAGTTCAGTTGGAAGAGAGGAAGCGGGAGGGGCTGTGATCACAGCCTGGGCCTGCCTAGAATATTAAAGGCACAACCCAGCCTTTGATGCCTGCCTGCAACGCTTGTTAATTTTAATAGGAAGTGAGCAGAGTCCAGAAGCCTCTGCTTGGCAGAAGAAAACAGGTCGAGGCCAAAGAGGATGTGTGCCAACTAAATTTAGATCTTGTTTGGCTTTGAAGTGCTTGGCCCCAGTGCTAGAATTACAGGACCTAGAGGTCAGCGGTTGGGAGGCAGGGGGCTGGGGAAAGTGTAGACCTTAGGCCCCTCAGTTCCCAGCTCAGCCAGGAGCAAACGGCCCCGTCTCAATTTGGGAATCACCTTAGAGTCAACAATATCCAGAGCTGATGAATTCTTGGGAAACTTTGAATTAAAGATTTCAAACTGAGGTGCATTCAGGGGCTAGGTGGTTAATACACAAGAGTGAAGTAGGCTGATTGTAGGTAAAAGGGGGTGGCGGGGACTATGGCAAACTGTCTGAGCTTCAGTTGAATATTGGGATTTGGGAATAAGGATCGAATTTTGCTGGCTCTTCTGAGTTTTTGGGGGTGGGGGAGGGGATTGGGGCAGGGATGGAGTCTCACTCTGTCTCCCAAGAAGGAGTACAGTGGCGTAATCTCAACTCACTGCAACCTCCATCGCTGGGGTTCAAGCGATTCTCCTGCCTCAGCCTCCGGAGTAGCTGGGATTACAGGTGGATGCCACCACACCTGGCTAATTTTTGTATTTTTAGTAGAGATGGGGTTTCACCATGTTGCCTAGGGTGGTCTTGAACTCCTAACCTCAAGTGATCTGCCCACTTCAGCCTCCCAGAGTGCTGAGATTACAGTTGTGAACCACCATGCCCCGCTTAGCTCTTCTGATTTTATAGAGAAATTGAAAATCAGGACTGTGTGTGTGCCGGGGCAGGGGGGCAGGGTAATATTGCAATTTTTAAACATGGACAAGTTTTAAACAATGACAAGGAGCTGTTCCTTCTGGGATTTGACACTTCAGGAGCAGAACACTTCATAAGATCCTTCTGAGTCAAGTCAGTTGGAGGAGATGTTTCTTTGCCTTGAACGCTTTTAAACTTCAAGGGAGACCTCGAATCCTTCTAATTGTCAAAGCTTCCATCCCTCTGCATCCACTTTGGGACTTTATAGATCTAATTCAAGCCAAACCTCCTTTTCTCCACGTGGAAGAGGCCTCATTTCATAGCTTTGTCATCTCTGTAGGCATCTGCAGTTGCCTGACAAATATACCCAGGTTTGAATGCAAATGCTCCTAAAGTGTCTTCACCCACCTTTCATCCCAGGGCTTCTGGAAAAGTAGAACACATGTACCTGCTGACACGGGCCCGAGGACATAGGGAGGCCAGAGAGTGGCATCCTTTTACCAACCCCACAGGAAGCAGGAAGATGGGATGACTGGACACTTCTTTTTTGTTGTTGTTTGTTTGTTTGAGACGGAGTCTCGCTCTGTTACTGGAGTGCAGTGTCAGGCTGGAGTGCAGTGGCGCAATCTTGGCTCACTGCATCCTCCACCTCCCAGGTTCAAGCAATTCTGCCTCAGCCTCCCAAGTAGCTGGGATTACAGGCATGCCACCGCGCCCAGCTGATTTTTTGTAATTTATTTTTTTTGGTAGAGACATGGTTTCACCATGTTGGCCAGGGTGGTCTCAAATTCCTGACCTCAAGTGATCCACCCACCTTGGCCTCCCAAAGTGCTGGGATTATAGGTGTGAGCCACTGCACCTAGGAGCCACTTCTCACAGAATGGATGCCTGGCAGAGACCCACTCATGTATTCATTCATTCATTTATTTCACAAATATTTACCAAGGTCCTAAGATGTACTGGGTTCTAGACTGTATGCTTCAGAGGTAGCAATCCTTTAAACTAAGCAAGTCCTTGCCCTCCTAATTCTAATAGAGGAGAGAGAAGACAGACGAATCATCACACCCATGAGTAATCACAAAGTGTGACATGTGACATGGAAGAATACAGATGCATAAAGGGAAACCCAATTCAGACAAAGGAGGTGACCCTTCAGCTGCAACTTGTGGAGGAAGGAGCGTTCCTGGCAGAGGGAACAGTATATGCAAGGGCCCGGCGGCTGGAAAAAGTTTGGCTTTGAGAAACTGAGAGAACACCAGTGTAGCTAGAAGTAGTGACTAAGGGGAAAGCATTTACTGCAAGAGCTATGAATCGAATGCCCACAGGGTTTAGCAGGTTTCACAAATGAGTAATGTGAGCCAGGTCAGAGACAACAGGGAGGAGTGGGGACTGTGGCAAACTGGAGAAAACATGACCTGTAGAAAAGAGGCAGCTACTGTTCAACTGCAGCCAGTTTTACACATATGGAGATGGAAACAGTGAGTCCAGTGTTGCCAGATATATTGATTTTTCAAAAGAACCTCTAAATAGGTAGTTTTACACAAAATCTCCAATTAAAAAAACAACATTGAGAACCTCACAACACATCTGACAGCCTGGGTGCTACCTCCTTGCAGCCCCTGAACTGGGTAAATCCACAGGGGAGAATCAAGGAATTGTACAGCAGGGAACGTCTCACACTCATGTGAGGAAACTGAGGCCCAAAGAATTCTCAGCCCTCAGCCCTTGTTCCATAGGTGGTTTCCTGAGGAACAAGGAACATTTCAGGTGGATTTTCTCTTTGGGACCCAGGCAAGCTTTTACTTTGGTGCTTAGTTTTCTAATTTGCAACTGGGAGTGTTGAGGCCAAGTTTGGCCAAGTTTGGCAGCTGCCTGGGGCTATGGTGTGTGGGGTAATTAGGGCTTGGAAATAACTTTGAAGCTTTCCAAAGCAGAAGAAAGAGCTAAGTACCCAGTAAAGCTCAGAAGGGGATTTCAAAGGCTTGTTCCTTAAAGTGCTACCATATGCTTCATCTCATCCCATGTCCAGGGGACCTGATCCAGAGGGTATATGAACAAGTGGCTGCACTCTGCTGTGGGAACCTGGGGAGCACACCAGTGTATTCACATCTCTCCTATCACCCTATCTTTTCCTTTAGTTTCCCTTTTCTTTCTCACCCAGGTACTCAGTGAGCCCCTTCTGTGTGCCAGCCACAGTACCAGGCAGAAATACATCCCCACGGAGCTTGCAAACCCAGCAAGGAAAATAGGGAGTCAGAAATTCCACATGCATGGCTGGGTGCGGTGGCTCACATCTGTAATCCCAGCACTTTGGGAGCCCAAGGCGGGTGGATCACATGAGGTCAGGATTTCGAGACCAGCCTGGCCAACTTGACTAAACCCTGTCTCCACTAAAAATACAAAAACAAACAAACAAATAAAATTAGCCAGGCATGGTGGCATGTGCCTGTAATCTCAACTACTTGGGAGGCTGAGGCATGAGAATCCCTTGAACCTGGGAGGCAGAGTTTGCAGTGAGCCGAGATTGAGCCACTGCACTCCAGCCTGGCCGACAAAGCGAGACTCTGTCTCAAAAAAAAAAAAAAAAAAAAAAAAAAAAAAAATCCATGTATAGTGTGTGTTACAAGGTGGAACTTGTAGGGGCCCTAGAAGCCACAGAAGCAAATAACCCTTTTAGGGGCTTCATACCCCCTAGTCCTGGGTAAGTTATGCTACAGTTGAAATCTGAACATTGAGCAGGAGTTAGCCAGCGGGGAGGAGAGGATGGGAGAATATCCCAGGGAGAGGGAGCTTCCAGGATCAGAGGTTGGAGGGAGGATGAGGGAGCTTAAGGAGTCTCAGACCTCAGAGATGTCTACACTGGCAGAGCCCCAGAGCCCAAGGCCAAGCCATAGACTGGCAGCTAGGAAGTGAATCACACACTCCCAGAGCCTTCGGAGCCAGAGTAAGGGTGTTTTTGTTTTTGTTTTGTTTTGTTGTTGTTGCGTGTGTGTGTTTTTACCTTGAGGGTAATAGGAAGTTTCTGAGTTTCAACCCAAAAGGAAATGTTAGGATTTGATTGCATTTTTTTCAGAGCTCAGTGGTTACTTCCTTGATTTCATCTCCTTACAGGAAAATCTTGGCCAATGAATTGCTTCTAATTGTATTCTTCTCTGGTCACCAAATCTCATTTTTGCATCTTTTCTGCATCCTAAGACACCGGCACCTCACTTGCAAAATAGGTACTATTGTAAATCTGTATTTGAGATGAACACTGGCTCAAAGAAGTCATCTGCAAAGGTCTCCCAGCCAGGAAGAGGCAGAGTGAGGATTTGAACCTCAGTCTATCTGGTTCCAAAACCCAGGCTCTGTGAACAATGCAGGGATGGTCAAGATAATGGATCAGGTTACCACTACGTTTGTAGGGGGATGAGGAAAGTGGGAGGAGGCAAGCTAACCATACTCATCTGTTTATAAATAGAATACATCTGCCAGGAGACCACTTCCTGTTTAGTACAGAAATGCAGAACCTGGCAGAATGCTTGGGAAGTGACCTGTCTCAGCTACATTTCCAGGTAGAAAAAAATCTCCTACCTGTGCCGCAACCCCACAGATGCTGAAGGGAAAAAAAAAATCCCACCTCTAAAATCAGCATCTGCAAAGAGCTAGGTTCAGGAGGAGCTGAAGCTTTGCTCTGTGTGTGTTTGCATACTAATGAGGCTCATTACCAAGGGCCTGACCTCCAGGGTTCTTAAAATGCCAGCTTTTATCCAAGGCTTTTTTCTTTCAGAGAACACTGAGCTGGTTCCTGGGACGGATGCAGCACAAAGGGGCTTTTCAGGGCCTCCTGTTGAACGAAGTGTTCTGTTCCCATCGAAGCTTTGAAAGACGTGGGGAGAAAACAAACCCAGAGTGACTAAGAAGTGCTGCTTCTCAGGGATGGGCAGATAGACGCCCTGCAACGTCCCGGGACAGGCCTGCCGTGGGATAGGGAGGCTGCCCTTGGCATGGGCTGCCATCATGTACCCAGCACCTTTGGTAAATTATCGCTGTTGGGCTTATAGCTAGAAAACCTGAAAGGAGACGTGAGTCACTGGACATGTTGAGACACACATTGGTCCAAATGTACCAGAAGATACAGATCCTCCTCTTTCCAGCACCCAGAGAGGACCAGAAAGGCTCAGCCTGGCATTAATACGGTGGGTTTCCCTGTAGAAGGGCTGGGTCCACGGTAGAAAATCAGACCATTCCTATAAGCTCAGGAAGAGATCACAGAGGAAAAAAATAATACAAGTGACTTTTAGAGCAAATGATAAGATTTTCACCTGCACTTTTAATGATAGAAATGAGAATTAAAACTACGAACAGATAGCATTAAAAAACACATGTGACCCGGGCTCAGTGGCTCACATCTGTAATCCCAGCGGTTTGGGAGGCTGAGGCGGGCAGATCACCTGAGGCCAGGAGTTTCAGACCAGCCTGCCCAACATGGCAAAACCCCATCTCTACTGAAAATATGAAATTAGCTGGGTGTGGTGGCGCATGCCTGTAATCCCAGCTACTCAGGAGGCTGAGGCAGGAGAATCACTTGAACTCAGGAGATGGAGGTTGCAGTGAGCCGAGATCGTGCCATTGCACTCCAGCCTGGGCAACAAGAGCAAAATTCTGTCTCAAAAAAAAAAAAAAAAGAAAAAAATTCCACGTGATTAGCAAAGATCAAAAAATGTGAACTGTACTGTGCAGGGTGGCTGTGAGAAGGTATGTGTGATCAAGTGCTGATGGTGATGTGCTAACTGGAGGGTGACCACTGTAGCTTTCAAAATGTAAAAGGCACATGTATGTTCACAAAGCAGCTCCACTTGTGGGAGATTATTCTGTATATTTCTTTACACATTGTGCACAAAAAAGTGGCTGTCATTCATTGCAATCTTGTTTGTAAGAGACTGGAATAGGCTTAAATGTTCATGACAACGGGAATGGGTTCAATGAGTTATGATACGTCCGTATGGTGGAATTCTAAATAGCCCATAAAAATATAAGGTATGCTGGCCACGGTGGGTCACAACTGTAATCTCAGCACCTTGGGAGGCTGAGATGGGAGGACCGTTTGAGCCCAGGAGTTCGAGACCAGCTTGGCATCAGAGTGAGATCCAATCTCCACAAAAAATAAAAATAAATAAAAATTAGCTGGGTGTGGTGGCACATACCTGTGATCCCCGCTACTTGGGAGGTTGAGGTGGGAGGATTGCGTGAAGCCAGGAGGTTGAGGCTGCAGTGAGCCATGATCACACCACTGCACTCCAGCCTTGGCAACAGAGCAAGACCCTGTCCCAGAAATAAAACAAAACAACAACATCAACTGCAAATACACAGTAGCTCTATGTGTCACCAAATGGAAGGATCATGAAGATATTATGTTAGAGGAAAAACAAAGTGTAGATTGGTATGGATCAGGATACCACTATTTTTGCTGGGGGGATGAGGGAAGTGGGAAGAGGCAACCTAACCATATGTGTTTGTTTATGAACAGAATATATCTACTGGGAGACCACTACCTGTTTAGTACAGAAACGCAGAACCAGCCAGGTGCTGTGGCTCACGCCTGTAATCCCAGCACTTTGGGAGGCCAAGGTGGGCGGATCACCTGAGGTCAGGGGTTCGAGACCAGCCTGGGCAACATGGTGAAACCCCATCTCTACTAAAAATACAAAAATTATCCGGAGGTGGTGGTGCATGCCTGTAATCCCAGCTACTTGGGAGGCTGAAGCAGGGGAATTGCTTGAACTTGAGAGGTGGAGGTTGCAGTGAGCCGAGATCGCACCACTGCACTCCAGCCAGGGAAACAGAGCAAGACTCCATCTCAAAAAAAAAAAAAAAAGGAAAATAAATGCAGAACCTGGCAGAATAGAGGTGTACTTCTGAACCAAACAGGTAGTGGTAGTGCCTCTGAGAGGACTAGGGAGCTGAAGGCACACTCAGCTGGGAGGGAAACTTACACTGGAGGTGTTTTTTTTTTTTAGCATTTGGATTATTTTTACTATATGCTTGTATTAACGTTTTCAAAAAAAAAAGTAAGCGAAAAAAAAGATAAAAAAAAAGCAAAAATAAAAGAAAATATAACATCACCCAGAAATAAGCCCTGGTAAGATTTTGACTCAGAATTTTCTGTTGTTTTGGAATTAATTTCAAACTTAAAGAAAACTGGCAATAACAATAAAAAGATCTCTTTACTCACATGTGTGCCTGGCCACATCTGCTTTGTCATTCCTCTTTCCCATTTCACTCTCTACATATATGTAGATATATACAGTACATATATATACATATATATTATATTTCCCTCTGAACTATTTGAGAGTACATTGCCCCTTTACTACTAAATACATCATTATATATTTCCTAAAGGCAAGGATATTAATTTATACAACCATAACGCAATTAACAATATCAGGAAATCTAACTTTGATATGATACTACCATCTAGTCTACAGACCTTACTTAAATTTCCACAATTGTCTCACTCGTGGCCTGTACAGCAATTGTTTTTCTCATTCAGGATCTAACCCAGTACCAACAATTACATTTAGTTGTCCTGTGTTTTATTCTCTGTTCACGTGAAATAATTCCTCAGCTTTTCTTTTTCCTCATGACCTTGACAGGTTTCTTTTTTTTTTAAATAGAGATGGGGTTTCACCTGTTGCCCAGGCTGGTCTGGAACTCCTGGGCTCAAGCGATCCGCCTGCCTTGGCCTCCCGAAATGCTGGGATTACAGGCGAGAGCCACCAAGCCAGGCTGACCTTGACAGTTTTGAAGAGTATAGGCCAGTTATTATGTAGAGTGCCCCTCAAGGTTTGCCTGATACTTTCTTAAAATTAGATACAACAGGTTCTGCATTTTTGTCAGCAACAGAAATGATGCTATGTCCTCAGTCCATCCTGCTGAGAGGTGTGTGATGTCAGTTTGTCCCATTACTGGTGACATACATACATTTTTAAAACACAAAAACAGTTAGCTTATATTAAACAAGCTACTTTGCAACTTTCCCTCTCCCCAATCACAGACGGTCATCATTTTTATTTTTTAACATTAACCATTTTTAGTTTTATTTTATTATTTATTTATTTATTTATTTATTTGAGATGGAGTCTCACTCTGTCGCCCAGGCTGGAGTGCAGTGGCACGATCTTGGCTCACTGCAACCTCCACCTCCTGGGTTCAAGGGTTTCTCCTGCCTCAGCCTCCTGAGTAACTGGGACTACAGGTGCCCGCCACCATGCTCCGCTAATTTTTGTATTTTTAGTAAAGACGGGGTTTCACCATGTTGTCCAGGCTGGTCTCAAACTCCTGACCTCAGGTGATTCGCTCACCTTCGCCTCCCAAAGTGCTGAGATTACAGGGGTGAGCCACTGTGCCCGGCCAGTTTTATTGTTTTTGAATAGGTAATATAGTCATATGGTATAGTCGCTGGAACCACAGGCATGTGCCACCACACCCAACTATTTTTTTTCTTTTCTTTCTTTCTTTCTTTCTTTCTTCTTTTTTTGTTTTGTTTTGTGTTTTTGTTTTTTGTTTTTTGTTTTTTGTTTTTGTAGAAACAGTCTCACTATGTTGCCAAGGCTGGTCTCAAACTCCTGGGCTCAAGCAGTCTTCCCACCTCAGCCTCCCAAAGTGCTGGGATTATAGGCGTGAGCCACCGCACCTGGCCAGCAGGCTCCTTTGATCCCTCTGGAAACAGCCAAGATTTCTTGGAGACCAGCCTAGTAGATGAGATGGGACATTCCTTTGGGCTCAGAAAGCAAGGTCTGGGTTTCAAGTGATGCTGTAACCATCTTTCCATGGTGAATAGATATACTTCCACATCAGCATCTAAGGAGGCTCATTTCAGTCCTGTTTCAGGGAAGCCCAAGATCCACACGTCAGAGGCAAGCAGTGGGAGGGAGGGTCTGGGAGCGCCATGAGCAGGAGCTATAGACTGGGACCATAAGCCTAAGCCTGAGCAGGCCAGGGTTCCAGCCAGACTCTGCTACTAATCAGTTAGCTGGGTGACCCTGGGCAACTCACTCCTTTTTTCATCCTTCTTTCCTCATCTGTACAATAGGCATAATTCTACCACTACATTTATTTGTATTTTTGTTTTTTGGTTGGTTTTTTAGAGACGGGTCTTCACTCTGTTGCCAAGGCTGGAGTACAGTGGCGCCATCAGAGCTCACTACAGCCTTGAACTACTGGGCTCAAGCGGTCCCCCTGCTTCAGCCTCCCTAGTAGCTGGGACTATAGGTGGGCGTCATGGCACCTGGCTAATTTTTTTATTTTTGTAGACATGGGGTCTCTCTATATTGTCCAGGCTGGTCTTGAATCCTGGGCTCGAATGATTCTCTTGCCTCGGTCTCCCAAAGCACTGGAATTACAGGCATAAGCCACCATGCCTGCTCAGCCAACATTTAGCTGTTTTGAGGAATAAATGAACTAATCTGTAGGAAGCCCCTGGTACTTAGCAGGCACTTAGTAAAAGTAACTACAACTTCCCAACCCAACAGGGAGGTAGAAATCACAGCCAGCAGGTGACCGTGGGGGCTCTCCCAGTACACACCCCTTTCAAAACCCACAGGACAGCAGCCCCACCCACATCTGCTGGACTTGCTGAAAGGCATTGATTTTAATGACAATTTCACTTCCTTTGATGTATCATTAGTACTTCTAGAAAGCCCAAAATACTGCCTTCCTTTGAGTCAGAGACTCTTCCCTAATAGCCCCTATTCCTTCAAACTATGAAACTGAAGGGAATGCTTTCTTTGGTAAGGGGTTTTATTGACTTTTCTTGGGATGTGGGGTTCTTACCCCATGTGGGCGGCTATGAGACTCAGGAGTCATTCAGTTGTTCCCTTCATTCAAGAAAGATTAATTGAGGGCCAGGCAGTCTTCCACCTAGGTACTTGGAGTAGATACAACAGCAAACAAAACTGGTGAATATCCCTGGCCTCGTGGAATTTACATTCTTAGAGAGAGCAGGAAGAAATAGAGTAAACATAACCAATCAATCATGCAGTTTGTCAGACCATGCAGTTGTTTGTTAGAAGGTAATACATGCTATGGGAAAAAGTACAATAAAGAGGCCCAGAAGTTGCTGGGGTAGGCAACATGTGGTGTATACAATCAAATGGTCAAAGTGGGCTTCTTAGAGGAGATGCAAAGCCCTTCAACAGCCCTGTGAAGTGGTGTCCATTTCACAGAGGGTGCAATTGGGGCAGAGATGGGCTAAATAACTTGCCTGAGGTCACACTGCAAGAAAGGGCAGGGCGAGGATTCTAACCCAGGCTGACTGGCTTGAGGCTGCATTTCACCAATTCCTTATATAAGAGCTGCAAGGAATCTGGGGATGAGGAAACTGTGGCTCAGAGAAAGAAGAGAAAGTTGCCAAAAGTCATGGAGCAGGAGGAAGTGTGGGGTTAGTGAATCTTTTCTCAACAGGGAGAGAGGTGCCCTAGACTGGCGTTCCCAAAAGGGAGAGGCTTTTAGATGATCCATGGAAAAACTTTTTGTTGTTGTTGTTTTAATAGTTTTAACTTATGTATATGAAAAAGAAATTATAAATGCATTGAAAATAATTTCACAAAGATTAAATGCTTAGGATGAAAAATTTTTTTTGGGGGGGGACAGAGTTTCGCTCTTGTCCTCCAGGCTGGAGTGCAGTGGTGCGATCTCAGCTCACTGCAACCTCCACCTCCCAGGTTCAAGCGATTCTCTTGCCTCAGCCTCCTGAGTAATGGGATTACAGGCATCTGCTACCACACCCAGCTAATTTTTCGTATTTTTAGTAGAGACGGGGTTTTGCCACATTGGGCAGGCTGATCTTGAACTCCTGACGTCAGGTGATCTGCCTGCCTCGGCCTCTCAAAGTGCTGGAATTACAGGGGTAAGCCACAGTGCCTGGCCAGGATGAATAATTTTTAAGTGAGTTAATTTAATAAAGATAGTACTAAATAAACTATAGCACAGGTGGAATGTAGTTATGGCAAAATTCAGAGGACAGTGCTTCATGCTGAAGTTTGGAATGTTTTGCCTTCAATCTGTTATGGGACCAACAAGTTCGTATGTCCATGGTACAGTAACAGACAAATACACTAAGACAGCAGGGTTTGCAGCAGAGAAAGTTTTTGCAGAGCACCAAATGAGGAGATAGAAGAAGACTCAAATCCATCTCTCCGAGGAGTGCTGGGCTGGGGTATTTTTTTTTTTTTTTTTTTTTTTTGAGGCAGAGTCTCACCCTGTCTCCCAGGCTGGAGTGCAGTGGCGCTATCTCAGATCACTGCAACCTATGCCTCCCGGGTTCAAATGATTCTCCTGCCTCAGTCCCCCAAGTAGCTGGGACTACTGGTGTGCACCGCCATGTCCTGCTAACTTTTGTATTTTTTTTTTTTTTTTTTTGAGACGGAGTCTTGCTCTGTCGCCCAGGCTGGAGTGCAGTGGCGGGATCTCGGCTCACTGCAAGCTCCGCCTCCCGGGTTCACGCCATTCTCCTGCCTCAGCCTCCCAAGTAGCTGGGACTACAGGCGCCCGCCACTACGCCCGGCTAATTTTTTTGTATTTTTAGTAGAGACAAGGTTTCACCATGTTGGCCCGGCTGATCTCGAACTCCTGACCTCAGGTGATCTGCCCGCCTCGGCCTCCCAAAGTGCTGGGATTACAGGTGTGAGCCACCACACCCAGCCTGGGCTGGGGTTTTTAAGAGGATCATGACAGGTGAGGGGCTGGAAAATTGGGGCCATTGATTGGTTGGGGTAAGAGGAATGAAATCGTCAGGATGTGGAAACTGCGTTTTTTGGTGAGTCAGCTTCTCATGGTGTCCTTCTGACCAGCTGATGTCAGCGGAGTCCTTCCGATCAGCTGACGTCAGTAGTTTCACTGTTACGCAGGACTGGAAGACTATCTCAAATGGAAAACAACGTTTCACAACATTCCAGTTGTTATCTATAGAGCAGTTAAGGGGTGGCAGGGTTTACGTCATTCTAGGGCAAGAGGCAGTGAATGACCATGAGGAAGGAGGCCAGGGAGCAAGGTGACCTAGTGATTAATGCTGAATGTCCCGAAAGCTTGGTTTATTTTCACTTCTCTCCCTCCCTTGTCAGCTGATTAATTTTATAAACTTTATAGGGATGGTTTCAAATCGTAGCTTCCTCTGGGCCAGAGAAGGAAATTTTTGGAAGGGCCTGGAAACTCAGCCTCCTTTCTCAAGGATCCCACGTTGTCATCACCACAATCCTCCCCACAAACTGTCCCTGCCTCGCTGCCTGCACCTGTGGGAACCAACCCTTTTTATGGATAATTTTATCTTCAAAGTGCTTTTGGCTCATTAATTGCCCAGTGTGGCCCTGCCAAGGATGTGGTTCGTCCTGATGGAGGAAGGCTGATGTGAACAGCATGGGGAAGACCTTGCCAGGCTGTCTTGGCAAGGCACGGCTCTGAGTTAGAGGAGCCTGGGAGAGAATCCCAGCTCCACCACTTTAATGCATCTCTGGGAGCCTTAAATAATTTTTTTTTTTTGAGACAGGGTCTCACTCTGTCACCCAGGCTGGAGTGCAGTAGTGCAATCATGGTTCACTGCAACCTTGATATCCTGGGCTCAAGTGATCCTCCTGCCTCAGCCTCTCAAGCAGCTGGGACTACAGGTAGGCACCACTATACCGGCTAATTAAAAAAAAAATTTGTAGAGTCTGGGTCTCACTATATTTTCCAGGCTGGTCTCAAACTTCTGGGCTCAAACAATCCTCCAGCCTCAGCCTCCCAAAGTGTTAGGATTACAGTAATCTTTTTAAACCTATGAAATGGGGATGATAATGGAATTGTCAGGAAGACTCGATGTAACAAATGGCTGTTGCTCCCTTTCACATCTAAGTGTCACATCCTCCACATGGCATTCAGCGTTCGGTACCATCCCTCCTCTAGCCTCCAGAACATTCTATATGTTCCTCTCGTATAACACAGATCAGTTGTCTGCCTTGTATTGGGGTGAACTGTGTCCCTGTTGCTCCTCAAGGGTGAAGTTTATGGCTAAGGCATCATTATATCCCTCTCATTAGGAAGCCCAGGGCTTGGCACAAAGTTCAGTAAATGTTTGTGTGCCTGAGAGGCAGCTCATGTAGTAAACAAGAGCAAGGGCCCTAAAGCCCCACTCCGTGCGTTCAATCCCCTGTTCTGTCCTTCATTGCCAAGTGATCTTAGGCAAGATACTTAACCTCTTTCTGCCTCAGAGTCCGGACCTGTAAAATGGGGATAATTAGTAATAGCACCTACAACATCAAGTTGTTGCGAGGATTAAATAAGTCAACATGCTTAAAGTGCTTATAACAGTAGCTGCTGTGGGATGACAGCCATACAGTTGTTGGCTGTTATTTATTGTAACTAGCATCTAGCACAGGGCCTTTTTCCAGATGTGGCCCCCATAAACTTTGTAAAGCTGACCTAAGAGACTAGACTTCTATCTCATCCTCTCTCCATGCATACACATATTTTGCAGGTTTATGAAATTCTACCATTTCTTTTTTCCTTTTCTTTCTTTCCTTCCTTCTTTCTTTTCTTTTCTTTTTTTTTTTTTTTGGAGATGGAGTGTGTTGCTCTATCACCCAGGCTGGAGTGGCAGAGGTGAGATCATGGCTCACTGCAGCCTTGACCTCCTGAGCTCAAGCAATTATCCCACCTCAGCCTCCTGTGTAGCTGAGGCTACGGGCGCACACCACTATGCCTGGTTAATTTTTTATTTTTGGTAGAGGTGGGGGTTTCGCTCGTTGCCCAGGCTGGTTTCGAACTCCTGGACTTGAGCAACCCTCCTGCCTCGGCCTCCCAAAGTGCTGAGATTACAGGCATGAGCCACCACGCCTGGCCTGAAATTCTACCATTCCTAATTCATTCTTTGGAGTTAAGACAATGTACTTATTAAAATGCAAGTGTTGTCATCTTCAAATATTATTTGAACACTTCCTGCATAAAAGGCTTTGTGCAAGAATACTATGTGGCCTTAAAAAAATGAGGATGCTCTCCAAAGCATATGAAATGAAAAGAGAAAAATATAAAACCGTGCATGTAGTATGCTACCATTTATGGAGTACACAAAAGCTAGGGAGGGCATATGTATAAGAAGGGAGGACTTACCTGTGTAACCACAGACCATCTGTGGAAGGAGACCCAGGGAACTATCTCAGTGGGGGGTCTCCAAGGAGGGGATTTTTGTGGTGAGGACTGGGATGGGAGGGGGACTCTCTTTCATTGTACATATTATGATTATGTCCTTTTTAAAGTAAATATACTTTTGTTTTTTGTAGAGATGGGGTTTTCCCATGTTGCCCAGGCAGGTCTCGAACTCCTGGGCTCAAGTAATCCACCCGCCTTGACCCCCGCAAAGTGCTGGGATTATAGGTGTGAGCTACTATGCCTGGCCTTAAAGTAAATATCCCAGCACCTTGGGAGGCTGAGGAGGGCGGATCACTTGAGGTCAGGAGTTCGAGAACAGCCTGGCCAACACAGTAAAACGCCGTTTCTACTAAAAATACAAAAATTAGCCAGGTGTGGTGGCGGGCATCTGTAATCCCAGCTACTCGGGAGGCTGAGGCAGGAGAATCACTTGAACCTGGGAGGTGGAAGTGGCAGTTAGCTGAGATCATGCCACTGCACTCCGGCCTGGGTAATAGAGGCTGTGTCTCAAAAAAAAAAAAAAAAAAAGTAAATATACGTTTTATTGTGATAAAATATATATATAACAAAAATTTTGCCATTTTAACCACTTTAAAGTATTCAATTCAGCGGCATTAAGCCACAAAGTTGTGAAACCATCACCATTATTTCCAGAACTTTTTCATCATCCCACACAGAAACTCTGTACCTATTACATGATAACTCCCCATTCCCTCCTCTCCCCAGCCCTTGGTAATCTCTATCTTACTTCCTGCTTCTATGAATTTGACTAGGTATCTCACATAAGTGGAACCATACAATATTTGCCTTTTGTGAGTGGCTTATTTCACTTAACATAATGTCTTCAAGTTTCATCCATATTATAGCAGGGATCGGAACTTCATTCCTTTTTTATGGCTGAATAATATCCCACTGTATGTACTGACCACATTTTGTTTCTGCATTCTTTTGCTGATGGACGCTTGTGTTGCTTCTGCGTTTGGGCTGGAAGCATTATCACAAATAATGCTGTTGTGAGCATTGATACAAGTGTTTTTTTGAGTCCCTGTTTTCATTTCTTTTGGGTATATATGTAGGAGTGGAATGGGTGGATCATATGGTAATTCTGTTTAATTTTTGAGGACTTGTCCTGTTTTCCACAGCACCATTTTACAGTTCCCCCAGCAATGCACAAAGATTGGATTCCAATTTCTCCACAACCTCATGTATTTGCCTTTATACCTTTTAATTTGGTATATCAAAGTATTACCTAGTCAAATAAGAAATTAAAGAAAATATTTTTTAAAGGCTCTGGGCTAAAGAGGTCAGGTGGGTGAGTGGAAGGAGAAAGACACCAATGATGAAAAGCAGCCCCGCTATTCAGAAGGAGCGCATGGCTGGGAGTCAAGAGAACTGACTTAGTCTTGACTCTGCATTGATTGGCTGCGTTGTTACATTCCTCTCTGAGACTCAGCTTCCCCAGGGGTCAAAGGAAAGGTTTGGATCAGGTGCTCCTGAGTTCCCTTCCTGCTCCATTAACTAAGGACCCCACATAGATAGGTTAGAAGGGAAGCGTGGACGACGCCCCCCTCCAAGTGGGTGCATACTCTTCGCTTGCATCCCCCACCTCCTTTCCTCACCGGCTTCCAGTTGGCTTAGGCAATGCAGGAGACAAGGGTGGGAGGAGAGGGAGGTTGAGATTTTCCGTGCCCACTCCCTCCTTACACTGCTGCCTCCGACAGCTCCAGCCAAGTGCCCTCTCACTGGGTTTCTGAGACAGAGTTTCCTTATTAGGCCTAGGGGTGGTATGTTCATTTGCTTGGGCTGCCCTAACAAAGTACTACAAACTGAGCAGCTTAAACAACAGAAATGTATTTTCTCATAGTCCTAGAGGCTACAAGTCCAAGATCAAGGTGTTGGCAGAGTTGGTTCCTTCAGATGCCATGAGAAAGAATTTGTTCCACGCCTCTGCTGGCTTCTGGTGGTTTGCTGGCCATCCTTGGCATTGCTTGGCTGGTAGAAGCATCATCCTGATCTCTGTCTTCATCTTCACGTGGTACCCTCCCTGTGTGTGTGTCGCATGTCCAAATTTCCCCTTTTTATAAGGACACCAGTCATATTGGATAATGCATTAGATTATGACACCCTACTTTGATTTTGTCTGCAAAGCCCCTATCTCTAAACAAGCTCACATTCTGTGGATAAAGAAACTGTGGTATATATATATGATGGAATACTACTCAGCCATGGAAAGGAATGAATTAATGGCATTCACAGTAATCTGGATGAGACTGGAGACTATTATAAGTGAAGTAACTCAGGAATGGAAAACCAAGCATCATATGTTCTCACTCATAAGTGGGAGGTAAGCTATGAGGATGCAAAGGCATAAGAATGATACCATGGACTTTGGGGACTCAGGGGCAAAGCGTGGGAAGGAAGTGAGGGTAAAAGACTACAAATTAGGTGCAGTGTATCCTACTCAGGTGATGGGTGCGCCAAAATCTCACGAATCACCACTAAAGAACTTACTTATGTAACCAAACCCCACCTGTTCCCCAATAACCTATGGAAAGAAAATTAAAAAAAAAAATTTAAAAATGCAGTTTTTCTTTCATTGGTATCTATGCCTAAACAACATACTCCTGAGTTTTGCTTGTTTCTTTTTTTTTTCTCCAATAAAAAGAAATTTACTTTAAAAAAAAACTTACATTCTGAGATACTGAGTCACCCCAAAACAGGTGGCCCCAGCTTCCCCTTTTGCCTGTTCATCCTGTGTGGTGTCCCAAATCCTACTCTCCATTTCATGTCTTCACAGTCACAGGTGAGCACGCCTTCTGCAGGTGAGCATGCCTTCTGCAGGTGGGCACACTTTCTGTAGGTGACCACACCTTCTGAAGGTGAGCACGCCTTCTGCAGGTGAGCACACTTTCTGCAGGTGAGCACGCCTTCTGCAGGTGAGCATGCTTTCTGCAGGTGAGCACGCCTTCTGCAGGTAAGCATGCCTTTTCTGTGTTCTGCAGGGATCCATCAAGCCTCAGCACCTCGGCCAGTTCACTTTTGTCAATGGATTTGTCATTTAAAACCTAGTCAACCACACTGGGAGGGTCCAAAAGACATGCTTTTTCCATTACTGTGAGAAATAAATCTGTAAGGGAAGCCCCCGCATCCTTAAGAAGCTCTGTGAGGGCGGGCATGGTGGCTCACGCCTGTAATCCCAACACTTTGGGAGAAGGCTGAGGTGGGCAGATGTCTTGAGCCCAGGATTTGAGACCAGCCTGGACAAACACGGAAAAAAACCCATGTCTACAAAAAATACAAAAATTCTGGGTGTGGTGGCACACACACTTGTAGTCCTAGCTACTCAGGAGGCTGAGATGGGAGGATCACTTGTGCCTGGGAGGTAGAGGCTACAGTGAGCCGTGATAGTGCCACTGCACTCCCACCTGGGTGACAGAGCGAGACCCTGTCTTAAAAACAAAAACAAAAAAAGCAGCAGGACTGTGATTTCTCTGCAGGCCAGAACTTAACAGTGGGAACTGTAGTCACTGAATTAGGAAACCTAAATCCAGTGGGAGTAATTGGATCCCAGGATGGCAGGGCTAAGTGGTAGCAAGCAACTGCCAAGGACAAGCTGGGCATAGTTGCTGCTGCTGAAAGAAGAGAGAATCTGGAGACCCCAAACTCACTACACTGGAGGGAAGTTAAGTTTGGAAACTGAGTCATGCAAGAAACTGCCTTTTTTGTTCCTAAATAGATAGCTATAATTTCGCATGCTTACGTTATCTTATGTAAAATAGAGAGTTACTGAACATGAGAAAATGCTTCATTGACTTTTCCCCTACTCCCTCTTTCCACATAAAAAATGTATAGATTCACTGAGTGCTAATCAGAGTCTCACAAAAATGTAATCACTTGGCTTCATTGCCTACCCTCTCTCCTTTTTATTTCCCTTCCTCTCCTTGAGGAAGAGGAAAGCTCTTTCTCCTTTACGTATCAAAGGGGATATTGCTCTTTCCCTTTAAATATCAAAGTTCCTAAAATCCTATTTGGAAAAAGCACAGGTCTCAGATCCTACTGTGACTTGTGTTTCTTTTTCCCAGGCACATCCTCGACCTTGGCAAAATAAACCTCTAATCAATTGCCAAAAAAAAAAAAAAAAAAAGGAGTGCTGATTTTTGTTTCTCGGTGTCTTCCTCTGGAGAGTTCTACAGTGTTGGCACAGCCCTGATCTCTGTGTTACCTCTTGCTTGCACCTGGGAGCTGAGGCAGGTAGAGGGAAAGGGAGACTTTGGGTGTAGGGAGCCAGAGGGGGGTCTCACGACAAGTCCACATCTGTTTTAGAGTTCTGTTTCCCTCGGAGCTGGCCCCTTAAGGAAGATGTTATGCTAAAATGTGCCAAGGTTGATAAAGAAACTAGGAATTGCATTCCCCAGGATCCCATGAAAGGGCCACATGCGGGTTTCAGCATCAAGAAGGCTTGGAGGGAAGATGATACATCTTCAAATACCTGAGAAGCTGACATGGGCAGAGTGGTGAAGCCAATCCGTTTCCACAGACAGACTGATAATGTGGCTCATTATAAGTTGGGCATTTCTGAGAATTTCTTTTCCAGAGACAGGGTCTCATCTGTCACCCAGGCTGGAGTGCAGTGGTGTGATCATAGTTCACTGCAGCCTCGACCTCCTGGGCTCTAGCGATCCTCCCACCTCAGTCTCCCAAGTAGCTGGGACTACAGGTGTACGCTACCATGCCCAGCTAATTTTTTTGTATTTTTTTGTAGAGACAGGGTCTTGCTCTATTGTCCAGGCTGGTCTCAACCTGGGAACTGCATTGAAATGTAATGGCCTCTATGTGAGATGTGAGCCACCCGCACACGGGAAGTATTCAAACTGGGGCAGGATGGCTATTCTCGCCTTGGGCAGAAGCCTGGGCTGGTGATCTCTCTCGCCACTTAGTACTTGGAAATGCCATGAGTGGGGAAATGGAACTTGGAGTTTCCTTTAGTCTTCTGTGTCCCCTGAGGACATGATGTTCAGATTCACAAAGCTGCATATTGCTTTCAGCTATAGGAGTTCGTACCAAAGTAGAAAAACTCAAACCTTCCAAAGCAGGTGCTCCAGAGGTTGGCTTCCCGCTCAAATAGGTAGTTACTAAAGCTGAGTCAAGCCTGAGCCAGCGTCTGATGCTGGTCACACCCAGGAATGGCTCCAGGGGGCTGTAAAGAGCACACTCCTTGGAAAATGGAACAGACTCCAGCTATCAGCTTTGATCTGAACCCAGGACAGGATGGTCCAGAAGCCGGTTCCTCTGCCCCTTGAGACCTGGGCTTACTGCATCCAGGTGTGGCCTCCTCTAATTTCAGAATCATTTGAAGATCTCTTAGCTCTTCGTTGCTCTGGCAAAGCAGGCTTGTCATTGTTAGCACATCTCAGGTCACACCTTCCCATCAATTTCATTTATTACTGTGGGTCTGGCAGGTGGAGATGAAAGTGGGAGGAGTGTTTCACAGATCCTAACAACAAAAAGATTAAGAAGAGTAGGTTGGTAGATTGAAAACAATCACAACTCATATAAGTTATGTAGTCATTTCAAAATCAGAAGCTTTTGCCTGGCCAGGCATGGTGGCTCACGCCTGTAATCCTAGCACTTTGGGAGGCCGAGGCAGGTGGATCACTTGAGGTCAGGAGTTCAAGACCAGCCTGGCCAACATGGTGAAACCTGGTCTCTACTAAAAATACAAAAATTAGCCTGGTGTGGTGGCACACATCTGTAACCCCAACTACTCGGGAGGCTGAAGCAGGAGAATCACTTGAACCCAGGATGGGGAGGTATGGAGGTTGCAGTGACAGAGCAAGACTCTGTCTCAAAAAAAAAAAAAAAAGCTTATGCCAAAAGCCAGAGAATGTTAGAAAAGTAACAACCATATCAACAAAAATTAATCAAAATGCTTTGAGGGAATTGTTTAGTAAGGCTATTATGATATTTGCATCCTGATGGGTCAAATCTTTCTTATTTATTTTCCTAAGATTAATTGACTGAATAAACCTTTGAATAATTGAGGATGCGATGCTTTATTGTTATTTATTAAAACATGAAGTCCCTTTGGGAGGCCGAGACGGGCAGATCACGAGGTCAGGAGATCGAGACCATCCTGGCTAACACGGTGAAACCCCGTCTCTACTAAAAATACAAAAATTAGCCGGGCATGGTGGCGGGCGCCTGTAGTCCTAGCTACTCGGGAGGCTGAGGCAGGAGAATGGCGTGAACCCGGGAGGCGGAGCTTGCAGTGAGTCGAGATCGCGCCACTGCACTCCAGCCTGGGCGACAGAGCGAAACTCCGTCTCAAAAAAAAAAAAAAAAAAACAAAAAACAAAACATGAAGTCCTGGTCCTCATATGTGTGCAAATGGTGATCACTCTCCCATGGCTTCCTTTCTTTGCTTCTGCAGTCTCTGGCTCACTCATGTGGCCTAGAATCTTAAGGATACCATTGTATTATAGCAGGTAATAATATGCTATAATATTATTAACCAAACTATACTCTCCAATCAGATTTCACCAATTTTCTCACCAATGTCCTTTTTCTGCTCCAGGATCCAGTCCAGGATTGTACCCAGAATTGCATTTAGTGAATGTCAGGTTATCTACATGATACAGAGGTGGTAAATGGTGCAAAACAAGAAAAAGAAGCATCACTTCTCAATGCTTATTAGTGCAAACCCATATATTCTGTACTTTTCAATGGGGAGAAGTTATGTAGGTGAATCCTACAGGCTGGGATTGATAGAGCAGGGTGATGTGAGAGACTAGGGGTGCAAGGCAGTCCTCTCTGAGGAAGGGAGTGTTGAGCTGAGATCCAATTGTAGGAGCCAGGTTTGAAACAATCTGGGGGCAGAGCATTCCAGGTGGAGAGAATTGTAAGATGGTATAGTAGGTCCTGCCAAATGAGTTATTCAAGATGTGAATATTGATTTATTGGAATAGGAAATGATTCATTCACCAAATATTTAAAGAGCACCCACTAGTGCCAGGAACTGTTGAAGGTGCTTGGATGATGTTAGGCTAGAATGTTTCTTGCAGGGGAAGCCAGGCCAGGGAAGTGTGGGAGGAGGGGTAGGCTGATGCTGAGCTAGGATGTGGAGCTGGGAGTGATGCTTAGTGAGACTTTTGAGTTCGGCCAAAGTTAGGAGGGCCTGCAGAGCCATCTGAGTTCCACTGGGGATGGGCAGGAGTCAGGGGTGGATGCTTGAGTCTTGATTCTCAGATGAGCCGAGAAGCCTAGGCTGGAGTTTGAGTTCTGGAACCTGGAGTAGGAGGTGCCTAGTTTCAGGCTGAGATTGGTGTAGAAGGCTCAGACCCCACCCCTTCACAGCTAGACTTGAAAAGATTTGGGGCAGAACATTTCAGCTGGATTCCAGGTGGAGGGAACTGTAAGTGCCAAGGCCAGGAGATGAGACCAAATTTGATATGTTGGGATGATTTCCAGACACCAGAGCTCTGTAGGCCAGGTTAGGAGTTTGGATTTTATTCCATGGGTAACGGGAAGCCACTGGAGAATTTTATATATGGGATTGACATGATCTTATTTTAAAAAATTAACTTATTTTCTTGAGACAGTCTCACCCTGTTGCCCAGGCTGGAGTGCAGTGGTGTGATCATGGCTCACGGCAGCCTTGACCTCCTGGGCCCAAGCCATCCTCCCACTTCAGGCTCCCAAGTAGCTGGGACTACAGGTGGGCACCACCCCACCCAGCTAATTGTTTTGTATTTTTTGTACAGATAGGGTTTTACCTTGTTTTCCAGGCTGGTCTCAAACTCCTGGGTTCAAGCAATCCACCCACCTTGGCCTCTTAAAGTGCTGGGATTACAGGTGTAAGCTATCACGCTTGGCCATTTTTTTATTAAAAAATATTTTAAATCACTTCTCTTGAGGCATAATTTACAAATAAAATACAGTTACTTTAAATGTACAGTTTGGTGAGTTTTGACAAATATATCCAGCTATATAACCACCACCACAATCAAAATACAGATAGAACATTCTTATCACCCCAAAAAGTTCTCTTTACAATTGATTCTTCTATTACTACCCCAATCTCCAGCCTTAGGCAAGAGATCCTGCAGACCCTTCACCCAACTTCCCGGAGTTACCATCTTGCATAACCATGTACGTTTGTCAAAACTGAGAAATTAACATTGCTACAGTATCACAAACCAAACTATCAGCTCTAATCAGATTTCACCAATTTTCTAACTAATGTCCTTTTTCTGCTCCAGGATCCATCCCAGGAGTGCACCCAGGATTGTATTTAGTAATCATGTCTCCTTAATCTCTTCCAATCAGTGACAGTTTCTCAGAATTTCCTCATTTTTCACAAACGTGGCAGATTTGGGGCAAACTGGTCAGGTGTTTTGTAGAATGTCCCTTGATTTGGGTTTATCTAATGTTTTCTTATGATTAGAGTTTATAGATTTGGGGAAGAAAACCACAGAGATGACGTGCCCTTCTCATCCCAACATATCAGGGAGTATTTGATACCAAATTCTATCGCTGGTGATGTTAACCTTGGTCACTTGGTTAAAATGGTGTCTGCCAGGTTCCCTCCTATGAAGTCACTATTTTTCCCTTTCCATAATCTACTTTTTGGAATCAAGTCGTGAAGTCCAGCCCATCTATCAATGGGAGGCGAGTTAAGCTCCACCTCCGGAGTGGAGGAAGTATACATATACTATTTAGAGTTATTTATTCATAGAGAAAGCTTTTTTTTTTTTTGAGAAAGGGGTCTCACTCTGTCACCCAGGCTGGAGTGCAGTGGTGCAATCTCAGCTCACTGAAACCTATGCCTCCCAAGCTGGAGCAATCCTCCTGCCTCAGCCTCCTTAGTAGCTGAGACCACAGGTATGTGCCACCACGCCCAGCTAATTTTTGTATTTTTGGTAGAGACAGAATCTTGCCATGTTACCCAGGCTGGTCATGAACTCCTGAGCTCAAGCAATCCACCTGCCTCAGCCTCCCAAAGTGCTGGGATTACAGGCATGGGCCACCACGCCTGGTGGAGAAAGCTTTTTTTTTTTTCCCCGATAGGGGAAATAGCATATTTGTATTTTGCTGGAAGTGATCCAAAAGGGAACAAAATACCTGTGAGAGTTTCTTTGGTTTCTCCAGTAAGTGCTGAAAATGTTTTCACACCAGGACTTTTCTCATTTATAAAAACCTTAATAATATTCCTTATTTAGCACAATATATGCAAAATACTATGATTTCAAAATATGATCAATATAAAAATATTAGTCAGATATTTGAAATTCTTATTTTATGTGAATTCTTGCAGACTTGTCTTGTATTTTACACTTACAGCTTATTTCAGTGAACTGGCCACATTTCAAGTTCTCAATGGCCATATGACTCAGGCTACCATATTGGAGAGCACAGCTCTAGATCTTTTTGAAACCAGTGCAGGGCAGGCCAGGATCTTGGTGAGTGTGCACTTCATTCTCCAGTCCCCAGTCTCTCAACTCTACCATCTTTGTTGTATTTCTGTGACTGCAATTCCTGAAAGTTCATGTTGAGGAAGCATCTTGATAGTGACTTTTTTTTGTAGTTAAAATGATATTTTTACTTTTTCTCTATTTTATTTTTTAATTTTTAAAAATTTTGTGAGTGTATAGTAGATGTATATATTTATGGGGTACATGAGATGTTGAGATACTGGCATGCAATGTGAAATAAGCACATCCTGGAGAATGGGGTATTCATCCCCTCAAGCATTTCTCCTTTGAATTACAAACAATCCAGTTACACTCTAAGTTATTTCAAAATGTGCAATTAAGTTATTATTGACTATAGTTTCCCTGCTGTGCTATTAAATAGTAGGCCTTATTCATTCTTTCTATTTTTTTGGTACCCATTCACCATCCCCATCTCCCCCCGATATCAAAATTCTGAAGTGCCAGTTTTGGATACTGATAAAGCTGAGTGCTAGCTACCTAAGTACCTTGAATTGTGACAACAATTCTTCTCCCTTTCCCAGCATGGTGATTTCATAGTCATGTTTTCTTTCTGTGTTTTCTTCATAGTGCCTTTCACGCTGCTCCCTGATCTTCCTCTGTTCTTACCTTTGAACTTTTAAAAATTGAACTTCTCATTTTGAGATAATTATAGATTCACAAGCAATTATAAGAAATAATATAGAGAGACCTTAAGTCTCTTTACCTATTTTCCTCTAATGGTAACATCTTGCAAAATAAGTTATTCTCTCTCCTTTTAAAATAAAGATATTTGGCTGCTTTGTGAAGGCAAAGTGGGAACAGAGAGACTGCTGAGAGGTGACTGTGATTGGGCAGAGATTTGGACCAGGAGAGAGCATGAGAGGATGCTGGACCATGCTGCCATTCTGGGGGAAAGGTGGAGGTGAGCTGTAGCCACACGACCCTCACAGGAAACACTGATGCTAAACTCCAAAAAGAACCTCCTTTACAAAGGCCAAGTCAAAAGCATAGTCTGTGTATCAAGTCAGTTTCCAGCAGGAAAGAGGGGGTACAAAGTGTTTACAGTTTACAGGGGAGGAGAAACAATTTTCCCTTTACCCTTCTGAGTTCTTAGCTGGGACCCCTGCTAACATTTGCCACAAGAGACAGATTAGCAAGAGAAAAACAAGATTGTATTAACATGTATATATTATATGTGCATGGGAGACAGCCAGGGAATGAGTAATTCTCAAAGAGATGATTTAGAATTCCAGCTTATATAGTATCTCTGACAAAAGACAATAAATTTTTAGAGAAGTGACAGGACAAAAAGGACCTTGAGTCTCTAAGGGATCGCAAATTGTAGGAAGGCAAATATACAAGAAACTAATGGTAGGTAAAGGCTGGTTAGTAAAATTTGTTAGGAAGATTCCTCTGGTCTAAAAGGCCCTGAAGACATCTTCATTGATCAACCTTTGTCCTTCCCAGTAGAAAGGGGAGGAGGACACCTATGTCCTGCTTTAGGCAAATAGAGGCAAACAGCAAGCTTTTCTTATATCTGCTTCTTCTCAACTGCTTTCAGCTTAAAATAATCCTCATGTCAAATGGTATATTTGGTGTGGAAGAGCCTGCTACCTTTCAACAGAACCAGAGTTTAATGAAGGGACGATTTACAGAGGTGTGGGCAGGATTAGGGACATCCAGGAGAGATGATGGGGCACCTAGAGACAAGCACAGTGGAAACTGTCGTTGTCCCTAGCCCTGAAGGAAGGAGAGAGACAGGTGGCATTACAGGGCCCAGGGAAAGTTGGAGTAGAGGTTGAGGAATTGCCCAACAGAAGCAGTGGTGGTAGGTAGAGGAATATAACCACTGCCAAAATTATACCCAGCAGCGGGAAAGGAATCAATTTTCTGACCTTTCTCCCCTCCCATCATCTGACTACACGGGCCATGAAATCTGCCAAGGTTGGCCTTCTCAGCATAGACCAGGACAGAGGAGAGAGAGGACGGATCTGGAGAGGTGAATGGAGAATAACAAAATACAATTTCAAAAACTCTACAGTGGGGGAGCTTTAGAAACAGTTCTATTATCTGTACAGGACACATTCTATTTTTTTTTTTTTTTTCGAGATGGAGTCTCGCTTTGTCTCCCAGGCTGGAGTGCAGTGGCATGACCTCGGCTCACTGCAACCTCCACCTCCCGGGTTCAAGCGATTCTCCTACCTCAGCCTCCTGAGTAGCTGGGATTACAGGCACGTGCTGCCACACCCAGCTAATTTTTGTAGTTTTAGTGGAGACCGGCTTTCACCATGTTGGCCAGGCTGGTCTTGAACTCCTGACCTCGTGATCCACCTGCCTCGGCCTCCCAAAGTGCTGGGATTACAGGTGTGAGCCACTGAGCCTGGCCTGTACAGGACACATTCTAGATGTGCAGTGATTCCATTTTAATGTAAGTGCTTCTCACTTAGTCTCATTTTCAGCAACTTTTTCCAAGATTATTTACAGGCTTGATCTACATGAATCTAGGAAACACCGTGGACCCTGGCTTCACCTGGGGGTGGAGCAAGGGCCTGAGAGGAGGGCTGCACGATGCTTTGAGTGATAGGGGATCCTGGACACTGGGATGTGTGGCCTCTCCAGGGATTTTCGAGCCCATGAAAATGTCAGAAAATCCCCCATAACAAGAGGCCACTGGGAGCTTGGCCAAGGGTGTCGTGTGGTTGGATATCTCAAGGTTGCTTGTGGCAAACATGAAACTGGAGGTCTGAGACCCTCTGCCCCTTTTCTGGCACCACTAGATATCCAGGGTTCTGATGGGTCTCTGAGGGTGGGGGTGGGAGGTAACTAACACTGATTTCAGTGGCTTTTCCTACCACTTCCATGGGATATGTGTGTGTGGGGGATGGAATTTGGGCTTGAATTCGTTTCTGATCCATAAATTGGGGATAATAATATTACCTCCTTCACATGATTATTGGGAAGATTGAGATGATCATATACGTAAAGAATTTAGCAGTCTGGCACGTAGGAAGTGCTCAACATATGTTAGCTATTAGTAGCAGTCGTAGCTTTTCCTCCTGTCTACTGACCGGAAGGTGCTGTTTCTGTTTTTCATATGACACATTGCAAAGTGACTTTGAACGTATGATTCTTAATTTCATTTCTTGCAAGTGTGAAATGAGCTGACAGAAGAGACCAACATGGAGAGCCTCACCCCCACGGCCCACAGCAGACACATCACAGAGTTACCAGGAATTCCAGAAAGGAAGTCAAGTGATGAAAGACTGAAGGATGGGAACCCTGGGAGGACTGCTCCCTAAGGGAAGCTGGGTGGAAAGTTCTCACGGAGTCCAGCCCCGTTCCGCCTGCTCTGCCCTGGGGGTCTCCCAGCCCCTGTCCCTCCGCGAATTGAGGAGCGGTCCTAATTGCCAGTTGCCTTAAAGAGTTTGGGGAAACTGAAGACTGGGGTCCTTTATAGGCAGGTTCTGGATCAAGAGGGGTGGGGAGAGGCCCTGCATTTGGATTCCTGAAATCCACAGAAAACCCTGCCCTTACACTACTTTATTTTAAAGGTTTTGTTTTTTTTTAAATTACAAAAGTAAAACAAGCGTGCTGTAAAAATAGCATAAACATGTACAGTGCATAGGCTGGGCTCGGTGGCTCATGTCTGTAATCTCAGCACTTTGGGAGGCCGAGGAAAGTGGATCACGAGGTCAGGAGTTCAAGACCAACCTGGCCAAGATGGTGAAACCCTGTCTCTACTAAAAATACAAAAATTAGCCGGGCATGGTGGCAGTCACCTGTAATCCCAGATACTCGGGAGGCTGAGGCAGGAGAATCGCTTGAACCCGGGGGTGGAGGTTGCAGTGAGCCAAGATCGTGCCACTGCACTGCACTCCAGCCTGGGCGACAGAATGATACTCCATCTCAGGAAACAAACAAACAAACAAACAAACAAACAAAAACCATATACAGTGCATAAAGAAAAAGGCAGAAGTCCTTCTCCAGGTGGCCTCCCTGCCCAAATCTGCTCCTCAGGGTGGGCCCTGAGGCTGCTGGAGTCTCCTGTGCTGGGGAGCCCTCCACGCTGCCTCCCTCCAGGCCTTTAATCCAGTCTTGAGGTGCCCGAATCTCTGTTTTGTACACCTGCACACCTTCTAGTGGGGGTACTTTGCAAACTCAATGTGAGGACAAGCAGATGGAATGGCAAGTGGCAGGTGTGGCCTAAGGTATCCTCCCATCGGGCTCCCCCACCCTTGGAAATTAGGATCTTAAATTTTGGTCCTGACCAAGTCCCACTAAAACTTGGCTACTAGGTTGGTTTTCCAATTCCAGGGCCAAAAGGAAACTGGGAACAATGCTACCTACTAGCAAAAGAAAAAAAACCAAATTTGTTAGAACAGTGACCCTAACTAGTCAAAGGCAGTGCTTTCACCTAGAGGTAATAATAATAACCACTTCTGGGAGCCCTTATTGAAGGCTGGGCTTTGCTTTAAGAGTGAGGACTGCTAATATTTCTCTTTTCTAGATGAGGACACTGGTGCTCAGGGAGATTCACTGCAGGAGGCAGGAGAGTGCAGTGGTGAGGAGCTCAGGCTCTGCGGCCCGACCACCTGGTCATCCATCCTGGTTCTGCTGCTTATCAGCTGTGTGACCTCAGACTTACATTATGGAGTCTCTCATGACTTGGTTTCCTCTCTAGTAAAATGGGGATGATGACAGTGTCTCCCTCCAAGGGGGGTGGTGATTAAATGAGTTACTATGTGGCTGGGCATTGTGGCTCATGCCTGTAATTGCAGCACTTTGGGAGGCTGCAGCAGGAGGATCACTTGAGCCAGGAGTTTGAGGTTACAGGGAGCTATAATCGCACCACTGTGTTCCAGCCTGGGTGACAGAGTGAGACCTTGTCTCAAAAAAAAAAAAAAAAGAGTATGTGTCAAGTGCCTGGCACAGAGAAGATGCTCAATAAATATGAGAACTGGGATTAAATTATGGGCCTAAGTCTCAGCTAGTGGCTGATGGAGAAGGCATCTGAATCCAGGTCTGATGTGGTTGAGGGTCAAGGGCTTACCCGCTATGTAGTGCTGTCTCCCTAGAGCCTGCCGGCTCTCAACTCCTCTCCCACCTTCAAGGCCTAGATCCTCGGGAGTCCCAGCTGTCACTGATGTGAGGATGACACGTGTCTCCTCTGAAGAACCAATGATTCCTGGTGAGTCATGGGAGGCAGAGAAGACTCTTGGACTTTTGGCAGAAGATGGTTAGCCCTGGGCCTTTCTCCTCGGAGGAAAGCCTGTAAGTCCCTTGCCCTGATGGGTGCTTGGCAGGGAGGATGGGGGATTCCCTATCTTTCTAGGGATACCCTAAACTCAAGTACCCTCATTATGATACAGGATCTGACGCAAGCATAGGGGAAGTGTGGCTGCCTCCTAAGGGTGGAAATAGCAATGAAGGAGGCTGTCAAACATGATTTGCTGGAGTGGTGATGTCCAACCTGAGTCTTCAAAGATGGGGGGAAGTTATGAAGGGAGGGGAAGGACATTCTGGGCAGAGGGCACAATTTGAGCAGAGAGGCTAGACATGGTATCTGAGAAGGATCAAGTCTGAAGAAAGAAGCAGCAAAAGATGAGGCTGCAGAGGTCAACAGTGGTCAGAATTTGGAAATCTTTGTATAATCTGCTGAAATGCTTGGACTTTTTTTGATCGAAAATAGGGAGCCAATGAAGAGTTACAGAGGAGATAACAATGGTAAAGTTTTGTCAGGTGTAAAATGGGATAACCATACAGTAACCCTACAATCATAGGATTGTAGGATTATTGTTTGGTTATCCCATTTTACAATCCTGCATAGGATTGTAGGATTATTGTATAATCATACATTATTATACATTATATATTATAATCATACAATAATCCTATGTAGGATTGTAGAATTATTGTATGATTAAGTGAGATGATGCATATAAAGTTCTTAGAATGGCACCTAAAAAATGCTCAGTAAATGTTAATGATGTTGATGCTGATGACTGTAATGTCCTATTAGGAAGAGAAACCGCAAAGTTAGAGGCCACCTAGGCAGTCCATACAGTAAGTAAGGCGTGGCCGGGTGGATGAAGGCCAAGACCAGCCTTACATAGAAATCCAGTCCATGCCAGTCCATGGACTTGACTGCCTGCTGGAGTAAAACCCAAGCTCCTTGGCGTGGCTCAAAAGCACTAGGTGACCTGGCCCCTTCTCACACGTTAGGCTCCAGCCACATTATTTTCTTTCTGGTCTTCAAGCATGTCCAAACTTGTCCTGTGTCCTTGCTGTTCCCTCTGTCTAGACTGTCCATCCCTCACATCTTTGAATGGCTGCCACTTTCTTGTCACAAAGCTCTTGGTTCAAATGTTACTTCCTCTAAGAGAACTTCTTGAGCCCTAGAACATCAGCCTTCTCGCCAAATGAAATGATCTTACTTGTTTTCATGTTTAGTGTCTATTGCTTCCTATCCCCTAGAGGATGTAAACTCCATAAGTGTATGAATTATATCTTTCTTGTTCACTGCTGTATCCCTAGGTCCTTCAACACCGTCTAGAACATGGATACCCTCAATAAATGTTTTCCAGGAAAAAATAAAGGATCTGAAATGATGTCTATTAGAGTCATTCCTTTCAAGCTATTCCTGGGAGAGGTAGCTGATCAAGCTGTGATCAGCTAGTAACACAGCTGAGTGAATTCAGTGAGATGATGACTTTGTGTAGGTAGAATCTGGGGACTAAAGAGAAGGGACATCACAAAACGAAGTAAGTTCCAATGACCCAGGGTAATTTCCATGGCACCGCTGGTCAGGGAGCTGCTATAGGACTTGGGTGTAGACAGGTGACAGAAGGGTGGGGGTGGAGACAGGATAGAAAGAGGCTGGGTCTTAGAAGCATGGTCCATCAGAGGGGGCCTGGAGGGCCACTGACTCAGGTCTTACATTCCATCGAGATCTTTAAATTTAGGCTGGGAGTAGTGGCTTACACCTATAATCCTAGCACTTTGGGAGGCCGAGGCTGGAGGATCACTTGAGGCAAGAGTTCGAGATTACAGTGAGCTGTGATGGCACCACTGCACTCCAGCTTGGGTGACAGCATGAGACCTCGTCTCTAAATAAAATAAAATAAAAATCAACTTTTAAAAAGTAACAACTTTCAAACTTAGTCTTTTAACATTATTTAGTATTTTGATATTATCTCCAAAAGAGGTTACAAATAGTCACAGACACACCAACAGGGTTGAAAAAAATGCTCATTTGTATAACTGTAATTACAAAATGCAAGTATCAAGAATATTCCAGAACTCATCTTTCTTTTTTTTCTTTGAGATGGAGTCTCGCTCTGTCACCCAGGCTCGAGTGCAGTGGCAAGATCTCAGCTCACTGCAACCTCCGCCTCCTGGTTCAAGCGATTCTCCTGCCTCAGCCTCCCGAGTAGCTGGGACTACAGGTGCCCACCACCACACCCAGTAAATTTTTGTATTTTTAGTAGAGACAGGGTTGCATCATGTTGGCCGGGCTGGTCTCGAACTCTTGACCTCAAGTGATCCGCTCGCCTCGGCCTCCCAAAGTGCTGGGATTACAGGGGTGAACCACCGCCCCTGGCCCAGAACTCATCTTTCAAAACTGGCCCGCAGCATCTGACACAGTTGTTTTCCTCCTTCTGGCCACCCTCTCTTCGAGCTTCCAGGACACTATACTCTCCTGATTGTACTTCCTTGCTGGCTACTCCAAGTCTCCACTAGTGGTCCTTGCTCATCTCATCATCCACCCCAGATTGTCCATTTCCAGAAGGCAGCAGAGTGAGCCCCGGGGGCCTCACCTGAAGTTCCTCTGCAGGAACAGCCTCCCTCGAGGCTGGCTTCCTCACTTCCTAATAGTCCTAGGCTGAAGGTCACTTTCTCAGAGAGGTCTCTTTCCTACCACCCTACTTAACACTGCATTCCCTCCAATCCTCTCTCCCCTCTTCCTTCCCTTAATTTTCTCTAGTGCTCACTACCAAATGACATGCATTTCTTGTTTAGTGCTTGTCTCCCCTGACTAGTATGTCAGTTCCAGGAAAGCAGAGGTTTGTCTTTTGTTTACTACTATTTATTATCTAGCACAGTGTCTGACACACAATAGGCCCTCAAGGAAATTCTGTTGGTCACTTTTCAATTTTGCTGGTTTGCACTTAAAAATATATAGGGAGCCTTACCAGGAGCCCTAGACCGAACGTGAGTCTAAGGATTGGTATGGTTTTCCTCCATACAACGGCTAAAGCAAGGGACAGAGCCGACACTCAAGGAATATTTCTTGAATTAATGACCTTCTGGAGTGGGGTAGCATTGTGTCAAGTTTGCAGGGTGCAGCTTGGATGTGGTGCTAGAAGGGGAAGCCTCTGGGCTGAGCATGTAGGCTCGTCAGTAGAGTTCAACCCGCAGGAGTAAATTACTGCAGTGGGAAACAACCGCACCCGCGGCCCAGCAGGGGTTCCACTGCGCAGCCGCAAAAGGCGCCGAGGCTCCACTGCGCAGCCACAGAAGGCGCCGAGGCTCCACCGCGCAGCCGCAAAAAGAGCGGACGGGTCTGCGCCGCCGCAGGAGGAGCAGGCGGTACCTGGACGGGTTCGTCCCGGGCTGTTTCGCGTCCGGCCTGAGGCGGCTGGGGCCGCGCAGGTAGTGTCCCTGCACTTCTTGCCCGGGCGCGTGAGGCCAGCTCCGCTGCGCTTGTCTCCAGCTTCCAGCCCTCCTCCCCTAAGCCGCCGCCATCATGCTGCTGCCTGTGTTCACCCTGAAACTGCGCCACAAAATCAGCCCCCGAATGGTGGCCATAGGGCGCTACGACGGGACTCACCCGTGCCTGGCGGCCGCCACCCAAACGGGCAAGGTAACCGCTCCCACCCGCAGGGAGCCCGGGCCCCAGGGAACCACAGGATCTCCGCCGGCCGCGCCCCTGGGATCCCGTCCCCTCTCCGACCCCGCCCCCAGCCCGTGTTGCCCGGCAACCGGTCGGCGAGCACCTTGTGGCTCCATCCTGCAGAGGACAGTGGGGTCTTAGAGGAAGAGCTTTTCTGAGAAGTTGACGTTTTCTTGTCATCAGGCACTTGGAGTCAGGCGAGGTCGGGGTCCCTGGACATAGGGAGCTTAGAAAAGAGACGTCTCCTGAGGGAAGGGGTTTGGTTCGGGTTAGCAGTAATAACCGACCCCAGATTCAAGCCAGGGGCCTCTGCTTGTCACTTGGAACTCGGAATTCCTCTGACTCTCTAACACTGCTTCTTCTTCCTTTTTTTTTTTTTTTTTTTGAGACGGAGTCTTGCCCTGTCGCCCAGGCTGGAGTGCAGTGGCGCAATCTCGGGTCGCTGCAGCCTCCGCCTCCCGGGTTCCTGCAATTCTCCTGCCTCAGCCTCCCGAGTATCTGAGATTACAGGCGCCCGCCACCACGCCTGGCTAATTTTTGTATTTTTAGTAGAGACAGGATTTCACCATGTTGGCCAGGCTGGTCTCGAACTCCTGACCTCAAGTGATTTACCTGCCTCGGCCTCCCAAAGTACTAGGATTACAGGCGTGAGCCACTGCACCCAGCCTTTCACAGTCCTTTACCGAACAACGACAAAAGAATGCAATACAAAAATTAACTTATTCAAATTGCACTTTTGATCCTTGCCCATGTACATTCAGTTCTTTCCCCGTAATTTATTCACTAAGTATTAGGTGTTTACTATGTGCGATTACTGGGCAAGATGTGAGAGTCAAAGAGATAAAAGAGAAATCATGTAACATTCACCAGACTTCTACTAAACACCTTCTGTATAGATTTTGGAGACTCGGATGTAAAAGGAGTCCCTACTTTCAGAAAGCTTATAGTCCAGAAGCTAACAGACAAGGCAAATCAGAGCCCTGTGTATTTGACGGAGGCATGCCCAAAATACATGGAATGTAGTGACAACGCTAATAACTTATAACAGGCACAAAACTTTATTACATGAGTCATCTCAGCGTCGTTGTCACAAGGCCAACGGCAGCAGCATGGCATAGGGATGGTGTTTCTTGGCTCCAGTACCTACTAATTTCATGACCTTGGGCAAGGCACTTAATAATAGTACCTAATACGTGGGGTCATGAGCTTTAAAAAAGTTAATACATGTAAAGTGCTTGACATATAGGAAGTGGTCACTGATTGTTACCTGTTATTTTCTTTTTATGGTTCTCACTTTATTGACTAGAAATTGCAGTTCAGAGAGGTTCAATACAGTGCTTGGAGCCACTCAACTAGAAAGTGTGGAATGTGGTCAGAGTGCATGTTCTCTGATCCAGTGTGGATTTAATAAGCTAGGATTTGTGTAACAATTTATAGTTTTTAGGACACTTCCATGTATATTGTATGTTATATGCCTTGGGATACAGAAGTAAAAAATAAGGCTTCATTTTCATTAAGTAGTATAACAGAGTTAAGCTATTAATACGGGGTCTGGCACATCATGATGTTAGTTATTGTTACAGTTAGAAGTCACTGACAGGCTGGGTGCAGTGACTCATGCCTGTAATCCCAGCACTTTGAGAGGCTGAGGCAGGCAGATCATCTGAGGTCAGGAGTTCAAGACCAACCTGGCCAGCATGGTGAAACCCTGTCTCTACTAAAAATACAAAAATTAGCCAGGTGTGGTAGGTGCCTATAATACTAGCTACTCGGGAGGTTGAGGCAGGAGAATCACCTGAACCTAGGAGGTGGAGGTTGCAGGGAGCCGAGACCGTGCCATTGCACTCCAGCCTGGGCGACAGAGTGAGACTCGGTCTCAAAAAAAAAAAAAAAAGCACTGACAAATGCCAAAAAGAACTTCATGTTGCTTGTGCTGTAGGTGCATAGCAGATTTATAAATGGGCTGAAAATATCCCATTGGTATTAACTCAGCCCCTAATTTGAGGGCTTACTATGTGCTGGGCAGTCTTCTTAGCTCTGCAGGTGCATTGGAGAATGTGACAGACAAGTTTTTGCCCCCTTGGAGCTTACATTTGAGAGGGGGAACCAGGTAGTTAACTGAATATGCAAGTGTTTTCATAGGAGAAAAAGAATAAGGGATTCAGTGTGATGGGAGCTTGGTGTCTTAGACAGGTGGTCAGATGGCCTCTAATAACATTTGATAAGAGGTTTGAAGGAACTGAGGAAACAAGCTCTGCAGATTTGTGGGATAAGCGCCTTGCAGGCAGAGGGATCTGCAGGTGCAAGGGCCTTGAGCTGGAGATATGCATGGTGTGTTTCAGGAGCACAAGGAAGCCGCTGGGGCTGGAAGGCAATGAGGGTGGTCATGAGGTAGACACAAGCCAGATCATATAGGAACTTGTAGGCCATGGCAAAGACCTTGGTTTTTATACTGAGTAAGTTAGGAAGTCCCTGAGGATTTTGATAAAGTGGGTGTTGGAATTTGCTTTATGTTTTAGATAAAGGCTAACTGGCTGGTATGTGGAGAACAGATGTTCTGTGACGGGATGTAGGGAGGTAGGTGTCGGAGTAGAAGCAGGGAGATCGGGCAGAGGTCCCTAGGGCAGCCCTTAGATAGAGTGTGACCTGGAGTGGAAGGCAGGAATGCTTGATTGTAGGGCTGTTGTCGAAAATGGCCTAATAATAATAATAATAATAATAAATAAAATAAAGGAGATCCCTTGTCCTGTGTAACTGGATGGATACTTTGTGTTCAGCTCTGTAAACAAATCTAAAAAGTTCTGACCTGATCTTTTATCTTGAGACCTTAAAAAGAATTAGTAGTATTTTATGACTCAAGTAATGCCATGAATATATTTTCTTAAAAGCAATTAAAACATTCCAGCTAGGGTTAAAGCCTGCATGTCTAGAAACAGGACTTTATCCTTACAGCTGGGACCCTGTTGTGAACATGGAGCTGACTCTGAGCCTTAGCAAGGATATTTTTTTAAAAGGAATCTCTGGCCGGGCATGGTGGCTCAACACCTGCAATCCCAGTACTTTGGGAGGCTGAGAGGGGCAGATCAACTGAGGTTAGGAGTTCGACACCAACCTGGCCGACTGAAACCCTGTCTCTACTAAAAATACAAAAATTAGCTGGGCGTAGTGGCGCACCCCTGTAATCCCAGCTACTCGGGAGGCTGAGGCAGGAGAATCCCTAGGACCCAGGAGGCAGAGGTTGCAGTGAGCTGAGATTGCACCACTGTACTCCAGCCTGGGCAATAGAGCAAGACTCCGTCTCAAAAAACATATAAATAAATAAAAGGAATCTCTTGCAGGGTGAATATTAGAGTTTTCCTCTGGGGACATTTTTTCTCTCATGGTAATGCTTAGGGGTCAGTTGAATTTATATTGTTTGCAGCACCTCCTCAGCTAGAACAAAAGTGTGAACTTCAGCAAGTCCTTTGAAAGCCCTGGGAGTGGTCTTTTTGTCGTATGACTGAGATTGGCTTTCTTTCCTTGCCTGAAGGGACAGACTTGTCTCCCTGTGGACTCTCTTTGAGTGTAGAGAACAGCAGGAGGGAACTGGGGGAAAGTCTGACTCCTGAGATCCTTGTTGCTCTTGACAAAAATTGCAAACTCTTTCCATTCCGGTAAGAATGAATATGGAGCCCGTAAGCTATTTCTGCTCCTGTACTTTCTCAGCATATTGGATTTCTGGAAAACTTTGTAAGAATTGGTTTGTTCAGAACTGTTATAAAAGGAAGTGTGATGTGGTGGTGGCTGGAGCGCAGGGCCTGGAGCACACCAGGCTCTTGTCTTAGCCCTGTCACCAGTCTCAAGACCTTGGCAAAGGGCCTTAACTCTTCCGACCTCATATGGAAATGAAGGGTTGGTGTCAGGTTCAAATGCAATTAACATTGACCAAGGCATGTTATAAAGTGTTACACAAACGGAACATGAAGGCAGTGTTCAGTGGCTGCACGTTTTCTATGTTTTTAGTCAATTCTTTTGAAAATTATTTTTTGTTGAATAGGCTGCCTTGGGTAGGTGTTAATTTAAAATTAATTCTGTTTGGATTTATGTGAAAGAGATGAAATACTCATGTAAATTTTAAAAATTTTAGAACTAGAAGGGGCTAGAGGGATCCCTAGTCCAGTGTTTTTCATCCTCCCAACCTTTTTGGTCATATTGCCCACCTTGGAACTTTTTTAGACCAAGAAAATTTTCCCAGTGAAATTCTGATACCTCAGATATACTTTGTATCTCTTTTTGTACTGTGGTCCTGCGAAGGGCTACACGATTCCCCATCGCAAACCCATTTACCTGTCCTGGGAGTGATCTCGCCCCTCTTAAGACTGCATTTTATAGTCCAAACCTCCTTTTTACAGGTGAAGTCTAGGAAAGTTGAATAATTTATGCAGACACTCAGATTATATTTATGATAGTTGAAACTGTTGAATTTATTATCTTTGGGCTAATTACTTAGTTCTATGTCACTGGTATAAACTGTGAAAGCCTTCAAGATACTTGATTTGCATGACTCGGTTTAAGTTTGTGAAACAGGTTTACTAACTAGCAGACCATTTTAAGGTCTAGGAAGTGATTCATTAGGTGCTTGGATGAAAGATAATAAAGGAAGTGTTTATTCTGTTTTCCATGATCTTCTTGGTGTGTGGCAATCACATTGAAGGTGGTAGCAGCTTATTCTAGGTTGATCGGGAAAAGGCTAGCTCCTAAGAGTGCTTTGACATCCTGCTGGTGGGTAGCATGTAAGCTGGCCTGGTAAGCAGTGACTAGATCTTGTTCATTACCTTGTTCCTTACAAGGCTAAGAACCACTGGATTTCCGTGATTTCATAATGACTGAAAGTTGTCCATGCATTGAACTATGTACGAGTGTTTTAAGTTTCATAGGAGATTAAAGTGACCTCTTGTTAATGTGGATGTGTTAATAACCTGGTTCTTTTTTAAAAAAATGTATGATACTAATTTTTTATATTTTAAGGGAATGTAATTAGTTATTTTTGTTTCAGGTTTTTATTCATAATCCTCATACACGGAACCAGCATGTCAGTGCATCCAGGGTCTTCCAGAGCCCCCTGGAATCTGATGTTTCTCTTCTCAGCATTAACCAGGCAGTCAGCTGTCTGACTGCAGGCGTATTGAACCCTGAGCTTGGCTATGATGCCCTTTTAGTGGGGACACAGACTAATCTTTTGGCTTATGATGTCTACAATAATTCGGATTTGTTCTACAGAGAGGCAAGTATAACCTTTATAACCATAAAATTGTCATTACTCATTAATGTCCATTTTTTATGCTTAGAAGAGATCAGATCATTTATTTTGGTCTGTTTGTTGTATGACTGTTATAGTATAGGTAAACAACATGGAGATTTTGCTGTTAACATCTGCTTTATGTACTCGGAACTTATTTATTTGGTTATGGTTGCTAATCGCTTGGTGACACTCGAGCTTATCTCTATGAGGTATATCTGTGATACTGCCATCTGTCAAGATCTGTTGAGAATTCAGCCAAGAGCTGGGAAGCCAATAGACAGGTCTCCTGGTGGACTTGCATTCAAGTTTAGTGCAATAGTTTGTAGAAGCCCTTACTGTAGCCTGCCACCTACAGGCTGCTGCAACTTTAATACCCAAGCAATTCATATTTGTTACAGAAAAGATAAGGAAGTAAAAAGTAAAAGAAATTACACCTATTTTTTCATCTAGAAAGAGCACTTAACTGTTGAGTTTTTGAATCCAGATTTTTTACCAAGCATATATGAATACATTTTGTAGTAAAATGGGGTCATATATACATGTAGCCTTTTACTTGTTTTTACCCTATAGCAGCTTTATTAAGATATGATTCACATGTACAACTAACCTACTTAAAGTATACAATTCAGTGGTTTTTAGTGTATCCAGAGAGCTGTACAACCATCACCATCATCAATTTTCAACATTTTTATTACCCCCTAAAAAACCCATACCCATTAGTATCACTCCCCATTTTTCTTTAACCTCCTAACCTTAGGCAACCAGTTATCTACTTTCTGTCTCTAGAAGTTTGCATATTCTAGACATTTCATAAACAATGGAATTATATAATATGTAATCATTTGTGACTGCCTTCTTTTTCTTAGCATGATATTTTCAAGGTTGATCCATGTTGTAGCATGTGTCAGTAATTCACTTTTATGGCTGAATAATATTCCATTGTATGTATATACCACATTTTATTTATCCATTTATCAGTTAATGGACATTCCACTCCCTGGCTATTATGTGTGGCTCTTTCATTCAATAATATGTTGTGAACATCTTTATATGAAGTTACTACATACCCGTTATGTCATTCTTATTGGTTCTGTAGTATTTCATTGTGTTAATGTAATTTGTTTAACCGTTCCATGTTGTTGAACATTTATGTTATTTCCATTGTTTCTGTATTACAGTTCATAGTGTAATAACTGTATCTCTTTGACCACTTCCCTGATTATTTCCTGAGGATAAGTTCCTGAAAATGCAGATGGTTTTCTTTCTTTTTGTTTTTGTTTTCTGAGACAGAGTCTTGCTCTGTCACCCAGGCTGGAGTGCAGTGGCATGATCATGGCTTACTGCAGCCTTGACCTCATGGGCTCAAGCAATTCTCCCACCTCAGCCTTCTGAGTAGCTGGGACTACAGGTGTGTACTACCACACCCAGCTAATTGTTTATTTTTTAGAGAGATAGGGTCTCACTATGTTGGCCAGGCTGGTCTCAAACTCCTGGGCTAAAGCAGTCTTCCTGCCTCAGCTTCCCAAAGTGTTGTAATTATAGATGTGAGCCACTGCATTTGGCTGGTTTTCTTCTTTGTCTATTTTTTGTTGAGGTAAAATGTACATACATGAAAATGCACAGACCTTCTGTGTACAGTTCAATGAGTTTGGATCCCTATAACCAATACCCCAATAAAAATAGAGAACATTTTCATCACCTCAGAAAATATTGTTGTACCCCATTCCAGTCAATTTCTATCTCCCATAGACAATCACTGTTCTGACTTCTGTCAGCTTAGATTAGCTTTTCCTGTTGTTGAACTCCATACAAATAGTGTCTGGCTTCTTTCACTTAACATAATACTTGTAAGAATTATCCATATTGTTGCATATAAAAGTAGTCTTTTGTTGTTGTTGCTAAGCAACAAAAATAGTATATTCCATTGTGTGAATATACTATGGTTTGTTTATCCACTCTCTTGGTGATAGACAAGTGGCTGGACATTTGGATTGTTTCAGTTTTTAACAACCATTTTTGTTTAAGACTTGTTTTTAATAAGACTTTTTTATATAAGACTTTTTGTAGATATATGTTTTAATTTATCTTGGGTAAATACCCAAGAGTGGAATTGCTGGGCTATGTGGTTTATAAGAACTTTATGACACTGTGAAACTGTTTTTGCAAAGTGGTTGTATCACTTTATACTCCTGCCTGCAGTGTAGGAGAGTTCCAGTTGCTCCACATCCTTTGTCAACATTTGTTGTTGCCAGTCTTTAATTTTAGCCATTTTGGAAGGTGTGAAGTGATATCTTAGGTGTGGTTTCATTTTGCATTTCCCTGATAATCATTGATGCAGAGCACCTTTTCTTGTGCATAAATGGACATTTATGTGTCTTCCGTGAAGTGTCTTAAGTCTTTTGCCTATTTTTTATTGGTAGTTTGTCTCTTTATTATTGATTTGTAGACATTTCTTGGATATACTGGATACAAACTCTTTGTCAGATTTATATATAATAAATATTTTCTCCCAGCCTGTGGCTTGTTCCACTAGGCATGTGTCTTTTGATGAGCAAAAGTTTTGCATTTTTGTGAAGTCCAGCTGATCACATTTTTTCTTTAGTGGTTAGGACTTTTTCTGCCCTTTGCCTATTTCAAGGTCACATCGTTTTTGTTCAGAAGTGAAATCGAGTTTAGGACTGTATTAGTCAGGGTTCTCCAGAGAAACAGAACCAATAGGACATGTACATATTAGAGGGGGAAATATTTATTTTCAGGAATTGGCTTATGCAGTTGTGGAGCCTGGCAAGTCAAAAATCTGCATGGTGGGCCAGCAGGCTGGAGATCTAGGAGAGAATTGATGTTGAAGCTCAAGTACAAAGGCTGTCTGCTGGTAGAATCCCTTCTTCCTTGGGGGAGGTCAGTCTTTTTTCTATTAAGTCCTTCAATACTTGATAGAAAGTTCTTAATAGAAAGTATTGAAGGACTTAATAGTAAAGTAGATTATTATCCATATGTGCGTGGGCCAGTTAATGTGTGAGGCCCACCCACATTATGGATAATAATCTGTTTTACTCAAAATCTGCTCAGTTTACTCAAAATTTGGCCCAATTAATATGTGGGCCTGCATATTATCGTGTCTAAGATAATGTGTCCTTTTACTTTTCTTAGGTAGCAGATGGGGCAAATGCAATTGTGCTGGGGACATTGGGAGACATTTCTTCCCCTCTTGCGATTATTGGTGGCAATTGTGCTCTGCAAGGTTTCAATCATGAAGGAAGTGATCTCTTTTGGACGGTATGAAGAAGAAAACATTCTTTTTGGTACCCTTAAGCATTTTTACTTTTAATGTTCTTTTTTAACCACCAACTCTACTGAGTAATAATATTTATAATTCTGTGCATTAAAAAAGGATATGAATAATTCGAATAGCATTCATTCGTGTTTTGTGTAATCCTCTCCTTCATGTAGCTAATATATTTGGAGTAAATGGAGAAACGATGGCATGCTAATGGTTTGGGGTTTTATTTTCAGGTTACTGGAGACAATGTTAATTCCTTGGCCTTGTGTGACTTTGATGGTGATGGAAAGAAAGAGGTATGTGGGGGAGGAGATATCTCTCTTGTGTGTTCAGCCAAATGAATTTTGCCATGACAGTGACATTAGTGTTGACAGAAGTGTAAGCTTCTCCTGGCTGATTTTGGTGCTCTGTTGCCTAAATGCTCAGCCAGTTGGCCCCATTCGTCTTTCTCTTCTCTTTTGAACAATAAATCACTTGTGCTTGTGTAATAAATACAAAGATCAAAGCCATGGTGTTTCAGAGACACAGGAGAGGGCAGAGAGGGTAGAAGAGTTGGGATTTCAGTCATATTCACGGTCTTATGAATTGCTCCTGATGCTTTGAAACCATATTAGTATATAGTTTTCAATTTTGGCCAACTGTTTTGAGGAATCTAAATGTTTTAGAGATTGGCTTTTAGCCTTTGAAATTATTCTTATGGTTACCCTAGAAATTAGCTTCTTGAGCAGTTAGTAGGTGTGACGTGCTGTGTTGGGCACCGACTTGCCCCTCTCTTGTCCATGGACACTGGACTCTGGTGTTTGAACAGGGCTTCCATCTGTAGGCAGAGAAAGTTGCTGATCCAGGGAGCCTTTTCAGGTACTCAGGGAAATAACGTATTCTGGCAAGATGTGCAGCTCCCATGGCAGGATAAAAGCTGCAGTAGCCCCTGTTCCTTCATTGATTGAATCTGCTGATCCTCCCATTAGAGGGAGCATTTCTGAGCATCAAACGATTATGAGGTTGTCAATCTTGGGTGGCAGAAGCAGCATGCAAAGTACTGTGCAATTTTTTGTTTTGTTTACAGAAATTTTGTTGTTTGCACTTACTCACCTGAACATGTATGATATTTCCCCTTCAGCTTCTTGTTGGATCTGAGGATTTTGATATCCGAGTTTTTAAGGAAGATGAGATTGTGGCAGAAATGACAGAAACAGAGGTAAGAAGCTCCACCTCGAACTATGGTAACCTTGAGCAAGATAGATCAGTACTGTCAGATGAAACATCAAGTGAGAGTGCTGGGGCATCTCCAAACCCAGGTGGTTTTAGGATAAAAGCTTGGGGAGGGGGTCAGACAGAGCTGTATGTTATGGTAAGAAAAGCAATAAAAATCCTAATTAAGATATATTTTGAAAAGACTGATTAAATAGAGAAAAATTATTGCATATAGTTGAATACATAAAGGCATTTCTTTTAATGAGTTAATACATGCAAATAATAATAATGGCAATCATTTATTATGTACCTATTGTATGCCAGGTAGTGCTCTAAGTACTTTATATGAAGTAACATATTGAATCCTTACAACAACCCTAATAGGAAGATAAATTATTATTATTTCTATAGATGAGGAAAATGGTGTTCTGGTTTTTTGTTTGTTTGTTTGTTTGTTTTGAGGCAGAGTTTTACTCCATCACCCAGGCTGGAGTGCGGTGGTGCGATCTCGGCTTACTGCAAGCTCCACCTCCCAAGTTCAAGTGATTCGCATGCCTCAGCCTCCTGAGTAGCTGGGACTACAGGCACGCACCACCACGCCTGGGTAATTTTTGTGTTTTTAATAGAGACGGGGTTTCACCATGTTGGCCAGGCTGGTGTTGAACTCCAGACCTCAAGTGATCCGCCCACCTTGGCCTCCCAAAGTGTTGGGATTACAGGGGTGACCCACCGCGCCTGTATTTTTTGTTAAGTTACTTGTACGTAGTCTTGGCTATGAAATGGCATGGTCAGCATTTGAACCTTTATGCCCCTTCCTCCTCATCATGTGTATTCAGTAGGGCTGAAGTGCATAAATGAGATGTCTATATTTTTTTCTTCCTGCAAATTCAGTACTTCTTTGGCACATTTCTGTAGGTAAACTTAAAAATTATAGAACTTGTGATTAGAATCACTCATGTAACTGAACCTGAGATATTTCTTAATATCCCAGGTTGTTTAGGCCTGATGTTTAGGCCTGGTGCAGTGGCTCATGCCTGTAATCCCAGTGCTTTGGGAGGCCAAGGTGGGAGGATCACTTGAGGCCAGGAGTTTGAGACCCGCCTGGGCAACATAACAAGACTCCATCTCTACAAAAAATATTAAAAAATTAGCCAGAAGGTGATGGCACACGTCTGTAGTCCCAGCTGCTTGGGAGACTGAGGCAGGAGGATCCCTTGAGCCCAGGAGCTTGAGGCTACAGTGAGCTATGATCACGCCACTGCATTCCACCCAGGGGCAACGAGAACAAGACTCTGTCTCAAAAATAAAATTTTTAAGAAGTAACAGTGTTAAGAGTTAGGAAAATAAAGACAAAAATAAAGCAAAAAGCACTATCTAAAGATTACCTGTATCCTTTATGGTTTTGACATTCTTAGGATATTTATTTGCTGCTGGTTTTCCAGGATTGGGCAAGACTCAAACAGAAAAAAATAAGATATTCTTAATTAAGGAATAAGAGGATAAAGGAGCAATAGCTTGTGAACGTTGTAAGTGGACAGAAAGAAACCAGTAAAAGAGAGTCTTAGAGATCAGAATGGTGGGATTTTGCAAAATTTAGTTATGTGGTATTTAGGAGTCTGTATCAGAAAAGCTCGAGGGCACTAGTCTCAAAACTGACCTTGGCCACTTGTCTTTAAATTACTTGCTTCATGTCACTCATAAAAGCTGCCTAAGAAGGTCAGACTTCTTTTCTCCTAACTATAAAAGGAGACAAAAAGCAAAACCTACACATTGACATACAGTGCTACCAATGATTTTAACTAAGTTATCCTATAGCAAGAGTCATCAGTTTTTATTTAGTCCTACTATACTTTTTATATATTCACAGTTATCATGATGTAAGATGATAGTTGTGGACAGAGAAGAAATGAAGAGGAGAAATGGGTGCCAAAAGGAGCAGTCTGAGGATGTGTGTTTATACAGGGAGTCTGTTTTTTATTTTATTATTTTTTTGAGATGGAGTTTCGCTCTTGTCGCCCATGCTGGAGTGCAGTGGCGTGATCTTGGCTCACTGCAACCTCCGCCTCCCAGGTTCAAGTGATTCTCCTGCCTCAGCCTCCCGAGTAGCTGGGATTACAGGCACCTGCCACCGCGCCCAGCTAATTTTTGTATTTTTAGTAGAGATGGGGTTTCGTCATGTTGGCCAGACTGGTCTTGAACTCCTGACCTCAGGTGATCCACCCGCCTCAGCCTCCCAAAGTGTTGGGATTACAGGCATGAGCCACCATGCCTGGCCCGGGAGTCTGTTTTGTGTGTATGTGCTTATATGTGCTTTCTGAAGAGAGGGCCCGGAGCCTTCATTACATTCTTAAAGGGGTTTGCAACCTCCCCCACCACCAAAAAAAAACAACTTGAGAATCCCTGGCTGATAGATGGTGTGTCCCGAATTCTCATATCCCTTTCATTCTAATTTGTGGTAAATCTTTTCTCCTTTGGTGGGAATCATTCAGATTTTGTTGGATTTTTATTGCTTGTTAATATTAGATTTGAGGAGACTGAATTCTTTGAAACATCTCTTTCCTAAATCCTAGAAAAGAGGACAAGAACCTGGAATAGAGTTAGGGATTTGAGGGGACTTGTTGATCTTCTAGTCCACAAAAGGAAGAAACTGGTGAACTAAGGAAGCAGTAAAAGAGCTGAGGAATCTGGGGCTAAATTTATGAAAATATGGACTTCATAACATTGTTCACTTGCAGGGCCATTTTCCTGTTCTCTTTGTTAGGTTTTGCTCCTAGCTCAAATATCATTTCCCAGATCAGCAAAATCATGATTCATTTGGCAGTTGAACAGTATGAAGTATTGTCAGAAGAATGCCTTGAGCTAAATAATTCTGGAATCCTACACAGCACTTTGTATTCATAGTTAAGTGAAGTGGGTGGTTTTGTAGAAAAGCTGTAGGTGTAAAGGAAATTATATAACTATTCTCTGCTTTATACAATTTATTTCTTAATATCTCTTGTATTAGGAACAGAATTAGAAAGTAGATCTGCAGGATCATGGATATCATTAAGCTTTGGTTTTAACTTTAAAGGAAAGTTTTGTTCAGTACCTAAAATTTTATCCTTTTAAGGATGTCAAATCCTTGAACAGTCCTATAAATATTTCTGTATCATATATGCATTCTGTATATTGTTATATACTACACAAATCCACGTGCCTGGGTTTTTACTTTTCAAAGGATTATGTGTTCTTTCTTTTACCTCTAGCAAACAAATTATGTCATAGAAAGAAAAGTGTATACATGAAGTAAGATATTCAATTGTGTATTGTTATAAGTCTTTTAAAAATTGAGACTGTAGGATGTTATAAGTTAAGTAATAATCATTAAAGCCTCTTGGGTGAACATATATAATATCTATTGTATATGCATATTTTCGATCTTGTGTAGTTAGCTTATGTTTTCCTTAGTCCTTCAGTTTTCATGTGTTTTTTAAAAATAATTTTGTGAAACTTGCCACATAAGGTTGCTCTAAAACACCAAACCCTGTGAGTTTATTTAAATCTGATTATACAACTCTGAAGTAGATGACATGTATCGTAGAGAAGAGGAATACATTCCCCACTAATGGATTGGAAGCGCTTTTAAATCTAATTTTAACATAGTTGTAACAAGGAGTGTGAAGTCTTATAAAGCCGTACTTGACAGTAAACTGAGTCTTAATGAAAAGATGTTGTGTTTTTGTGGATTGTTTTGCAGATAGTCACCTCTCTTTGTCCCATGTATGGCAGTCGATTTGGTTATGCCCTTTCCAATGGCACAGTTGGAGTTTATGACAAAACATCCCGATACTGGAGAATTAAAGTTAGTATAATTTAGCCTTTGATATTCAGGCGCTTGATAGTTATTGTGAGACTTCTGTGCTAATTATTAAAATTCTTTTTCAGTCGAAAAATCATGCCATGAGCATTCATGCTTTTGACCTTAATTCTGATGGAGTGAATGAACTGATAACTGGTTGGTCCAATGGGAAGGTAAGTTTGAATAGCAAAGTTCAGGTATAATTCAGAGTAGTAATTGTCCAAGGTGTATTGGCTGTAGGACTTAGAACAGTAACATTGGGATGTAAACTTCAGTTCGTTCCTTGGCAATGTTTTTACATTTAACTTAATAATCTTGACACATTCTTCCTGCTATCATTGTCAAGAGCTGCACAGTGAGAGAGTGTAAGTCTTATAAGCGGTGTTTGGGGGAAATCTTCGGGGAGATTCTGTCTAAATCTCTTATTTGAAGTGCTGAGAATCCATCAGCCAGATTGATTCTAGGTAGTACAACAGTAAAAAAGGAGTTTTAAGGAATTGTTTGAATAGCTCTTTTCCAATACATCTTCAAAACTGCCTGAAAACTTAGCACTAATAGGAAGAATCATGTTAGCATATTGTTTTCTGAGCTATAACTTTAAAATAAAATCCTTTTGCTTGCTTTCCTTTTTTAACTTCAAATCAGAATTTTTTACAGTCTTTTGGCAAGTCAGGATTGTCTTCTTAGAAGCTGCCTAGGTAGCTGCCAGATCTCCATGGATACCATTTGCCCTCGCTTTCTTGTCTGTCAGTGTTGGATTGCCTGAAGGGGATCAGCAAATTCTTATCTTTTCTTCTTTGATTTATCTTTACTTTTCTCTAGCACCTTGTAAGCATTCCTTTGGTGTTACGTGAAGAACGGATTCTAAAAAGCTGTTATGTTGGTTTCTGCTTCTTCACTTAGTTTTGTCATTAGTATGGGTACTAAAAATTATAAGACTGTATAGTTGCTTATTAAGAAATATGAAAGTCTGTGAAATGGGTGTCTTAGTTGGTTTGGGCTGCTGTAACAAAATACCATAGGGTGGGTGGCTTATAAACAACAGAAATTTATTTCTTATAGTTCTGGAGGCTGGGAAGCCCCCATCAAGGTGTTGGCAGTTTCAGTGTCTGGTGAGGGACCACTTCCTCATAGGAGCCTTACAGGGTGGAAGGGGCAAGGGATCTCTCTGGGCCTTCTTTTATAGGGCACTAATCCTGTTCATGGGGGCTCTGCCCTTATGACCTAATCACCTCTCACAAGCTCTACTTGCCAATACCATTCATTACCTTGGCTAATAGGATTCAGCATAGGAATTTGTGGGGGCAAAAACATTCAGATCATAGCAGTGGATCATATTTTGAGGGAATATAAATTATTATGACTGACTTAAGAATTAGAAAACTACTAGACTTGAAAACTTGTCAGGTTACCTTGAAATATAATTGTTGACCTAGATGTTTTTATAGTTAAATGCTTTTGAAATTTTAAGGGATTTCTATTATGTAATGCGTTCCTGAGCATGAAAAAGATAAGAAAATTATATAAGTGGAAAAACCGATTATCTACATCTAACAGAAATATACAAAAAGGAAATATACAGATCCAACTTGTGAATACAGGTGTGAAAATATTAAATAAATGCTGCTAGACAATTAACTTTGTCTTTTGTATGTCATTTGATGAGTTGGAGGGCCATCCTTTCCTTTCAGGGTAAAACCTCCCAGTTGGATTAAGCAAAAGATCAGAATATCCACAGAAATATTAATTTGTAGTCCTGCTTCTTAGTTAGCAAATGAGCCTTCTTATTTGCTAAATATTGTGGAAATGCAGTGGTAGAAGCCATTAGGTAGCTAGGCTTTAACTAGAAAGAAGCAAGTTCAGGTCAGTCTGAGTTAGAGGGCTACATTAATGTGCTTTGTTAAAAATGCAGGTCATTCGTTCTTTCACAGGCTTTAGCATTCATAATTTTCAGGCTTCCATGATGTTATTAATAGCATTAATACTTGACAGTGATATACTGTAGACAAGGGGTAGGCTGTAACCTAAATTACTTTATGTTTTGGTTGCAAAGTTTTGCCCAGAAGATTGTTTATGAAAAGACAAAACTAGTGAGTAGCATTGGTCATCGAAATGATTGCTATGCTAGATTTTCTGTAGCTAGCCTTTTGTTGATAATACCTGTGTCCTTGCCTGGAACATAATCATCTTTTTTTTTTTTTTTGAGACTGGAGTCTCGCTTTGTCACCCAGGCTGGAGTGCAGTGGCGCAATCTCGGCTCACTGCAACCTCCGCCTCCCGGGTTCAAGCGATTCTCCTGCCTCAGCCTCCCTAGTAGCTGGGACTACAGGTGCGTACCACCACACCCAGCTAATTTTTTGTATTTTTAGTACAGACAGGGTTTCACCATGTTAGCCAGAATGGTCTCGATTTCCTGACCTCGTGATCCGCCTGCCTCGGCCTCACAAAGTGCTGGCATTACAGGCGTGAGCCACTGTGCCCGGCCTCATAATCTTCATTTTAAGTGATGGTCACTTATTATCACTTTTGAGATGCATTTGTTTCTGATCAGTCATTTATTTATTTGTTCTCTCTCTTGGAAATGGGAGACTTAGAGGATAGGAGAGCTCTCTAAAGTATCTGAATAGTTTTTATGTGGAAGAGGAACTCTTAACAGGGTTGTTGTAAAAGGTTGCATGGTGGAAGACTGGGCTAACTCCGTAGTTTCTGAACTTCAGATTCAACATACTTTATACATTTATATATAATAAAGATACAATTTTTATATAGAGCTAACATTTATTACGTACTTCTGTGTGTCAGGCCCTGTTGATATATGTTAACTTCATTAGGCCTCAGTTATACCCAATGGGATATAGTACTGTTAATTTCTCCATGTTCTGGTTATTGAACCCCAGATGAAAAGACCAAGCACAGAATGGTTAAGAAACTTGCAAGATGCTGTGGATAGTACGTGGCAGAGCTAGATTCTGAACCTGAGCGGTTTGGCCATTAAGCCCATGCCCTTTTGCACTGTGCTGTGTGTACTATATGTACTGGCTCTTAGCAGACCCGTTTCTTCAAGTGAAGCATTGTGTGAAGGCCTATGAAAAACAGCTTTTATTTAAAAAGAAGGAAGCACAGCTGGTTGAGGCTCTTTAGGGTCCCTCTTGGCCCCAGCAGTCATAGGTATCTCCTGAGAAGTTGTAGGGCTTCATAGAATACTCTTGAAAACTGCTAGACTAAATGACCTTTAAAGCTGATTTTTATTTTTAAATTTTGTGGTTTTTAAACATGTAGCATAAGCAACTTTTAAATTTGTGTTTTATTTGTAGGTTGATGCTCGAAGTGACCGAACTGGGGAGGTCATCTTTAAGGACAATTTTTCTTCTGCAATTGCCGGTGTGGTAGAGGGAGATTACCGGATGGATGGCCACATACAGTTAATCTGCTGCTCAGTGGATGGGGAAAGTAAATTGGGATGAGAAAAATCCTTAAAAAGTCACGTTTTCCATTTGATTGGGTCAAAATATCAGGAAATTTCACCTGAAGTATTTGTACCGAGATCCTGTAGTTCTAATAAATTCACCAAAGTTGGGGAGAACTTAGGTTTTTGTTTTTAAGAGCAGGTAATTGATGACCTAAAAGTATACCTGGTTATACTTGCGGTTTTTTCCTTCTGTTCAGTCCGGGGCTACCTGCCTGGCACGGCTGAGATGAGGGGCAACCTCATGGACACCAGTGCAGAGCAGGACCTGATCCGAGAGCTGAGTCAGAAGAAGCAGAATCTGTTGCTGGAACTCCGTAACTATGAGGAAAATGCCAAGGTAGGTGTAGGTCCTAATGTGACCAGGTAATGGAGGCTGAAATGTTGAGACTGACCGGGAGGATCAGCAAATATGGAAGAATGAGAGTGTCATTGCCAGGGTGTGGCCTTTTTGCCATTGTCAGAATTGAGAGGGGATATATGCTTTCGTCTTGAAATTTCATTTCCAGGTAGTTAAACTGTAGAAATGTTTTCCTGATTGTTTAAGGACATTTCCTGCAGCACTATTTATTTATAGCAGTGAAAACAGCTGGAAGAAACTTAGATGTTCGTCAGCAGTAGGGAGTATGTGCTAAGGAATATTAAGCAGCTCAAAGAATGAATACTTGGACTGATATGGAAGGATATCTGTCGTCTTACCAAGTGACAAAAGGCAAGAACAATATAGAATGTCTTTTATCTTTTTCAAAAACAAACATGTTAAAAACAGACAACTGTAAAAACTGTGTGTGTGCATACAGCAAACTGGCTGAAATATTCCTTTAATTTGTCCTGTAATGCATTACTGTATTTGAATTTGATGTAACAAGGGAATTTGTTTGCTTACTTTAAAAGAACAATACTTCAAAAATGTTAAAGTCATGATGGGATACAGTGGACCATACCCATAGAAAGATGCAAGGGTATTTTCCCACAGGGCCAGATAGAGCAAGGGAGCACTAATGAGGTGAGTTCTCTGAATTCTAAAGAATCAGATTACTATAATAATAATAATATGCTGGAGGCTCTGTCTTTTGAAGCTGAATAGCAATATTATTTAAAATTGATATTAGTTCAGTGTTTTGGTGACTGAGTAGGAAATGGGTGGGGTGTTTTGCAGGCTGAATTGGCCAGTCCACTGAACGAGGCTGATGGGCATCGGGGCATAATCCCAGCCAATACCAGGCTCCACACCACGCTCTCAGTCAGCCTGGGGAATGAGACCCAAACTGCTCATACAGAATTACGCATTTCCACTTCTAATGGTAAGACAGTACTCACAGCTGGTATTTAGAGGCACCTGTGCCATCTTGGAGTCATTCTTTTTTTTTTTTTTGAGACAGAGTCTTCCTCTGTCTTGGCTCACTGCAAGCTCTGCCTCCCGGGTTCATGCCATTCTCCTGTCTCAGCCTCCCAAGTAGCTGGGACTACAGGCGCCCACCACCACGCCCAGCTAATTTTTTGTATTTTTAGTAGAGATAGGGTTTCACCGTGTTAGCCAAGATGGTCTCGACCTCCTGACCTCGTGATCTGCCCACCTCAGCTTCCCAAAGTTGGAGTTGTTCTTAAACTGTTTTTACTCTTCCCTGCAGACACCATCATCCGAGCAGTATTGATTTTTGCAGAAGGAATTTTTACAGGTGAAAGCCACGTGGTACATCCCAGCATTCACAACCTCTCCAGTTCCATCTGCATCCCTATTGTGCCTCCCAAAGATGTCCCTGTGGATCTGCACTTGAAGGCATTCGTGGGTTACAGAAGCAGGTGACCCTTTGCAAGTCACAGTTCATTTCAGGACAGCACTTAGAGGAGGGCAAGATGTATAAATTTTCCATATGCCCAGTGGATTCTTGGGGGCCTGAGAAACCATTTAATGGTTCTGTCTACCCAAAGTTTCTCATGACCTTTTATTTCCTCAGTTTGAAACCTGTAAAAAGAAAATGGAAAAACTGATATGTAAGTTTAAGATGGTTCTTTTTTTTTTTTTTTTTTTGAGACAGATTCTAGCTTTGTCACCCAGGCTGGAGTACAGTGGGGCAATCTCAGTTCACTGCAACCTCTACCTCCTGGGTTCAAGCAATTCTTCTGCCTCAGCCTCCTGAGTACTGGGACCACAGGTGCCCACCACCACGCCCAGCTAATTTTTGTATTTTTAGTAGAGACAGGAGTTCACCATGTTGGCCAGGCTGGTCTTGAACTCCTGACCTCAGGTGATCCACCCGCCTTGGCTTCCGAAAGTGCTGGGATTACAGGCATGAGCCACCACGCCTGGCTAAGATCATTATTTTCTGTTTTTAGTCAGGTGATCTCATAATCAAAAAATGTTTAATTGATGATTTGTCAATTTGTAGTTTTGGCCACTAAAACTACAAGAGTTAGGATGCACCTTTATATTACAGTCATACATAACCTCAGCTAGTGAAGAAAAACTGCTCTATTTGTGGAAGATAAGATACTTTTTACATCCCCTTTATGATATTTTAAACCCTTAGTGCATGCAGGTATATATGTAGACTCATGCTGTCTTTAAATCCCAAACCTAATATATTACTGTAGTACTTTAACCCTCAAGTGTTTTGGGGGTTCCTTCTTAAGTGAAACCCTTAAATATCAATTGATGACCCAGAAGTGGCTTTATTTTCTGGGCCTTGCATTTTGAAAGAACATTCTATACAAAACAATTCTCTTGTGTTTCATTGATTGGCCATAGCACCCAGTTTCATGTATTTGAATCGACAAGACAGCTCCCTCGATTCTCCATGTATGCGCTGACCAGCCTGGACCCTGCCAGTGAGCCAATCAGTTATGTTAACTTTACCATTGCAGAACGGGCACAGAGGGTGAGTATCTCGCTTTTCTCTTTCAATGCTTTTACACAGTAGAATCCTTTAGATGTTATTTCATAGAAAGGGAAAATTACATTAATGTGTTATATTGGTAGCAGTAAATATGATATGAAAGAATTCTCTAACTTGGGGGTGGCTTGTAACCTGTAATAAAAATATTGCTAAAATACCTTCTCTCACTTTGAAAAAGCATCTGAGCAATCCTCAGTTATTGGTGAATTCTTACCAGTGTTTAATTCCTCTCTTTCCGTTATGGTCTTAGTGTGGTTGTCCTGGTGTAGTATTTCAAGAGGAACCTGCAGCAAGATGAAAAGAGAGTGGGACTTGGAGCTAAGAACGTTTTTGGCTTTAAGTGCTACGTTAACTCATTAAATTCTTAGTGATCTTGGGGAAGTCCCCTCACCAGTGTGAGCCTCAGTTTTCTTATCTAATAAGTAAGGATAATCTTACCCACCTTATTGCGGGGGCCCGAGGATTACATGATTGGTGTAACAGTAGCACCTTGTACATTTGAAAGGACTAATACCAGTGGACTTTAACCTTGGCTGGGCTTTGGAATTCTTGGTGGGACTTTTTAATCATGTAGATTCTCAGGCCCCTGCCTGGCCTGTGGAACCACAGACTCTATAGGTGGGCCCTTCCAGAAGGCCTCATGGGTGGTTCTCATGTGGAACCTGTGTTGCAAGCCACTGCATGGTGTTACTGCTATTAACATTAAAACTTATATTTTCCTTATTGTGTGGATATATCTGTGGTGTTTGCCCATGTATACTTCATTTTACATTTCTTAAAGAATAGAATGGAATGGTTTTAAGCACGCTACATTGTCCAGGTTATACCCACAGAAGAGCTGTTGTGTAACAGAATCAGCATCATACCTGAATCATTTGTACATTGCATATAAGACTATGTCTAAGTAGAAGATGCTATGAAATCATGTCTGCTGTGGGGCCAGGCATAATTATGAATGTTACTTAAGAGCATAGGTGAGGTGAGAAAAGGGAATGTGACTAGTGTTTTAGTATTTTCTTGGTGTGGGATGAAGTATAATTCTTTTTTTTTTTTCTCAACAAAGCAGTAAAACTAGAAAGAAGGAGAACTCTTCCCTCAAGAATGGCTGTACCTTCATATCTAGAGGCACATTAAAAAAAAGAACGTCTGTACCTTAAAAATGGAGGTCATTTCATTGTGTTCATTTTCAAGGTTGTTGTATGGCTCGGTCAGAACTTTCTGTTACCAGAAGACACTCACATTCAGAATGCTCCATTTCAAGTGTGTTTCACATCTTTACGGAATGGCGGCCACCTGCATATAAAAATAAAACTTAGTGGAGAGGTAATGTTTAATATCACGGGGCATAGATTTCTTTTTTGAATTTATTTATTCAAACACTTAGACCATGGAATGAGAGGGGCATAGATTTCTCATGTGGTGTTTACCATTCAGTCCAAAGTGAGGTGGGGGACATCAATGTCAAGGTCATAAAACCACGTTTTGTTTTATTTTTTTCACATGGTTTAACTTAGTCTGTTAGTGTTACCATTTTAGACACTGGGGTATAATTTGGAATAGCTGTTTTCTGCCTCCTTCCCTTCATCTCTTCCTTGTCTAATTTGGAAAGAATTGGGAATACAGAGGTCAACAAAAACATTTTCAATGTTTGGATGATTTTGTCATTTAATTTCTAAGGCCAGAGGATTTACCTTTTAGCTAGCTGCTGGAAATAATGCAGTTTGTAATTTCTTTGAGAGCTAAACTTTCCTTTTTCAACACTGCATATATATATATATGCACAATAATTTTGTTGAGTATGGGGAAATTCAGGTACTATTTTAGCTAAGTTTGTCTAACATCTGAGGATGCTAAACTTGTCTATTTTTTCTCTGGGTAGATCACTATAAATACTGATGATATTGATTTGGCTGGTGATATCATCCAGTCAATGGCATCATTTTTTGCTATTGAAGACCTTCAAGTAGAAGCGGATTTTCCTGTCTATTTTGAGGAATTACGAAAGGTGCTAGTTAAGGTGAGGGAATGCGGTAGATGCATTTGTGAGAATGTGGTAGTCTAATAATATTTGAGGAGATTAATGGTACTACAAATGTACTTATGTTATAGTGATGTTTTCAAGAATTTTTGCAATTCTTGAAGTAAAAATTGAACTAGTATTGGAGAGTTTACTACTTAAGGATTTATTTTATAAAAGGAAGTGTTTAGCTCCTGAGCACCATGCTTGCTTTGTTTGGTTTAAAGTGATGCATTTAAATATTAACATTTTCCTTTGTTAGCTCTTCATCTTATTTGTAGTATCTGCTTTGGTCTTCTTCAGTTTGGGTCTTTCCAAAAACCCAAATTCAAGATAAAAGAGCAAAATAAAGATGATTCTGATTGGCCCCAAAGTATACAATATTCCCACTGCAAATCCCTAAAATATTAATATGTGTGTTGTGGGGGCTCCTGGTGCTAAAGCATGGGGAAGATTCACATGGAGTGTCGTGTTGAAATTGGAGGCAGCACAGATGAGTTAACTTGTTGAGACAGAGATGAAATAACGGGAAGTAGCTTAATTGGTATAAGCGAACAGGGGAAAGAAGGGGGTCTCTGTATCTGGTAAATAGTGTCTTTTCATTTGTCTGGGTTCAAGAAGTTTGTGAGGCCTTTTTCATTCCTGAGTGTTCATGGTCTCCAGGTGGATGAATATCATTCAGTGCATCAGAAGCTCAGTGCTGATATGGCTGATCATTCTAATTTGATCCGAAGTTTGCTGGTCGGAGCTGAGGATGCTCGTCTGATGAGGGACATGTGAGTATTTGTCATGGTTAGTACAGGTGCAGGGTTAAAAATGTGAGCAGTATGGAATAGCAACTCTCAGATGTTACCAATAGAAGTATAAATTGTTACAGTGACTTTGGAAAATAACTTGGCATTATCAGTAAAGTTGAAAATGCATGTCCTCTATGACCCAGCAATTCTATTCCTGGTTTATAGCTTAGGGAAAGTTACAGCTTAGTTATATGTATGCTTATAAACCAGGATATTTATATAAGAATATTTGTAAAGGCATTGTTTATAAAAATCTCAAAATGGAAACAATCCAAATTAGCATGAACAGTGTAGCGACAGTGGATGAATTGTGATATATTCATGCAATGGAATACTACACAGCAGTGAGAGCACATGAATCTCCATGACACATAAGAGCAAGGAAAAATCTGATAAGCATAATGGACACTGAAAGAAGACAGACTTAAAAGACTATAAAATGTATCCGTGTGTATAGTTAGAGAAAAGAGTAAACTATAGTTTGGGAAACATGCAATAAATAAAAATATAAATTCAGGGAAGAGATTATCATATAAGATAGTATTTTCTCCTAGAGAAGGAGGGATTATGTTCAGAAAAAACACATTGGGAAACTTCCTGTCTGAAGTCTTGTTTAACTTCATTAAATATTCTGAATTTTTCTGAATATGTAACATTTTACAATAAAAAAGTTAAGTATGTACAGTACAGGTCTTCCTTGGTGCTTGCTAGGATGCCAAATTTACCTTGCCAATAAAATGTACTGAAAAAAATTCAGTAAAATAGTTAACAAATTATAGATGAAATTTATGTGTATATATTAGGGGCAAGAGTTCACTCAGAGTGCTGCTTGTGTTTTTTCCTGAGACGCCTGAATTATTGGCAAATAATTATAATGGTTTTGCTCAGAGGTAAATGGTTTTTAAAATAATTGTATTGTTGAAAATTTCAAACACATACAGAAGTACTTAAATATAATGATTTCATATATACCACCCACCCAACTTCAACAGTTATCAACTAAAGACTGATCTTTTTTCATCTCTACACTCACCCTCTTTCCCTCCCAGGCACTAGATAATTTTGAGGCAAATTTTGGACATTGTGTAATTCTAGCCACAACTATTTCAGACAAAGGGCCTTTCAATATCATATATATATATATACATATATATACACACACACACACACACACACACATATATACACACGTCTGTATAAAAATCACAATGCCATATCACACTTAGAAAAATTTACAATAATTGCTTAATATTACAAATACCTCATCTGTTTAGATGTTCCCAGTTGTCTTATAAATGTGGACATGTGTGTTTTAAGTTGGCTTGCTCAAATCAAAATCCAGATCAAAGTCCATACATTGGATTTGGTTGGAAATCGTTTAATCTTTTAATCCACACTTTTGCTTGCCCACTCAGTCTCTTCTCTCCTTCTCCTGTGGGGTGCCATTTTGGATTTTGCTGGTGGTATCCTTGTGGTAATGTTTAGTATTATTCTTCTGTCCCCTGTATAGAAAGATAATGGTAGATCTGGAGGCTTGATTAGATTCAATTTCAAATTTTGGCAAGAATACTTCGTGAGTAGTGTTGTTTACTTCCATGAGGAAGCATGCAATTTTTGATTGTTTCTTTTTATGATATTATCAGCCATTGATGATCATTGCCTAGATTCATTATTTCTTTTGGGGTTTGCAAAATAGTGATATTCTAATTCTGTTATTCTTTTCTTCATATATTAGTTGAAATACTTCTATGAAAAATAATGTTCCCTCATGAATTAATGAATTATTTGGTTCCCTGAGGTACAGTTTGTACAGGAAAGACAGTTTCTTTATCAGCTTTAAAATAATGTGTTGATCTCCAGCATGCACTAGGTGACCAATGAGATTTTTAAGTCCTTACATACTCATGTATTTGAACATATTTAATGTGTTTCAATTTATATCTGTTATTATTAATTTTTATGGCTAGTTTTTTTTTTTTTTTTCGAGACGGAGTCTCGCTCTGTCGCCCAGGCTGGAGTGCAGTGGTGCAATCTCGGCTCACTGCAACCTCCGCCTCCCGGGTTCATGCCATTCTCCTGCCTCAGCCTCCCGAGTAGCTGGGACTACAGGCGCCCGCCACCAAGCCCGGCTAATTTTTTGTATTTTCAGTAGAGACAGGGTTTCACCGTGTTAGCCAGGATGGTCTCGATCTCCTGAGCTCGTGATCTGCCCGCCTCAGCCTCCCAAAGTGCTGGGATTACAGGTGTGAGCTACTGCGCCCGGCCTTTTACGGCTAGATTTTCCAGTCTGTGGGCAATGGAAGTCTCTTTAGGTTGGATACAGTTACCTTTGGACATGGTCCCATTAATTTGGTTGGTTCTTTGTTTTCTTGTATGATGAAATGTTTCAGGCTTATCTGGTACATTTCCCAGTCTTCATATGGAACCAGCCATTTCTCTCGAGTCCTGGTTCTTTTACATGAGAAATGGTATTTAGAGATCATGGTCTGACCACTAAAGATGTTCATTGCTACTGGGTTGATTATTGTTTTTAGGCCTTTTCAATGCGTAGAGCTAGGAATTTTTTTTTTCAATGAGAAAATATGAGTTCATACTATTTACCATTCAGATTTATGAATATAGGCTCTTCGATTTTATTACTGCGCCTCTTCTCTCTCACATTGAAAATCATGGCTTCAGGTTGGGCACGGTAGTTTACACTTGTAATCCCAGCACTTTGCGATGCTGAGGTGGGAGGATCACATGAGCCCAGGGATTCGAGACCAGCTTGGGCAACATAGTGAGACCCAGTCTCTGCAAAAAAAAAAAAAAAAAAAAAAATTAGCTGGGCATAGTGGTGCATGCCTGTAGTCCTAGTTACTCAGGAGGCAGAGGTAAGAAGATCTCTGGAACCTAGGAGTTTGAGGCTGCAGTGAGCTATGATCATGACACTGCAATCCAGCCTGGGATGACAGAGCAAGATCTCTTAAAAAAAAGTGGGGGAATATCATGGCTCCAATCAGTATCAACATAACTATTTGCTTCATTTTACAGCACAGACACAACATTTAAGAATATTAGCCAAGTTGTTATCAACAATATGATTGCTGAAAACAGTTTAAGATTTTTTGTGTGTTAATTCTTTGTGTCTTTAGGGCATATCCCAGCAGGGAGTTTCCGTCAAATTACTGTATCTTAAAATCATTTGAGATTATTTCTCTTTTGGTTATGCCACAGATTTGATAGAGAGTTAGGTTCATTGTCTTATTTTGCTCTCAGTTTTGGAGGATTGGCATTTTTACCTTTTTGGTTTAATTCTATTACATATTTACTAAAACCTTTTTGTAATTCCAAAGTTAGATCTATAAGACAGGCATGCACGGAAAAGTCTAACTTTCCATTCCTGTGACCTTCATTCTGTTCTCTCCCTTTTACTATAAATAACCAGTTGAACATTTAAGTATATATATGCAGATACACACAGATATATACACACACACCCCTCTTCATGTCTTAGATTAAGTCATAGTATGTATATATCTTTTTCTCCACCTTGGTTTTTTTTTTTTTTTTTTTTTTTTTTGAGACAAGGTCTTGCTGTCACCCAGGCTGGAATGTAGTGATGCAATCACAGCTCACTGCAGCTTCAACCACCCGGGCTCAAGGGATCATCTCACCTCAGCCTCCTGAGTAGATGGGACTAAAGGCATGAGCCACCAGCCCGGCTAATTTTTTATTTTTTTGTAGAGACAGGGTCTCACCACATTGCCTGGGCTGGTCTTGAACTCATGGGATCTACTGATCCTCCCACCTTGGCTTCCCAAAGTGCTGGGATTACAGATGTGAGCCACTGTGTCCAGCCTCCACCTTGCTTTTTACATTTAAAATATATCTTGGAGATTTCTCCACCATGGTGTAGAGAAATACATCTCATTTGTCTTTACGGCTACATAGTACTCCATTTTCTGGCTGTTTTTCAGCCAGTTTCCTCTATTTGGATTGTTTTTTTTTTACTGTAGATAATGCTTAAGTGAATAGTTTTGTTACGTAAATCTTTTTATATTTTTGCCAGGATAGTTTGAGAAAAAGGCTTAACAAATGGGATTACTGCAGTAAATGATACATGCATACAGAATTTTGCAAGGTCTTGTCAAATTCTCCATAGGTGTTACCTCATTTTGTATTCCCATAAGCAATGTATGAGATTGCCTGTTTCTCTTCAGCCTTGCCAGTGGAGTTTGTGGGCATACTCCAGGGGATGAGAAATGGTCTCTTAGTTTTAATTTTTATTTTTTAAATTTTATTTTATTGTGGTAAGACCACAGCATCAGATCTACCTTCTTAACACATTTTTAAGTGTATAATACATTATCGTTGACTATAGGTGCAGTGTTGTACAGCACATCTTTAGAGCTGATTCTTCTTGCTTAACTGAAACTATTGGTAAGCAAATTCCCATTTCTTCTTCCCCTCTTTCAACTATCATTCTACTCTTTGATTTTATGAATTTGACTATTTTAGATACTCCATGCAAATATATAATATTTGTCCTTCTATGACTGGCTTATTTCACTCAGTGTAACATCCTCAGAGTTCGTCCATGTTGTCACATATTGCAGAATTTCCCTCTCTTTTAAGACTGAATAGTGTTCCATTGTTTATATGTACTAAATTTTCTTTATCCATTCACCTGTTGATGAACATTTATGTTTTTTCCACATGTTGGTTATTGTAAATAGTGTGGTGATGAACGTGGGAGTGCTAATAGGTCTTCAGGGTCTTGTCTTCAGTTCATTTGGATAAATACCCGGAAGTGAGATTGCTAGATCATATATGGTAGTTCTATTTTTAATTTTTTGATTACATTTTTAATATTTAATCATTAAAAATTAAAAATTTAAATTTTTAATATTTAATCATTAAAAATTTAAATTTTTAATATTTAAATGTTTTCCATAGTGGCTGCACCATTTTTCATTGTAATCAACAGTGTACAAGGGTTCCAGTTTCTCTACATCCTTGCCAACACTTGTTGTCTTTTTTTTGATAATTTTCATCCTGACAAAGGTGAAATGATACTTCATTGTGGTTTTGATTTGCATTTCCCTGATGACTAGTGGCATTGGGCGTCTTTTTATATACCTGTCGGTCATTTGCTTTTCTTGTTTGGAGAAATTTCTATTCAAGTCCCTAGCTCATTTTTTAATTGGATTACTAGTGTTTTTTTTTTTTTTTTTTTTTGCTGTTGAGTTGTAGGAGCCATTTATTATGTTCAGTATTGGGCATTTTTCATTGTTTTAATTCAGGGCCATTTCCATTTCTTTTTTGTGTGAACTATTTGTCTGTTTACATATCAGGTACTGTTGTAGTCCATTTTGTGCCTCTATAACAGAATACCCGAGAATGGGTAATTTATAAAGGAAAGAAGTTGATTTAGCTTATGGGTCTGTAGGCTGGGAATTACAAGAAACATGGCACTGGCATCCGCTTGACTTCTGTTGAGGGCCATGTGTGAAGTCAAAACATGGCAGAAAAGGTCAAAGGAGAAGGGGACATGTGTGAAGAGGCAAAGCCTGAGGGGTGCCCTAACTTTATAACAACCTGCTCTTTTGATAACTTCATTCCTGCATGAGCGAGAACTCACTCCTGAGAGATGGCATTAATGGCATTAATCTATTCATGAGGGATCTGCCCCCATGACCCAAACACTCCCTACTAGGCCCACCTCCCAACACTGCTGTGCTGGCATTTCAACTTCAACATGAGTTTTGGCGGGGACGAACCACATCCAAACCATAGTGGGTATATTAATCTCTTACGTGTGATATGAGTTGCAAATATGTTTTCCGGAGTTTGTCATTTGGGTTTTCCCTTTGCTTAGATTTTTAAAAAATTTTGCTTTAATGGGCCAGGCGCGGTGGCTCACGCCTGTAATCCCAGCACTTTGGGAGGCTGAGGCAGGTGGATCATGAGGCCAGGAGATCGAGACCGTCCTGACTAACATGGTGAAACCCTGTCTCTACTAAAAATACAAAAAATCAGCCGGTCGTGGTGGCGGGCGCCTGTAGTCCCAGCTATTCGGGAGGCTGAGGCGGGAGAATGGTGTGAACCCGGGAGGCGGAGGTTGCAGTGAGCTGAGATCGCACCACTGCCCTCCAGCCTGGGTGACAGAGTGAGACTCCATCTCAAAAAAAAAAAATTTTGCTTTACTGTTGGTTTTACCTTGTAAGAGCTTTTAAAATTTTGTATATAGTCAAATTATAAGAAAATTTGACTACATTAAGAAAATGTAAGTCATTTTCTTAATACTTTATTTATTTATTTTTGAGACAGAGTCTCACTCTGTTGCCCAGCCTGGAGTGCAGTGGCGTGATCTCGGCTCACTGCAACCTCTGCCTCCCAGATTCAAGTGATTCTCCTGCCTCAGCCTCCCAAGTAGCGCTACCACACCTGGCTGATTTTTGTATTTTTAGTAGAGACGAGGTTTCACCATGTTGGCCAGGCTGGTCTCAAACTCCTGACCTCAGGTGATCTGCCCGCCTTGGCCTCCCAAAGTGCTGGGATTACGGGTGTGAGCCACTGTGCCCAGCCACATTTTCTTAATACTTTTACATTTTGAATTACTGTTAGAAAAGTTTTCTTTAACAGCAGGGTATAGAGTAATTCATCTGTTTTCCTTTAGTACTTGTATATTTTGCTTTTTTACATTAAGTCTCTGTTCCAGTTGGAGTTTATCCTGGTGTTCATATAAATAATAAACTCAGTTTTATCATTTTCCTTATGACTATCACATTATTATTATATTATTATTATTTTTGTGTGTGTGTGTGTGTGTGTGCGTGTGTGTGTGTGTGAGATAGGGTCTCACTGTGTCACCCAGGCTGGAGTGCAGAGAGATCACAGCTCACAGCAGCCTCGATCTCCTGGGCTCAAGTTATCCTCCCACCTCAGCTGCTGGAGTAGCTGGGACTACAGGCGTGTGCTACCATAGCCAGCTAATTTTTGTGTAGACCCAGGGTCTCGCTCTGTTGCCCAGACTGGTCTTGAACTCCTGGGCTCAAGCGATCTGCCTGCCGTGGCCTGTCAAAATGCTGGGATTTCAGGCGTGAGCCACTGTGCCTGGCCACATTGCATTATTTTAATACTACTACTTTTTTTTTTTCTTTGAGATGGAGTTTCGCTCTTGTTGCCCAAGCTGGAGTGCAATGGCGCTATCTTGGCTCACTGCAACCTCTGCCTTCCTGGTTCAAGCCATTCTCCTGCTTCAGCCTCCCGAGTAGCTGGGATTACAGGCATGCGCCACCATGCCCAGCTAATTTTTTTTGTATTTTTAGTAGAGATGGAGTTTCACTATGTTGGCCAGGCTGGTCTCAAACTCCTGACCTCAGGTGATCCACCAACCTCGGCCTCCCAAAGTGCTGGGATTACAGGTGTGAGCCACTGTGCCCAGCCTGATACTACTTCTTTTAAAGTTCATCATGCTTACAATGATTTCAGATACTGCCCTTATCATATATCATATTTCTGTACACAGTTGAATCTATTTCTGGATTTTCTGTACTATTCCATTGGTCTGACTTGTCACTTCATTTGACAATATCATTCTTTTTTAAAAAAAATTATTTTGAGACAGAATCTTATTCTGTTGCCCAGGCTGGAGCACAGTGGTGTGATCACAGCTCACTGCAACCTCGGCCTCCCAGGTACAAGGGATCCTCCTACCTCAGCCTCCTGAGTAGGTGGGACTACAGGCATGTGCCACCACACCCAGCTAATTTTTTTTTATTTTTGGTAGAGACAGGGTCTCACTATATTGCCCAGGCTAGTCTCAAACTCCTGAGGTTAAGCCATCCTCTTGCCTCGGCCATTTTTTTTTTTTAATGTTTGGCTGGGTGCAGTAGCTTATGTCTATAATCCCAGTGCTTTGGGAGGTTGAGGCATGAGGATGGCTTGAGGCCAGGAGCTCAAGACCAGCCTGGGCAATATAGCAAGACCCCATCTCTAAAAAAGAAAATATAAATTTCATTGTGATATTCTGAAATACATATTTGATCTTCAACCCTGTTTCCTGACATAATAACTCCTAAAATCTTAGGCTCTCCAAAGTGATGTCTTTTTGTATGCTATTGATTGGTTTATGGCTGGCAGCTCCTAGGTAGCTTCAGGATAGGGGTCAGTCACCAGAACGACCAAGGCAGGATTAGAGGATTGGGACTTTCTGCCCACCCCTCTCCCAACCTCCAGGGAGTGGAGAGGGGCTGAGAGTTAAGTTGATCACCTATGGCCAGTGGTTTAGTCAGTCATGCCCAAATAATGAAGATTCCATCAAAACCCAAAGGGACAGCATTCAGAGATTTTCTAGACATCTGAACACACAGAGTTTCCTGAAGGTTGATGCACCTAGGGAGGGCATGGAAGCTCCAAGCGCCTTCCCTAATACTTCGTTCTATGCATCTCTTCATCTGTATCCTTTGTAATATCCTTTATAATAAACTAGCAAATGCCATTAAGTTTCCCTGGGTTCTATGTACTGCTCTAGTAAATTAATCAAACCCACAGAGGGGGTCATGGGAACCCTAACTTGAAGCAGATCAGTCAGAAATTCTGGCAGCCTGAACTTGTGATATGTATCTGAAGTCAGGCAGTCTTGTGGGACTGAGCCCTTAATCTGTGAGATCTGACAGTGTCTCCGGGGGAATCGTGTCGGAACGGAATTGGAGGACACCCAGCTGGTGTCTGCTATAGAACTGATTGTTTTCTTGGTGTGTGGGAAAAACCTCCACACAGTTGAGGACAGAAGTCTTCTGTGTTGATTGTTGTGGTGTGGGAGCAGAGGAGGAACAGTTTGTTTTTTTCCCCACTCATGGTGAACTACACAATGTGAAATTTACCATCTTAACTACTGTATACTACTTTTAGTGTACGGTTCAGTGGCATTAAATACGTTCATAATGTGTAACCATCACCACCAGCAGCATCTCTATAATTCTTTATCTCTTAAACCTGAAACTCTGTACCCGTTAAACAGTAACTACCCATTCTCCCTTCCCTTTAGCTCTGGCAACTACCAGTGATGGTGCCATTCTTTCATGTATGGATGTTTTGTATGTTTCAATATCTGGTGTGGGTAGTGCCCCGTCCCCAACCCCTGTTGCTTTTCTTTTTCATGGTTTTTCCTAGCTACTTGTGCTTGTTTGTTCTTTCCAATGAATTTCATCAGCAATTTTTGTAGCTCCGTAACAAAAATAGGTATTTTAATTGAGATGATGTTAAATGCATTAACTTAGGGAGAACTGATGCTGCTGCAGTGATGTTTGGTCTTGCTAGCTAAGAACATGCTATGTCTTTATATTTGCTTAAGCCATGTTTTGTGTCTTTCTGGAGTGCTTTCATGGTTTACTCTTGTAGATACTGGATGTTACCAATTTTAAGTTTATGCTTAGGTATTTTCTGTATTTTTAGACAATTACGAAATATTTTATAATTGTAAATATTTTTTACATTATCTTATTCTATAATTATGGTTTTGTGTTTGTACATATGAACACTGATTTTTATCTGTTGATTTTATAATGTGCCCTTTACTAACTATCTTATAGTTTTTCCAGATGTATTCTTGTATCATCTGTAAATTGAGATAGATATTTGCTCTTTTTGGCCAACTATCTGTAGGGTCCCTAGTTTCTCTATCTCTCTATCTCTCTCTTAAGTCAAAAATGGTTGCTGGCTTTAGGCATTTGATTGCAAAATGTCAACATTTGTTTTTTTTTTTAAATCAAATTAATTGATATATAACTCATACATGCAGAAAATTTATGCTTTTAAGGTTTACAGTTTAATCAATTTTGAGAAACTTATGTAATCATGTTGCTACTACTACAATCGAGATATAGGATATTTCTATCACTGGCCGGGTGGCTCACACTTGTAATCCCAGCATTTTGGGAGGCCAAGGTGGGTGGATCACTTGAAGCCAGGAGTTCGAGACCAGCCTGGCCAACATGGTGAAACCCAGTCTCTACTAAAACTACAAAAAATTAGCCAGGTGTGGTGGCGGGTACCTGTAATCCCACCTATTCAGGAGGCTGAGGCAGGAGAATCACTTGAACCTGGGAGGTGGAGGTTGCAGTGATCCGAGATCGTGCCATTGCACTCCATCTAGCTTACTGGGCAACAAGAGCAAAACTCCATCTCAAAAAAAAAAAAAAAAAAAAAAAAGAATATTTCTGTCACTCTTGTGACTGTTTGTATCAATACCTCTTCTAACCTCCAGTTCCTGGAAACCACTCATCTTATTTCTTTTCCTGTAGTTTCAACCTTTTCAAAATACCATATAAATGGAATCATACTGTATCTATATCTATATATCCTTTTGAGTCTGGCTTCATTCACTTACATAATGTCTTAGAGATTCATCCATGTTGCTGCATGTATTTGTAGTTCCTTTTTTATTGCTGAATAGTATTCCATTGTATGGATATATGATATTTATCTATTCACCAACTGAGGATAATTGGGTTGTTTCCAGACTTTGGTGAGTAGAATAAAGCTGCTATAAATACTTGCATACAAGTTTTTTATAGACATAGGTTTTCATTTCTCTTGGGTAAATACCTTACAATGGGATTGCTGGGTCATACATTGTGTGTTTAACTTTATAAGAAACTGCCAAATCACCTGTCAAAGTAGTTGCAGCTTTTTGTATTTCTGTCCACAATGCATGAAAGTTCCAGTTGTCCCACATCTTTGCTAGCATTTGGTATCTTCAGCTATATTTTTCTTTAGTTATTTTCATTGTTGTGTAGTATAGATCTCATTTCTGTTTTAATTTTATGACTTTGTTTTAAACCTTTGATAAAATACAAGGCTGAGTTGTCAACCAGGCCACTTTAGTCTAATGAATATTCATCTGAAACTTGGAAGGTGGGCTGTCACCTTGCTCACTTGTCCCTACTCCCAGCACAGTGGGCTTGAGAATTCTTAACCACCTAAATCAACCATTGACCAGTAACCAAGGAAGGCCACTTGTCTTCTGTTTATTTGGAAGGAAAAGAATATTTTTATGGAACTTATCCGTATTTTCAAAGCAAACTAGCAGTTACTCGATTTTAATGAAAATATAGCTTAAAAATGGTGTCTTTTCTTTGTATGTCTAAGAAATTTGCAAGTTTTTCTTAAGCTTGCCATATCAACATGAAATGATGTCAAATTTCTACTGATTTGCACAGGAAAACAATGAAGAGTCGTTATATGGAACTCTATGACCTTAATAGAGACTTGCTAAATGGATATAAAATTCGCTGTAACAATCACACAGAGCTGTTGGGAAACCTCAAAGCAGTAAATCAAGCAATTCAAAGAGCAGGTCGTCTGCGGGGTAAGTCTCTTTTCATAACACTGCACTTTGATCTGTAATGTTTTTGGTGGAACTCATTGAAGATGGTGGTAGCATCCAATAATTCATATTGGGGCTGAAAGTAGCATACCTTTCACACTCCAGAGCTGGCACCAGTCACTTATGTTTCAGTCAGTCGGCCTAGTGTTTGGCTTTTGTCTCCGGACTTCAAAGGGAGAGAAAACCTTCAGCTCCTTTTCTTAGACCTTCCTGCATCCTCTAAAGAAAAACCTACTATATATAACCCAAAGGAAATATATAAACATATATATATAAATAAAACCATCAAGGCCCAATTAGCAAAAAAGAGACTGAAAATTAATGCTAAGTGTCTAACTTAAAAATTTAGAAAAGAACAATAGGATAAACCCAAGGAAGCAGAAATATAGCCAGAGATTTATACCTGAATTCTGCTGTTTTGGGTCGATGCTTTGACTTCTTTAGAAATAATCTTTGCTAGGTGACTATGAGCTTTGATCCTTTTCTGTAAAACTGACTGTTGGTTTCTAGGTTTGAGACAGTCTCTAAGTCAGTTTTTTCAATAATTCCCTCACCAAGTTATTTTTTTTAGGGAATGGTAAGATAAATCATATTTCAAGTATAACTCTTTTCCCTCCTGGTTTTATGTTGTTTTAAAACTGACGTCTAATTTTATAATTTCATGTCTAACAATCTTTTGGTTCCTGATGTTTCTTCTTATGCAGTTGGAAAACCAAAGAACCAGGTGATCACTGCTTGTCGGGATGCAATTCGAAGCAATAACATCAACACACTGTTCAAAATCATGCGAGTGGGGACAGCTTCTTCCTAGGTGAGGAAAATACAGGTCATGAAGTTCCTGGCAAAGATTTTCTGTTAAAAACCTATGCTGGTTTGCTTTGGATCACACCCTGGTGAACCCCGGGTGCTAAGAATGAAAATAACCTTGGTGAGTTGTACAAATTAAAGACAAAGAACTACATGTGAAGATAGACTTGCTTTCTATTTTTAAATCAGTAGTAGTACTGTTGCTGAATAATACTAGGTTTTTATGGAATAGGATGAATGCTTTTGAAGTATTAGGGCTTCAGAGTCCAATTTTGCTTATTTATGGTATATAAATACATATTTTTTTCTTGAAATTGCAATTGAGTTTGTACTTTTCAAATAGATTATCTACTTTTTCATTAAAATGTAAAGATGTTAAACTTTGTGTTGATTGATTATAAAATCACCACCAAATCAGAATTGCCCATTTGTATTTTGTAGTAGAGAAAAACAAAAATGTGGGCTGGGCACAGGGCTTATGCCTGTAATCTAGCACTTTGGGAGGCCAGGGCGGGCGGATCATAAGGTCAGGAGATCGAGACCATCCTGGCTAACACGGTGAAACCCCGTCTCTACTAAAAACACAAAAAATTAGCTGGGCATGGTGGCACTCATCTGTAGTCCAAGCTACTTGGGAGGCTGAGGCAGGAGAATTGCTTGAACCCGGGTGGCAGAGGTTGCAATGAGCCTAGATTGCACCACTGCACTCCAGTCTGGGCGACAGCAAGACTCCCGTCTAAAAAAAAAAAAAAAAAAAATATTTGGGCTGAGCTCAGTGGCTCACACCTATAATCCTAGCACTTTGGGAGGCCAAGGCGGGTGGATCCCCTGAGGTCAGGAGTTTGAGACCAGCCTGGCCAACATGATGAAACCTGGTCTCTACTAAAAATACAAAAAATTAGCCAGGTTTGGTGGTGGACACCTACAATCCCAGCTATGCAGGAGGCTGAGGCAGGAGAATTGCTTGAACCCAGGAGGTGGAGGTTGCAGTGAGCAAGATTGCACCACTGCACTCCAGCCTGGGTGACAAGAGCAAAACTCTGTCTCAAAAAAAAAAAAAAATGTGGATATTTGGATTTGTGTGCTTTTTAATCACTGAAAGATGGGTGCAAACAACAAATTTACATTAAGGAAGAGTCAATTTAGAGTGATTACTTTGTTGGGCTAATGTTAGCTGCTGTAACAAATAGACCTCAAAATCATAATGACTCATTTTTCATTTATTATGTAAGGATTTCTCCATAGTTATGCAGGGACCCAGGTTCCTTTAATCATGTGGCTCTGTCATCCCCTAGGACAAACTTTTCTACCTGAGTTCACTAAAGGACTAAGCCTAAGGAAAAAGGTTTGGGTGACTAGTTTCACATTCAGTACATACAGTGGAGGGAGGTCTTAGGGCAGTGGGGCTTTATTATCTCACTTGGAACACTATTTGACAAGGGCTGTCCTAGGGCCTTGTGGTTATTTACAGCCATGTACCAGATAATGAAGTTTAGGTCACCATAAGATTATAATACTGTATTTTTACTGTACCTTTGTGTTTAGATATGTATAATTACACAAATACTTAGCATTATGTTACAGTTTCCTACAGTATTCAGTATAGTACCATGCTGTACAGATTTGTAGGCTGGGAACAACAGGCTATACTGTATAGCCTAGGTGTGGAGTAGGCTATACCATCTAGGTGTGTATAAGTGCACACTGTACAATGTTCACATGATGACAAAGTAGCCTAACAATGCATTTCTCAGACTGTACTGCTGTTGTTAGCAGAGCATGACCATATAGCTGAGCCGGTAGAAGAGAGTAAGAGGGAAACATGTCTTCTTCTTTTAAAAGTGTGGTCTGAAAGTAGCACACTATCATTTCCATTCAGAATTCCATTGAGTCACATGACCACATCTGCAGGGGAGGCCGGGAGATGGAATCTAGCTGTGTGCCTGTAGGAACGCTGGTATTTGTGCCAATAGCTAGCAGTCTCTTCCCTAGGAAAAATTTCGCCCTAACGTAGATTTCAGGACTGGTTTAATGAGTGAAACTTCAGTTAGTTTTAATATCTTAATAGCTGTTTAGGGGAAGTGGAGCATTTCCCTGAGGTTAGTAAACATTAATTTTATTGATTTTGATGTGGCCACTTTACGATGGCCCCTCCTATATCTGAAATTTAAGCCTTATGGAGTCCTAATTATGAGAATATGCTAATACTTTTGTTTTTCATTTTCAACCTATAAACTCAAGAGATAATCCACATACACTGTATTATTTTCAATCTCCAAAGTAGTAAAGTATCATCGTAAATCTGCCTCACACAGAGGTTGCTGTGAGCCGAGATCATGCCACTGCACTCTAGCCTGGGTGACAGAGGGAGACTCCATCTCCAAAACAAAAATAAATAAATAAATAAATAAATGTGCCTCACAGAGGAGGAAACTGAGGCATAAATAACCTCCTTTTCAGGTCACAGAGTTAGTGACCTGTGTGACCTGTCTAGTGACTCAAGAGGAAACTTGAGTCCTACTGTTGAGTCTTTGTTTTAACCATAGTCTAATTTATACCATTTGAGATTAAAATCTCTAGTTGGTGCTAGTTTTAAATTATATAATGCCATTCATTTTTAGGGAGTCTAATAACATAATCTCATCAAAGGTCACTCTGTTGTTCTTTAGCTAAAAAACTTCCTTCTTAGACCTAAAAATACTCATGGCCAGGCTAGAAGGCATTGACCTGCAGCAAGACATATTAAGTTGTTCTGATTCATAGGTTATTTTCACAGTAATTTGATCCTGTTGATGTTGGTGTCTGTTTCACAGATGAGGCTCTGAGCTCTAAGACAGAGTGTCCTGTACAGGGTCCCACAGCTGGGTAAGCCCTGGTGTGAAGGAGGTGTTGGAAACAAGTAGTCACGGCCTCTTCTACTCCAAACTTCCCAAGCAAGTAAAGACTGGCCGAAGTGAAAACATTCATAAAACATGCAACTACCTTTTTTCCCCCAACTTAGAACTCATCCTGTTCAGCTTAGGAGTGAGGAAAAACTGGACAAGGAGAGATGAGTTTATCAGTAACTTCTCTATTTTGTTGCCATATGTTTCTATCCTGATAGAATCTGAGTACTTCTAGAAGCTACAGCAAAGCTGTATTTCACTGCTGAATTACATTGAAGCTTTAAGTGAGCACTGAGCTGTCATTTAAAAGCTGACTTTGAGGATTTTGATATCTGAGAGAAAGCTTTCAGTACCATAATTCAGGTTCTGAGGATTTTTAAGAGTATAATTTGTATTATTTCCCACCATGACTGCCTATCCAGTACCTCAAAGCCCCGCTCAAATGCTCTCTCCTTAGGTGACCTTTCCTCTCCCATGTCTACTCCTTAACCCTTATTAAATTCTTTACTTAAATCTTAATCCCCTGTTAAGCAAGAATGGTGTCTGCATCTTAACCAGCGTCACCCTCGCCCCAGTGCTGAGCCAGTGCCTTGAGCATAGAATAGCATCTGCCGCTCTGCTTGGGATTGTCTGTCCTTAATACGCCTGTCAGCAGCTTCAGAAATCAAAGAACTAGGAACTTTAAAACTATTATGCAACCCTAGAAGTGTTTTACAAGAAAGATTTTCAACATTGTTATTAATGTTTCAAATTTTATAATTAGCAGTTACAGATCTGCCAATGCACAGTCCTGTCATTATAGAACTAAATTACCTCCAATTTCATTTGGAAACTCAAGTACAGTAAGACACCCATTACAGCCTGGTGTTTCGCATTTTGCCTCTTTTCCATCTGGCCCCTGCCCACACTCTATGCTCTAGCTCTGAAGTCATCTTGTAATCTGTACAGTACAGAATCTGCTTTTCCTAAAAGTGATGTCACATGGACAGTTCCCAAGTCGTTTTTAAATTGTCTTTGTGGACTGATTTTGCATCAGAGAGGGAATCATCAGGACACCCATTTCCATGCAGGCTGGAGAGCCCTCCTCTGGCATCACTTCACTAGATCTCCTCGACCCTTTTCAACAGGGTTTGTGCTTCCTCATTGTTTAGTAGTGGTTAAGTATGTCATGGTGTTGAAGCAGTAATGCACCCCAAAACTTCTTATTCAAGAAATACTGCCAGAACTTTGGGAGGTCAAGGCGGGTGGGTCACTTGAGGTCAGGAGTTTGAGACCAGCCTGGCCAACATGGTGAAATCCCATCTCTACTAAAAATACAAAAATTAGCCAGTGTGGTGTTAGGCACCTGTAATCCCAGAATTGCTTGAACCTGGGAGGCAGAGGTTGCAGTGAGTTGAGATCATGCCACTGCACTCCAGCCTGGGTGACAGAGACTCCGTCTCAAAAAAAATAAAAAATAAAAAATAAAAAATACTGGTCTGGGAGAGGTAACCCAAGCTTTGTTTTTTTTTTTGTTTTTTTTTTTTTGTGTGTGTGTGTGTGAGGGGGTGTTCTGTGGGGAAGAAACCCACATTCAGTGGAATTTTGAGAGGCAATCTTTAAACAGTAGACAAGCCCAGTTCAAAACTAACAGATTCTTTCTTTTGGAACCCTAACTTTCCACATTTTAAAGATGTGGACTTTAAAATTAAAGATGTGGACCTAATTTTAAAGATTAAGGACTAGTGTTATTTATAGGGTACTTCCTTAGACATTTTATTTTTCTTCTTATTCAAAGATGCAAATATGTTCACAAGTTTTGTTAAAACGTTCCTAATTTCCAGTATGGTTAACATATAAAGAAGAAGTAGTGAAGTAGTCTCTGTAAGGCTGTTCTCTTCCTGTCCAATGCTGGAGCTTGAAGCCCATAGGGCGGGTAGTCAGAAAAGATGTGGAGTTGGGGAGAACAAGCTGCAACCCACAGGCATGGGCTGGAGCCCGTGAGGATGCTAAAATCTGTCCGTTCTTGTTGCTTCTGACCTTGATGGTGTGGGCATTCTGCTGAAACTGAGACCCTTCACAGAGGAGCTGAAGGAAGATCCATCCAGGGGAAGGTGGAGCGGTTGCAGGCCCAGGCACAGGTGTGGTTCACACCAGCAAGGTGTGCCAGCTACTCAAGGGCTGCTGCTGCATTGGGCCCTGCAGATCTGGCATAGGAATTTGTGGCTCATCCTAACCTGAGACATAGGGAAGAGAGTTCTGGGAAATGTAGTTCAGTCTAGCCAAGTTGATACATGACAAAGCTACCAGTGGCTGTCATAGGATGGTGGGATTTCAGGTGATCCTTAGATATTACATGTTATTACCTCACAATGAGCATGTGTTATTTATATAGTCTGAAAAAACAGAAAGCTATTTTTTTTGAGACGGATTCTTGTTCTGTTGCCCAGGCTGGAGTGCAGTGGTGCGATCTCGGCTCACTGCAACCTCTGCCTCCCTCCTGGGTTCAAGCGATTCTCCTGCCTCAGCCTCCCAAGTACCTGGGATTACAGGCACGTGCCAGCACACCCAGCTAATTTTTGTATTTTTAGCAGAGATAGGGTTTCACCATGTTGGCCAGGCTGGTCTCCCAACTCCTGACCTCAGGTAATCTGCCAGCCTCGGGGCCTCCCAAAGTGCTGGGATTACAGGTGTGAGCCACTATGCCGGGCCCATAGAGCTATTTTCTTTGGGGATAAAAATGGGAGTTATAAGAATTGGAGACTCACTATTAAGAATAAAGAGAGAAACCATATATTTTACAGGTGAACATCATAGCTTTTATCTGAAAGAGGTATAAAAAAGATGCCCATGTTCTAATTCTTCTTTTGCTACCTAAGAGTTGTTGACATTGGCCCCAGGCCCTAAAAAGCAATCAAGATGCAAAATGAAGTACTATAAGGAAAACAAACTTCACTATCACTGTGTATCTATCTTCAGTGCAGAAACACAATCTTTTAAGTTACACCATCCTTCACAATCTAAGAGGTGCTGCTGTAGATGATGTAACTGACAGCAACATCAGAGTTGGGCTCCTAGGGATTCTCTCCCCTCAGACACCCGAGTCCCTTTTTGTAGTGTATAAAAGATGATTATGTGTTGACAGATCATAAACACACTGAGATAAAGGAGACACTAAAAAGCACATTTTAACACTTGTGAGGTATTCTAAGATTCAGATTTGGCTTTCCAGAATTGGAAAATTGGCCTTGGATGGTGCCTACAGCCATGAGTCTCAAACTATTTTCCAAGCTTGGCACACATGACAGTTTCACCTACCCAAGCACTTTTCCCTGGGTCTTCCTGAAGTTATGCCACTGACACCCTTTCCCCTCAACTCATGAAAACACATCAGAAGGCAAGTGAGTGAGATGACCTTTAGTCAGCTGGAATATAGAAAAGGCAAGCTGTGACATTAACCATTAGTAACAGTATTCGCAATCCCACTTGAGTGTTGCTACACTGTGGTTAAAAAATTGTGGTCTCCAGCCTGGCCAACATGGTGAAACCCTGTCTCTACTAAAAATATAAAAAAATTAGCTGGGTATGGAGGCAGGTGCCTGTAATCCCAGCTACTTAGGAGGCTGAGGCAGGAGAATTGCTTGAACCCAGGAGACAGAGGTCACAGTGAGCCGATATCATGCCACTGTACTCCAGCCTGGGCCACAGAGTGAGACTCCATCTCAAACGCAAAAAAAATTGTGGTCTCCAAAATAGTATGGTGTAAAATGGTTCGTTACCATATGCATAGGGGAAGACAATGTTAGAACTAGTTCTAGATATTTCTTTTTATCTCATCATTTAAAAATTAGTGTTTTATAACAGTAAGTTATAGAAATAATATTACTACATGTGTAAAATATATAAATATCCATATCAAGGGCATACCTGCTAAAACATTTCTTAACTGGCTAGGGTGCAGAATTAAACCTTTTTGAAACTAAACCTAAAAGCCAAAGCGAAAGTCATTTTCATTTAAATGCAAACTTCAGAAAAGAATGAATACTCAAAAGTTTTAGGAGATGAAAGAGAAGAGTAGTTAAGAAGTTTAAAGGCCCAGTGCTTTTTCTATTAATTAGTAAAACCCACACTAAACACTACTGCAAAAGCTAAAAATAAATGTAAAAAAGAGAAAGGAAACAGAAGACTCTATTGGGATGGAATGAGAACAGCATCTTTCATCCACCCATGCATACCCACACACAGGTAATTATGATGTAACTCCCTGGAACAGTTCAAGAAAAAAATTAACAAGATGCACAGCCTCTTGGCATTCTGATGTGGTTTTAGCATTCCGTCTCTTAAAATAAAAAGCAATTAGTTATATAGTTGACCCTACAGTATTTAGGAAAACAGAAGCAACACGTGAGGCTAAAATCATTTAATTATACACAGGCCACAATTGCAGGATGGAAAGGCAGTGGGCACTTGGAAGTGACTACACATGGCAATAAGCAGCCTATCTTCTTTACCAACCAGAAGTTTCTTGGGGCATGTGATGGTAGGCCAGACCCTTTCCAAGGGAATAATACTACACTAAGCCTACACTGTACTGTGAGAGTCATGGTGGAACAAGGCCACAGGCAGTGGGAGGAAATGTGATGACTCACTGTGTCAGAATTCTAAGGCCCAGCATGATCAGGATGTAAGGCTCCATAATTTTCTAAACCAGAAATTATGAGAAGAACAAAATTCTGCAATCACTTATGTTTTTTTCTTCTTTTTTTTTTTTGAGACAGAGTTTCACTCTTGTTGCCCAGGCTGGAGTGCAGTGGCACAATCTCGGCTCACTGCAACCTCCGCCTCCTGGGTTCAACCAATTCTCCTGCCCCAGCCTCCTGAGTAGCTGGGATTACAGGCATGTGCCACCACGCCCAGCTAATTTTGTATTTTTAGTAGAGATGGGGTTTCTCCATGTTTGTCAGGCTGGTCTTTAACTCCTGACCTCAGGTGATCCGCCTGCCTTGGCCTCCCAAGTGCTGGGATTACAGGCGTGAGCCACCATGCCCGGCTGCAATCACGTATGAGTTTTTCTAAAAAAACCGAAACACTGGAAACATGGATGCATCTTAAAGACTTTATGCTAAGTGAAACCAGTCACAAAAGGACAAATACTGTATGATTCCACTTACATGAGAAATATGAGTAGTGAAGTTGATGATAGAGACAAAAGGTATGGCTGTTGCTAGGGGAAGGGGAGGTGGGGAGTTATTGTTCAATGGGCACAGAATTTGGGAAGATGGAAAACTTCTGGAGATGGATGATGGTGATGGCTGGACAACAATGAGAATGTACTTAATCCACTGAATTGCATATTTAAAAATGGGTAAGCTGGTCAGTTTTATGTTATAAATATTTTACCTCAATAAAAACAAATTGAACTTAAAAATTCACTGAAGAAGCCAATATGGAAAAAGGACTAAATGTTAAAAAAAAAAAAGCCAACTTTTTTTTTTTAATCAAGAGATAAGTACTTAGCTGCAAGCTCAAGGTCTCGGTTGAGGACAATCATTATGAGTCCTAGTAAAAGACAACCAGTTTTAAGAACACTGTCAGGCAAGCTACCATGTAGTTCTCCTTGACTCCATGCTTAGCTCTTTCAGACTTCCCAGTAATTACGAAGGGTCACATTTTTGTTCAGCTTTGCCCAGTGCTGTCATTCATAATAGATGAATGAAAAGTCCCAGAAACCTGTTCTGTTTGGGAAGGTTTTCTTTTGTTCCAGGCTTCGGTGGTTAATATGCTTGACAAATTTCAGAGTCTCTCTGTCTCTGTAGACCAATGCCAAAGAATTGCTTTCTGGATTCACTGTTAGCAGCTGAAAAAGACAAATACAGTGACACATCAGAACACAGAACTTATTCTCAAATCTTGGATGATTAACCATGGAACAGATGGTTTCCATATCAAGCACTTAATCTGGGGATAGAGGGGTCCTCTGAATGAACACTTACTAGGGGTGGCTGTCAAGCCATTTTCCAACAAGCCCTATTCCAGCATATACCTAGAAAGGTACTTACCTATTACATTTATTTCTTACTACATTGTAAGATTTGTGGGAATGCACCACATGGCTCTTAATTTGGAATTTCTCAGGAGGGTAAAATAAATGCTTACTGAGTATCCTTTAGCATCTTTATTCCATCCTGAGTATTTTCTACTAGAAATTAGAACCATTGCCTGGCAGAGATTTATTAGCTAAAGACACTGGTAGAAGGTCATAAAAATTGGGTCTTTGAAAAATGAAAGCATTCTCAATAACTAAAAATGATAGTTTGCTATCAGAAGAAACTTACCTCTTCATCTTCACCTTTGGCAATGTAAGAAGTAAAACCGCCATATTCTGGCTCCCAGCCTTACAAGAGAAAAACAAACAGCATTCAGAAAGCTCCTATTGAAAGAGTCGCACCATCTACTTAAATCACTGATCCCATGCTGCTTAACAGTGGGGGATCTGGGAGTTCAGCAGTAACTGGTTCTATGACTTATGAGCTTGAACTTATCATCTAGTTTATCATGGATTGCCTTCCCCTAAATGCCTAATTTCCTGAGACAGCTGAACTGAAATGCAGTCTTATTTCAATAAACTTTGAATATGAAAATTAAGAGAGAATTAAATGCTAAATATTCCCAGAAGGGCAATTACATAAAATCTATAGATCTGGGAGCACACTTAGGGGAAAATTATGGTGTGGTCCATCTCCCCATTTCCTAGTCACAGATATAAATCCTATTTTGAGCTGGGAGACTGGAATTCATGACCCGTAAAATCCCTTTGACTTTGAGATCCCATGATGTGAGATTCTGAACTAGGCAAATTACTTATGAATTGGTTCAGCTGGAAAGGGTCCCTCAGAAGAGACTGCCCCTCCTACGGGGAATAATCCACCGCTTGCTTTCCTCCCTCTTACCTTCACAGCCACAGTACAGAATTAAGTCTAGGGCAAATTCAGCCTTGCTATGGTCATGAATTAAAGTGTAGTGACCGGTCTTCCAATGCCTCAGTTCCCCTTGGCACATGGGAACACTTGATTCTAAGGAAAAAAAAAAAGATGAGAAACTTTAAAAAATAACCTTGATAGAACTGTTGGATTGCAAGGGAATCATAATTAGGAATGATACAGCAACACAGGGAAACCATTCCCACAAACCTTTGATTGAAGTGCTATTCTACCAATCCAGCCTTATAAAAGATTGTTAGGAATTACCAGCTCTATTTTGGGGTAAAAAAGTTGAATTTTGGGCCGGGCATGGTGGCTCATGCCTGTAATCCCAACACTTTGGGAGGCTGAGGTGGGCAGATCACCTGAGGTCGGGAGTTCAAGACCAGCCTGACCAACATGGAGAAACCCCATCTCTACTACAAATACAAAATTAGCCAGGCGTGGTAGTGCATGCCTGTAATCCAGCTACCCGGGAGGCTTAAGGCAGGAGAGTTGCTTGAGCCCGGGTGGCAGAGGTTGTGGTAAGCCGAGATTGTGCCATTACACTCCAGCCTGGGCAACAAGAGTGAAACTCCATCTCAAAAAAAAAAAAAAAAAAAAGTTGAATTTTGATTTCTCTCTATAATAATAAATTTCAGATGGAAAAGAAGTCTAGTTGCAAAAAAATAAAAAATACGACATGAATATTATTTTATCTAACCTTAAGAGATTTCTCAGCATGTTATTACCTAAAGTAGAAACGAGGAAAGGCAAAGATAGACCTGATTACTAAAATATTTTATAAAATTTAAACCATGCTGAACAAAATTAAAAAATGAACTATTACAATCTGTTAAACAGAAGGTTAGTACTCCTCTGAGGCAGGCAGATCACCTGAGGTCAGGAGTTCAAGACCAGCCTGGCCAATATGGCAAAACCCCGTTTCTACTAAAAATACGAAAATATTAGCTGAGCATGGTGGCGTGTGCCTGTAATCCCAGCTACTTAGGAGGCTGAGGCATGAGAATCGCTTGAACCTGGGAGGCAGAGGTTGCAGTGAGCTGAGATCACACCACTGTACTCCAGCCTGGGTGACAGAGCGAGAGTCCACCTCAAAAAAAAAAAGAAGGTTAATACTCCTATATGTAACTTTTTAAAATTAACTAATAAAATGACAAAAAGCCCAAAGGAAAAATACACTGAGGTAATGACAGGCAACTCATGAAAAAAAAAAATCAAGTAACCAATAGGGAAAAATATACAACCACGCACCATTAGTCAATGATAGGCGAATGCCATTTCCACCTAAAGAATAAGCAAGTTGGAAAAGAAAATATAACAGTTTGCTAGGAAGAATGAAAACATCATCATGTACAATGCTGGTGGGAGTGCAGACTGATACAAGTTTTGGGGAGGCAATTTGGCAACTGCCTTAAAATTTTGAGCAGTCTTTGATGTATCACCTGTACTTCTGAGAAGCATTCTGAAGACACAATGGATGTGTCGTTTATTATGACAGTGAAGAACTGGAAAAAATCTAAATGCTCAACACAGGACTGGTTAAGGTCATCTGATCCAATAGATTGCAAGCATTAAAAAGTATACTAGAGAACGGTGTTTTTCAAAACTTAATTGTGGCATACATTCTTGAAATAAAAGCTTCTAGAAATGCAATGTTGGAAAGCAGATACATGTAAAACTGCTTTGGTGGCCAGGCGTGGTGGCTCACTCCTGTAATCCCAGCACTTTGGGAGGCCAGGGTGGGCGGATCATGAGGTCAAGAGATGGAGACCATCCTGGCTAACACGGTGAAACCCCGTCTCTACTAAAAATACAAAACGTTAGCCGGGCGTGGTGGCATGCGCCTGTAGTCCCAGCTACTCGGGAGGCTGAGGCAGGAGAATCGCTTGAACCCGGAAGACGGAGGTAGCAGTGAGCCGAGATCATGCCACTGCACTTCAGCCTGGCAACAGAGCGAGACTCTGTCTCCAAACCAAACCAAACCAAACCAAAACAAAAAAAGCAAAACTGCTTTGGTGGAAGGTTTCCTAAGTGAGGAGGGTGTGCAAACCTGTTCTATTGTTATAAAGGATGTAAAAGGATCAGAAAGAGGTTTATGAAATATTAAGTGGAAAAAATACAGAACAATATATATGGTATAATCTCATTAAAAATAGATGTGTAAAAATATACCCCCCATATGTGTATACATGTATATGTCTACATAGCAAAAAAACAGTGGAAGGATATATTCCAAATGCTAATATGGCCACTTGTAGATTATTATTTTCCTTTTTCTTGTTTTCTAAACATTCTGAAATTGACGTATTTTTATTTTTTAAAATCATCTTCAAGTTATCAGGTCTGTAATGTTATCTCACTAGATGTGCCCTAGCTATGCCAATGTTTAGCACTGCTATCATATGCCCAGCAATTTGATAGCTTTTGCCAAGCTTTATAGCTTTTCTTCAAGATGGTAAACTTCGTAAACAGTGACTTTTCTCTTTCACTTTTGTATTCCCTACTCTGCTTTCACCCAAGGCCCCCTGTATACAGTAGGTGCTCAACAATGGAATAAAGCATCTTTTGGCTGCCCATATAGATTTTATCCTAAGTTGCAGGTTCCCGTAAAAATGAAACCAAAAAAGGAATAGAACTGGACAAGTTTTGGCCAGGTGTGATTGGTCACGCTTGTAATCACTGCACTTTGGGAGGACAAGGTAGGAGGATTACTTGAGCCTAGGGGTTTGAGACCAGCCTGGGCAACATGGCAAGATCCCATCTTTACAAAAAAAAAAAAATCAAGAAAATTAGTTGGGTGTGGTGGCATATGCCTGTGATCCCAGCTACTTGGGATACTGAGGCAGAAGGATCGCTCGAGCCTAGGAGGTCAAGGCTGCAGTGAGCTGTGATTGCACCACTGCACTCCAGCCTGGGTGACAGTGCAAGACCGTGTCTCAAAACAAACAAACAAACAAACAAACAGAAGTGGATAAGTTTTTTAAAAAATCCCTTTGAGACAGACTCCATGGATACTGACTCTGGTTCCTCTTAGGGTCTAGGCATAAATGCCAGTATCAATTAACATGGAAAACTAATCTTTCAAAGAAAGGCTACCCTGTGTATTAAGATAGCACAGAAAAAGCCACCTGGGTCTGGTTTTACTAAATATCTGCAGTGGCCAAAGTGACTGTTCAGTCAGTTTTGGAAGGCCACAGAATGAGTTATGTTGCTTTCAGTTAGCATCTCAAACCACTGATTTTGTTTCCACAAGTATCCACCCCTTGTCTCTGCTCTCCTAACTGCACAGGGTTCTCAAGAAATTTGAGTGGAAGCAGGGAATGGTAAACTGGGTGACAGATGTTCTCACTGACATAGTAGTAAGTGCTGAAACATCTAAGCTGAATTTGTTGCTACTTTTTAATGGTGCCAATATTTTCACAGGAGTGTTACCTCTTAAATTCTTAGGCTGTTATATTCAGATCTGAGCTTAAATGGCGCTCCTCAGAGAGACTTTTCTAAATCATCTATTCGCCTAAGAGGCTACTCAGTCATTTCTTTTTTTTTTTTTTTCTTTGAGATGTAGTCTCGCTCTGTTGCCCAGGCTGGAGTGCAATGGTGCAATCTCGACTCACTGCAACCTCCTCCTCCCCGGTTCAAGTGATTCTTCCACCTCAGCCTCCTGAGTAGCTTGGATTACAGGCGTTCACCACCATGCCTGGCAAATTTTTTTTTTTTTTTGTATTTTTAGTAGAGACGGGGTTTTGCCATGTTGGTCAGGCTGGTCTCGAACTCCTGGCCTCAGGTGATCAGACTGCCTCCGCCTCCAAAAGTGCTGGGATTATAGGTGTAAGCCACCGCACCTGGCCTACTCAGTCATTTCTTGTCATATAACCCTATTACAATGTTTTGCATAGCACTTATCATTACTTGACGTTTTCTTGTTGTTCATGTATACATTTAATCTCTGTCTTCTTCTACTAGAATGTAAGCTCCCAAAGACCAGAGACCTTGTCTGTTTTGTCCTTCAGTTCCTGAAATAGGGCTTAGGGCACAGTAGATGCTCAATAAATGTTTGTTGAATGAATACATGTTTGAATGGTGAATGGTTAATGGTAAGTAAGGACAAATCCTAACAACAGCTTACCTTTCTTTGTTTCATTTTCCTCTGGCTCTGGGTCTGTCTGCTCATTGCTCTGTTGGCTGTTGTTGCTGATGGCCATCTGATTATTCTCTGGCTCAGGAGGACTATGGCTAGTCCCTTCTTCAGTGATATCAGTGGTTTCTGCCTCTTTTTTATCATTCATCTCATCTTCTTCCGAAGGGGCCAAGAAATGAAGCTTCAGGCCTGTGAAGTTGGAGAGCAGCAAGAATAGTGCCTCAGAGCGAAATAACTTCATGCACTCCTTCAATATCTCAGGAAGCTTACTCTCCTCAGCTTTCTCATAAAACCTGAAAAACAGCAATGTCAAGTTGTTCATCAAAGCCACAGATGTAAAATGACTCACAGAATAAAAGCTGATCGTTAGCTTTGTACCTCTCTTCCTAAATCTTGGCACAGCTTACTAAGGCACAAGTTATTACAATAGTGAGATTTTGTTAGGATTTTGTTAGGACATCCTGCTACTGGATGTCCCTGAGAACAAAACATCATTAGGGCAAGTGTCCTATTATTGGGTGTGAGCCTTGGTGCATGATTGTATATTTTTTCCTGTTGGTTATTTGATTTTCTTTCATGAACTGCCTGTCATCACCTCAGTCTATTTTTCCTTTAGGCTTTTTGTCATTTTACTAGTTATAAAAAAATGTTATAGGTGCTGAATGTAGAAGCAAATATCTCAGATGACGGGTTCTACCTTTTGTTAGGGGGACCTCGGCTGCTCCATTCCACATGTCCATGCTCCAAGGCCTCACAGACTTTCGTGAATTTCTCAGGCTAGAAAATGAGCAAATAAAGAAGCATTCAGCAGATCTCCCTATTACCCCGCACTGGTTTGGCAGGTACAGCAGCTCTGCCAAACATCAATCTGGCTGATTCCTAAAAGGTGCAGTTGACTCTCATTCCTTTTTTTTTTTTTTTTTTTTTTTGAGATGGAGTTTCACTCTTGTTGCCCAGGCTGGAGTACAATGGCGTGATCTCGGCCCACCACAACCTCCACCTCCTGGGTTCAAACGATTCTCCTGCCTCAGCCTCCCAAGTAGCTGGGATTACAGCCATGCACCACCACGCCTGGCTAATTTTGTATTTTTAGTAGAGATGGGGTTTCTCCATGTTGGCTGGTCTCGAACTCCCGACCCTCAGGTGATCTGTCCACCTTGGATTCCCAAAGGGTTGAGATTACAGACATCAGCCACTGCGCCTGGCCGACTCTCACTCCTTTCATACAAGATCCCCTACTCCTCCTGTGGTAAAGCCAGGGTGAAGACTGGATACATCATTGGCTTGCTTTAGCCAAGAGACCTGAGTGCCATTGTGGCTCATTCTCTTAAGTAGTTATATACCTTACGTCAATCTGCTCAACCTCCCAGACTGCTGCATTTATAAAATGAGGATCATAATACAGACCATAATACAACTCACAAGATGTTTTGAGGATAAAAAATTAAACTGCATTACAATCAAGGTCATTACCGTGACAATCTCTGTATAACAATTCCGATTCTCTAGGCCCCTAATTTAATAACCATTCTAAATTCAAAAAGTTAGGTACGACACAGGAAGCTGGTTAATCCATTGAAATATTCTCCACAAGAGGCTTTCCATTTATTTGTTTAATGCAGTTTCCCAAGCAGTCCTATCAGTTATAAATGCATGAAAAAGGAAAGATCCCATAGCATGGTTTAGGTAAACTGAATTGAATAGGGTATTCAGTTTATTTACTATAATACTTCTCAAAACCTTAATATGCTAATGTCAGCTATAAAATTGCTAGAGAGAGACAGGATGTAGAGTCTCAACCTTTTTTCATGGAGGAATAGCTCTTGGGACCATGGCTCCATGGGACCCACAGTCAACTGTAAAGTGCCATGCCAGCAAAAGTTATCTTATTGGCCCTCACAACAACTCTATGAGAAAGACAAGGCAGGTATGAATCCCAGTTTAACTGAAGACAAAATAAATACCCAGAGTGATTTAGTGATCTGCCCAGGTTAGTAAAACCACAGAGCCAGGGCATGAGAATAAGTTTTCTGATTTCTTTTTTTTTTTTTTTTGAGACGGAGTCTCGCTCTGTCACCCAGGCTGGAGTGCAATGGCGCAATCTCAGCTCACTGCAACCTCTGCATCCCAGGTTCAAGTGATTCTCCTGTCTCAGCCTCCTGAGTAGCTGGGATTACAGGTGCATGCCACCATGCCCGGCTAATTTTTGTTATTTTTTCTAGTAGAGATGGGGTTTCACAATGTTGGCCAGGCTGGTCTTGAACTCCTGACCTCAGATTATCTGGCCACCTCGGCCTCCCAAAGTACTGGGATTACAGGCATGAGCCACTGTGCCTGGCCAGTCTTCTGATTTCTAATCTCTTTCCACTATAACAAGCTACCTCATCACTGTCAAATGTTCAACAACAGATATTGATCTATTAGTAATCTATTTTTAAAAGTAATAAGAAGCACCATATTTGTTAGATGAATAGAAAGGTAACTACACACAACTCCTTTTCAGGGTGGAAGCTTGTGTGTGTGTGTGTGTTTAAGACTCTAGAGAACTGGGGAATATCCAAGGGATTCTTAACCCACTAAGCATACTGCTGATACTAATGTTAGTGTTATCATCATTTCTATGTTTCACTTGAAGAAGGGAATGACAAAAACATTCTAATCAGGAACAAAACAAAAACTCCCCAGTGATGCCTATTCACCCATTTGGGAAGCAAAATTGCATGCCAAACAAAATATTCAGAACAACATACGCTAAGCTTACCTTAAGAAACTCCTTCAGGAGAATTTCAGAACTTTCTTCAAACTCTTCTTGAATTTGAACTTGGTAATCCATGTCCAGATAAGTAGGGTTGATCCAATCATACAAAATCTCATGCTTACGAAGAGGCAGCAGATGCAAAATGTGAGTTAATAATTCCTATTGCTTTTGCTCTTACATCATTTCACACTAATAAAATACATGCAAATCCTCATTTTATAAGTTTCTCCTATTAAAGTACTGGAAAACTCTGCTTGAGAAAGACACTCTCAAAAGTTTACTTAAGAAAAGTGTAGGCCGGGTGCAGTGGCTCACACCTGTAATCCCAGCACTTTGGGAGGCCAAGGTGGGTGGATCATTTGAGGTCAGGAGTTTGAGATCAGCCTGGCCAACATGGTGAAACCCTTTCTCTACTAAAAATATGAAAATTAGCCAGGCGTGGTGGTGGGCACCTGTAAGCCCAGCTACTCAGGAGGTTGAGGCAGGAGAATCGCTTGAACCCAGGAGGTGGAGGTTGTAGTGAGCCAAGATCGCACCACTGCACTCCAGCCTGGGTGACGGAGCAAGACTCTGTCTCAAAAAAAAAAAAAAGGAAGAAAAAAAAAAGAAAAGTGGAAAGGGGCAAGCTCAAGGTCCAGTTTCATTAAATGGAACAGCTAATTTTAAAATCAGAGAAACAAATGATATGCTATAGCTCCTAAGATAAGGATATCAGCAATTCTTCTTACATCTTGTGGGATGTGAGGGCTCCGAGGTATGGGGGGTTCAAAGTAGTTGGGAGGCCGAGTCAATGATGGACCATGAAACCAGCCACTTATAGACAAACGTGACTTTTCTTCAGACAGCACTTCAGACACCTGAAAGGAGAAGCCCAGTAGCACATCAACACGAAGAATAGGGGGATTACCGCCAATGCACATTAATTTCAGGGTCCTCCATGCTAAGCATTAAAACAACATCAGATAACAAGTCTAACAGGAAGCTGTCATGTTTGGATAATGGGTGATTAAAAAACATAATCCTTGCTACTCTATTTGTGGCTTACAGTCTTTACCTGGTGAAAGGACACAGGAGATACTTCAAAGAAAACCAGTTTGTTCCACGAAGGGATAAGAGACTTGACAATCTGCTTCGGCTGAAAGTGTTCTGCACCAGGAAAGAACACATCAATAAATTATCATTAACCACTTCCAGCCTGCCTCATTTTACTCTTGACAATTTCCAAACTTCTGAGGGCATCTAGATGTGCCCTTCAGACCCTGAAATACCGCCCTTTCCATCTGCTTCACTCATACTTGCGAGTTTGACTACGTGGCATCTGTTCTTACTACACCATCCATCTATTATTGAGAAGGGCTGGAATAAGTTCTCAAAGTTTCCTGGAGTCAACTTCTGGTGCTAGACATTCAAAAAAACCTAGACTTTGTCAAATGGACTGGTCCTGGCAGATTCATAGCCACAGGCAGCCTTATATGCACTCCACCCTTCCACAGTCAGTATTCAGAAGCTTGGTCTGACTATTTCTCATCTTAAATGGATTCTAATTGATCTCTGGAGTCATTTTTAAGTCCAACTTAAAGAGGTGGTTGTCAGGGCTGGCATTTATTCCTCTTGAGGTAGTTACTATAATAAATAGCTTCCACTTCCTTTGAGGAGTACAGACATTGTATACAAAAACATGATACTGAATCAACTCAGCTTTAACTCAGAAGTGCCACTGGTGGTGAAGTGCATGCACTTATACTTATCTTACCATCAATGCTGTACAGGTCCAGGGTACCACCCATGCTCCTGTCCCAGGGAGGAACCAGGTACAGGATGAAGGCAATCCGGCGCCCTTCCAGCTCATCATCATGGCACAGCAGGGCATCTGCAATAGTTTAATGGACACCTTAGATCCCTGCAGATAGTGACCAGCTGACACCTGACTCTGCATTTAATATCAGTCCGTTTGACATTCAACTGTAATGTCAGCTCCAGCTTTAAATGTCCTCCAGCTTTAAAATGACACTTATTTCTCCTCTTTTATAAGTAAACAAATAAGTCAATATAGAAAACTCTAAAAATAAAGAGCACATAATTAGATAGATCCAGATATAATCGCTAACAATATTTTTACATATCATCTTCCAGTATTTTTCCTACATATATGTATTTACTTTAAAAAAAATAGCATCCGACAGTGTCTATTTGTGGCCTGCTTTTTAAATTACATGGCAAGTATCTTTCCCTATCAATATACACACTTGGTATCACTTTTAATGGCTGTAGTTATTCTACTATATGGATTATGAACTTACCTCCTTCCACCCTTAATAGATTTTCTATTTGTTAATTAAGTTGTTTCTATTTCTTGGCTACTATAAAGACTAATTTAATGAACATTATTGTACATGGATCTTTTGTACTTGCTCGTATTAATTTCTTGAGGGGAACTTCTAAAAGTCATGTCCTGGGGCTAGCAAGATAGGCATCTGTGCAGGCTGAGAGGGAGGGAAGGCTATGGTGAACTGCAACCAATTACACATGGAGGGATTGTTTCAATAGATAAATACATTGAAGATAATGGAAGCCAGGTTTCTCACTGTTCAAGAAGGGAGTTACAAATATGGAAATGCAGAAATCTAGAATGAACCCTGTGGTGTTCAATTGGAACTCGAGGAATCAATGGGAATTCAGTTTCCTATATCTATAGTTTTATATATCTATATATAGAAATACAGGCCGGGCACGGTGGCTCACGCCTGTAATCCCAGCACTTTGGGAGGCCAAGGCAGGCAGATCATCTGTGGTTAGGGGTTGGAGACTAGCCTGGCCAACATGGCAAAACCCCATCTCTACTAAAAATACAAAAATTAGCAGGGCATGGTGGTGCACGCCTGTAATCCCAGCTACTCAGGAGGCTGAGGTAGGAGAATCGCTTGAACCCAGGAGGCAGAGGTTGCAGTGAGCCAAGATCGCACCACTGTATTCCAGCCTGGGCAACAGAGTGAGAGACAGTCTAAAAAAAAAAAAAAAGAAATACATTCCAAATGTAAATGTATGTGTGTGCATCCACATGTGTATATACATGTATACAGATATTCACCACCTCTTCAAACTGAAGGGGTCTGGGAGCAGTGACACCCTAATAGCAAAGACACTTAAGAGTCCAGATCTTGATTGTTAAGTATCTTTCTTCACTAAAAGGAACCAGGATTCTTTGGAAGAATGGCCAACTCCAGGTCATTCTAGGACGTTGGCATGGAAAATACAAAGATAAGCTTGGAAAATCTTGTTTTGCAGAAAGTAGGAAAAAAAAAAGAATGATGGGGACATAGCAAAAGAACGCAGAAGTCAGTTTGACGGGGTTCTCCTTGATAAATCAGGGACAGTATGAGCATCAATATAATGATAGTAACTGGTAACAGCTCATTACACAACCAGCAATCCATAAATCCATACCAATATAAACGAATGAATAAATAAATCAGGAGAAAGGTCTTCTCTAGAGTGGAATGACAATAAATGTAGAGAAATGATTGTGTTATAAAATCACCATCTGGCAACCTTCATGGTAATAATTTAGCAAGAAACATCAGAGAATGCTAAAATAAGCAAATCGAACTTTGATGAGAAATGGGATATTTACATAATCTTAAAGTATCTCCCCACAAAATATATACTGATAGGGAAAAAGAACAGTGGAAAAACCTGATGTCAGCCACCACATTAATCAAGTGATCCAAGTTCATATCACTAATAATGTGACACACTGAAACCATGCACCACCTGATACAGTGAAAAGAATACAGGATTAATTTCTGTAATCCTGCCAAAAATATATGGCCTGAATCTAATCATGAGAAAACATCAGACAATCCCAAACTGAAGCAAGTTTTCCAAAATAACTCATCTGTACATCTTCAAAAGCATAAAGATCATGAAAGTCCAGGAAAGATGGAGGGGCTGTTCTAGATTGAGGGAGGCTGAAGAGACAATATTATAACTAAATGCAACATGCAATCCTGGACTGGGTCCTTTTGCTATAAAGGACCAAATAATGAAACCTGAATGGAGCCTGAGGATTAGATAATCCATTGATGTGGAATAAGGCATCAACGTAAATTTCCTGATTCTGATGGTTTATGATTATCATGTAGGAGAATGTCCTTGTAGAAATTACTGAAGTATTCAGGGGTCATAGAACATCATGCCAACAACTTACTCTCAAGTAAAATAGGAAAAAATAAATTATTTGTACTATGCTTGCCACTTTTCTGCAAGTTTGAAATTACTTCAAAGTAAAAAAAAAAAAAAAATACTGGCATGGTAGCTCACACCTGTAATCCCACTATTTTGGGAGGCAAAGGCAGGCGGATCACTTGAGGTCAGGAGTTTGAGACCAGCCTAGCCAACTGGTGAAACTCCATCTCTACTAAAAATACAAAAATTAGCCAGGCATTGTGGCATATGCCTGTAATCCCAGATACTCAGGAGGCTGAGGCAGGAGAATCACTTGAACCCGGGAGGTGGAGGATGCAGTGGGCCGAGATCACGCCACTGCATTCCAGCCTGGACAACAGAGGGAGACTCCGTCTCAAAACGAACCAACGAACCAACAAACCAAAAAAAAAAAAAAAAAAAAAAAAAAAAAACCCAAAAAAGAAATGACATGGCAGTAAATGAAGATACATGATATGGCTTTTCCTATGTATCACCAAGTCATCCTCTAAAAGTTGTGAGCCATCTATACTTCCAGGACAGTGTATGAGAGTACACTCAAAGAATTATTTTATTTAGTAAAATTTAAAAAAGAAAAAACCTTTTCCTTCTGGGTGAAAAACCAAGCTTGTATCCAAAAAAACCATTTATATGCTCAGAAAGAGAAATGGAAGGATGCACCCCAAACTGGTGACAATAGGTACCTCTGAAGAGAAGAGGGAGCAGGGAGAAGGTGAAGAAGGCTATCATGGTTTACACCATATACCTGCAATATTGTTTGATTTTTTTTCCTTTAAGAATGCATTCACTTATTGCCTTCAAAATAAAAAAGAGAAGGGAGAATGGCATTGAAGGAGATGGTTGTTCCTTAGGAAGTCTAAGAATAGAGTTTATATATCACTCTGAATTTCTTGATATTGTATGTACAGTTGGTGTGTATGTATGTTATGGGGATTTTGCTGAAAATATGGTCAGTAGCTTTCATCATATTCTGAAAGACAACCACTGCTTATGCCTTCCAATAAGGTGGGTATTTCTGTCTATGAACTGGGTCTTTATCAGGAAGATCCGGATGCTTTGCAGGGACATTCAGTTGAGTGTTTTGGTACACAGATACCATCTCTCCATTAATGCTGAGTTAAAGCCTTTATATCTTACAGACACCAGGCCTTTATCTTCCTTACCAGTGAATTCATATTTAGCACAGGACATGTCAATGGTTGATTCCAGGTCAATTTTAGAAATATCAGAAAGCCAGGACCGGAAATCTTCAAACAGAATTTTCCTAGAAATGTAAACAAAAGATAACTTGTTATGCCACAGTGTGGGATCTAGGTCACAACTGTTTGGATCTAGGCCACAACTTTTCTTTCCTGGAGATCACATTGTATTCAAGAGATCCATTCTCCGATCTCATTTGAGACATTCTGAGAAATGTTTCTCAGTTCAAATTTGCATAGTTTAAGTCTAATGTTCCCAGAAAAATAAATGTAAGTCTCTACCTACATTATATTTGTTATTTTTTGTTCTAATGGTTCATGTTTTCTCAGTATTTTCTTTCTCCTAAATTTAAAGTATGCCCTGTCATGGCAGCAGTTTGGCCTTTGTCATAACAACTCATCACACCAGTGGTCTAGTCCAAGTTACTGATTTTCAGACAAGTTTTTCAGCACTAAAATGGAAAGCTCAACTGTTTTTCTTTTCTTTTCTTTCTTTTTTTTTTTTTGAGATAGAGTCTTGCTCTGTTGCCCAGGTTGGGGTACAGCAGTGTGATCTTGGCTCATTGCAACCTCTGCCTCCTGGGTTCAAGTGATTCTCCTGCCTCAGTCTCCCGAGTAGCTGGGACTACAGGGATGCACCAGCACGCCCGGCTAATTTTTATATTTTTAGTAGAGATGGGGTTTTGTCATGTTGGCCAGGCTGGTCTCCAACTCCTGACCTCAAGTGATCCGCCTGCCTCGGCCTCCAGTGCTGGGATTATAGGCATGAGCCACAGCACCTGGCCTCAACTGTTTTTCTTTACACACTTTACTTCACTTCCAATGCCAAATGTGTGGGCTTATCCCCCCACACTGACCAATTCTCTGACACCAGCTGAGTGTCTTAAAATTCAATTCAATTCTGACACTATCTACCAGGCATTAATAAAGGTTAAGGGCTTAGTCCCATGAGACTGCCCCCAGTGTGCCCTCTCCCCCAACCCCACTTCAGATACTGATTACAAGTTCAAGTTGTGACCCATATGCTTCTAACCAAACAGTTATAAACTGGAGGTTCACACTACTGCCTCCTTGGGTTTGATAATTTACTAGAATAGCTCACGGAACTCAGAAGAAGTTTGTTTACTAGATTACCAGTTTATTATAAAAGGACAGAACTGAGAAACAGCCAGACGGAAGGGATGTATAGGGTGAGGTATGGGGAAGGGGTGTGGAGCTTCCACACCACGTCCTCCCCAGGTACACCACCCTCCCAGCACTTCCATGGGAGTTCAGCAATCCTGAACTCCTTTGGTTAGGGTTTTTGATGGAGGCTTCATTATGAAGGAATCATTGATTAAGTGATTGGCTATTAGTGATTAACTCAACCTCCAGCCTCTCTTCCCTTGCAGGAGGTCAGAGAGGTCTGTGCCAGGAATAGAGACCAAGACCAAATATACATTTATTATAAATCACAAGCACCAATACTGGTACCGCCATTTAATGAACACTTGGGTGGCACTGTTTTAGAAGATTAAAACAACTTTAAATGGCAATAATGATGAGTGTTGAATTAAATGCATAATAATGAGTGAAATCCTTCATAGAAGTTCTGATGCTAACAGGATACCAATAGAAGATGGTGAACGTTTCCATTTACCAGCTAAACTGGCTCTCCATGTAGAAATCTCTTAACACAATTTATAACTCACTCAGCCAATCAACTTTGAAATTATGAATTATTACTAACCTTGAGGAATTAAAACATTTTAAAAAGATTTACATTAGTTCAAGTTACGCTTACAAAGATACTTAATATTTTTTTGGATCATCCTACTCCAAATGCACATTACTGAAATTCCCATAAAATAGAACTGTCCTGTTTATAACTAAGTATCAAATCTCCAGGTTGATCTCTAAGATTTCATTACCAAATACCTTTTTATATTATACACTATCAAAACCAAAAAATTCCATTATCAGCTGCGAACAAGCTTAAAGAACATTCCATAAAATAATTGTGCTCAGTCAGTCCACTCAGAGGTGCCATGTAACTTTTAAAGGCAGAGTTGGAAATTATGTAAAATGGGTCAGGATAGCAAACTGCTGAACCAGGCTTCAGATAATGTGAGAGATAAATATTTCTTCAAAGTCTTGATACTGTAAGCAACTAATAGTCTTAAATCCTTTACTGGTAACATTAGCTTTCACAAATTCCAGAAAAAGCTCTTCTATTCATTCTATGAAAGTGTCACAAGGACAGGCTTATTTTGTCATTGTTAGCATTTGTTAATTGTATTCATGAAGGAACTCACAGAATCCAAGTGGGAAATAAAAAGATCAGCTCTCTGTAACGATTACGGAGTTGCAGCTTGCTCACCATCTGGCTGTAAGCCTTTAGTGTGGAATGTAACTCAGTCCCACATGAAATGCTTAGCAGAGTGGTGTTGTGAACTAAGGGGATAATGCCTTAATTCATGATAATCTTTCTTTAGGGGGAAAAAAGTCTAAGTAAATATGAAACATAATGCATTACAATTAACACACAAGCAATACTTCAGGATTTAGAAGAAATTGTGCAAGCTGCCTATAATACATGGAAGTACTGCAGAGAAAAAATATAATGAGAATAAATAATTTATACCATATAGGTGAAAAACAGCTATTACAAAGCAACATCTATTCATTATAGAAACTAGGAAAAAAATCCCATGTAAGTAAAAAACTATTAAAAAAAAATCTGTATTCCTACTAGCAGGAGTTAAATACTCTATTTTTCCAAATCTTTTACTTTATACACACAGACATCCAAATGTAGGTGTGTGTATCTCTTTTTAAAATAAGATCACGTGATGTGAATCCATTGGTCAGAAAAAACAACAAAGCATCAAATTGTGTGTATTATTTTTTTCTCTTGACAAAAATGTGTTAAGTATCATTATTTCATATATCACTAAGGAAAAAATGCTGTCAATTAAAGTAGGACACAAAAGTGATTGTGTGAGACACTAGATCCCAGAGGTGTTAAAATGTTAAAAGTTTCTTAGAATTGAGAACATAGATAACTACCACATTCATGTGTCAAAACTCATGTATATCATATTTAATGGTTGTATAGTTTCCACTTTATGTTTTGTACTATTATGTTTAAATCTCCATGGGCGATCAAATTTGTATATAATTTTTCAATATTATAAACAATATTACAATAAGTAATCTTGTATGGAATCTTTGAGCATATCCTTATTTTCTCAGGATAACTTCTTTTTTTTTTTTTTGAGATGGAGTCTCGCTGTTGTCGCCCAGGCTGGAGTGCAACGGGCTCGATCTCGGCTCACCCCAACCTCCACCTCCCTGGTTCAAGCGATTCTCCTGCCTCAGCCTCCTGAGTAGCTGGGATTACAGGCATGTGCCACCGCGCCCAGCTAATTTTGTATTTTTAGTAGAGACAGGGTTTCTCCATGTTGGTCAGGCTGGTCTTGAACTCCTGACCTCAGGTGATCCACCCGCCTCGGCCTCCCAAAGTGCTGGGATTACAGGCGTGAGCCACCACGCCCAGCCCCCAGGATAAATTCTTATAAGTGAAACTGTTCTACAAAAAGATATGCATACTTTTAAGGGTTCTGATACATCTTTCAAAACCATCTTTGAAGAAAGACTACAGCAGTGTATAAAGTTATCTATCTATATCTGTCAACACTAGGGTTTTTATTTTTAATATTTACCAACCTAACATGTGAAAAATGGTATCTCCAGTGTTAACTTCTGTTTCCTTGATTACTAACAAGATTGAGCATTTTATCACTGAGAACTTGGGCCTTGGAATCAGACAGACTTAGGTTTGTATGCTAGCTCCCTTAATTTTAAGCTATGCAAACTCAATTTCTCGGTCTCTTTCCTCCTCTACAAAGTGGGTTAACAATGTCAACAAGAATTATATGACATACACAATGTTGTAACATTTAAAGCACTTACTACTCTGCCTGGCACATATTAGCACCCAACAAATATGATTACTTGTTTACCTTAAAGTGGAGATGTGAGGCTCTCTTCTCTTCTTCAAATCATCAGACTTGATCATGAAAATAGAGAAAAAAAAGGGATTTCCTTCACATAAGAGACACACAAAGGAGAGCAGTTTAGTGAGTGTTCTGGTCCTAGCATTGTCATTAAGAGCCCAGACTCTGAAGCCAGGCTGCTTAGGTTTAACACAGGGCCCCTCCATTGGATGGGTCTGTGACTTGACAAGTTATTACCCTCTGTGCTTTATTCATTAAACAAATACTTAAGTCGTTATTATAGTCTAGTTTCTATGCCCATTGAGGGAGATAGACAACAGACACAAAAAGCAGATTAGTATAAAGATGGTGAGAAGTGCATAAAGGAAAAAAAGAAACCCAGGGAAAGAATGGGGAGTGCTAAGCCTGGGGAGTGGTTTGCAATTATAAACAGGTTGGCCAAGGTAGACTTCAGGGAGGTGATACAAAGACTTGAAGGAGGCTGGGAAGTGTGGCAAGGCAATATCAAGGCACAAAGCATTCAAGGTCCTGAGCATGAAGCGCGCCTGGCCTATTCCAGCTATTGCAAGAGCAGAGAGGGAGAGGGAGGGCAGTAGGAGATGAGGCCAAAAAGGTAATAGTGGGGCCGGGCACGGTGGCTCATGCCTGTAATCCCAGAACTTTGGGAGGCCGAGGCGGGCAGATCATGAGGTCAGGAGTTCGAGACCAGCCTGACCAACGTGGTGAAACCCTGTCTCTACTAAAAATACAAAAATTAGCCAGGCGTGGTGGTGCATGCCTGCAATTCCAGCTACTCGGGAGGCTGAGGCAGGAGAATCATTTTAACCTGGAGGCGGAGGTTGCAGTGAGCTGAGATCTCGCCATTGCACTCCAGCCTGGGCAACAAGAGCAAAACTCCGTCTAAAAAAAAAACCTAATAGGTGACTTAAAGCCATTTTAAGTACTTTGGCTTTGACTTAAAGAAATGAGAAGATTTCTGAAGCAAAAAAAAGAAAAAAAAAGTCATTGGAGTTTTTGAGAACATTTTTTAAGATAATATCCACATAACACAATTATCCACATAATTTCAATTTCTTGAAAGTGTATAATTCATTGGATTTTAGTATATTCACAATGTTGGGCGATCATCAGCACTTCCTAATTTCAGAACTTTTTAACACTCCAAATAGAAACCCTTGTGCCAATTTTGTTAGTCATTCCCTCTTCTCTCCTCCCCCCAGCTCCTCGCAACCACTTGCCTATTCTGGACATTACATATAAATGGAATCATATAATATGTAGCCTTTTGCATCTGACTTCTTTCACTTAGCCTAATGTTTTCAAGGTTCATCCATGTTGTGGTAGTATCAGTACGTCATTCCTTTTAATGGCTGAGTTGTATTCCATTCTATGGGTATACCACATTTTGTTTATTCATTAAATTGTTTCCACTTTTTGGCAATTATAAAGCTGCTATGAACATTTGTGCACAAGTTTTTATGTGAACATATTTTTACATATTTTTAATTATCTTGGGTCTATTTACATTTTAAAAGAATACAATGACTTCAGTGACTGTCTAAGCAGGTGACAGTAGAAGGGAAAATGGTTGATACACTAATAGAATAATCCCGGGGAGACACAGATAGCTTGAACCAGGTGTTGGCCTTTGGCAGTGGAAGTAGTAAGAAGTGGGCTTCTCTGGATATACAGTGGTATGTCATTTACACTCTGAGAAATTTATTGTTAGGTGATTTCATTGTTGTTTCAGCATCATCGAGTGCATTTACATAAATCTAGATGGTAGAACTTAATATATACCTAGGCTATATGGTATAGCCTATTGTTTACAGGCCACGAACAACCTGGCATTTTACTCTACTGAATACTATAGACAATACAATAGGAAGTATTTGTGTATCTAAACATATCTAAATATAGAAAAGGTATAGTAAAAATAGGTGTTACTTTATGGGACCACTATCGTATCTGTTGCTGACAGAAAATATCATGTGGCGATTGCCTGTATTTTGAAGGTAGAGATAGCAGAGTTTCACGATGGACTGGATATAAGGTGAGAGAGGAATCAAGGATGACCTCCTTTTTGGCCTGAGCCCTCGGAAAGATCAAGCTGATATTAACTGTGATGGGGAAAACTGCAGGTGGAGCAGATTTAGAGGGAGAAGACCAGAAGTTTAGTTTTGAACTTAAGTGTCAGAAACTCATTAGACATCAAAGAGGAGGCAAAGCCATGAGACCCAATAGAAGCCTGTGTACCTAGGGAAGGAGGCCAAGCATTAGGATGCAGAATACTCTATCATTAAGAAGTCAGGTGGAAGAGGAAAACCTAGCAAAGGAAGCTGGTAAGAAATAGCCACTGAGGAAGAAGAGAAACCAAGAGAGCATGGTAACCTGAAAGTAAAGTGAAAAAAAAGTCTCCAGGAGGAAGGAGTGATATAGTAGGTCAAATGCTGCTGATGAGACAAGGAAGAACTGAAAACTGATTATCAGATTTAGTAATGTGGAGGTTATGGGTGATCTTGACAAGTGTAGTTTCAGTGCAGTAGTACAAGCGAAAGCCTGATTAAAATGGGCTTACCAGAGACTGACAGGAGAGGAACTGGACACAGTGCAGACAACTCTTATAAGAATAAAATTCTGCTGTCAAGAGAAGCACAGCAATGGGATGGTAGCTGAAGGGAAACTTAGGTCAAGAACTTTGTTTTTTTCTTATGAAAAGAACAGTTTTTTTTTTCTTTTTGTTATGTTGAAGGGAATGATCCAGAGAGAAAGAAAAACTAATGTAGTTTCCTCAACTGTGAAACAGGTATAGTAATGGGATTGTTTTGAGGATTTAATGAATAAATATAAAGCACTTAGCATGGCATAAAGTATGCACTCAATAATGCTTGCTTTAAAAAATACAGAATACTGGGCAAGTCCTAATGACAGAGTTGGTTATGGGAGTTGGAAGATGTCAGAGACCCAATTATCAAGTCAATTCATACCACAAGCAAAGAAAAGAGCATGGATGAGGATTAAAGGAGCAGGAGAATGAAACCAGATTTTACATCTACTGTCTTAGGGTGAAGAGTTCCTGTCCAAAAGGGATCAACAGTAAAAATTATTCACAGTAGAGTTTCACCAAACTTCCATGTGGATCCAAAGTAATGGCAGCTCCTTTTTTTTTTTCAATCACCCAAGGCTCTTTTTATTATTTTGCCTTATATCTTCCAGTTTTGTTTTTTTTTTTTTGAGGTGGAGTCTCACTTTGTCACCCAGGCTGGAGTACAGTGGCGCGATCTCAGCTCACTGCAACCTCCACCGCCTGGGTTCAAGCGATTCTCCTGCCTCAGCCTTCCGAGTAGCTGGGATTATAGGGGCGTGCCACCACGCCTGGCTAATTTTTTGTATTTTTAGTAGATACGGGGTTTCACTGTGTTAGCCAGGATGGTCTCCATCTCCTGACCTTGTGATCTGCCCGCCTCAGCCTCCCAAAGTGCTGGGATTACAGGCATGAGCCACTGTGCCCGGCCATCTTCCAGTATTTTTAATCTTCCAAATTGCATGAAGTAAAAATTATTGTGATGTTTCAATTTTAATAATCAGATGCGTATGGCCCCAAATCAACAAGAGGCCAAGGGTGCGATAATCACAACAGCAGGTAACTGCGGTTTTTAATTAACCTGTGCAACCTTACCATGGAAAGCAGTTTAGTTTTCAGCTTTCTGAATTATTAAGAGTCATATCTTTCATGTATTTATCCTGGTTAATTCAGTCATGTGTATAAGGTCCAAAGACAGAAAGATCTGGGGAAGGTCAGGATACAACCATCTGACCAATCAGCTCTAGTGTAAAAGAATAAGAGAGAGAAATTCGTTATTTACTCTCTTATCCCAGATAAAATAAAATGGGAAAATGCAAAAAAAAAAATTATTCTTCATCTTTTTAATCTTTCTTTTTTTTTTCCCCCCCCAATTTGAAGCACAGATGTCCCTGAGGTTTACAAAGGATTCATGTACTGAAAGATATACCCCCAAACTGGGGAAACCAATGACCTGTATTTCTATACCTAGACTAGGCTGTGTCTTCCAGAGTAGAAAAACCAAACTTAAAAAAAAAAAAAAAGAGATAGTCTTTTCTGCCCAATTAAACTGTCCACCAAAAAAAAAAAGAACGGATTTAACGCTTTGCCCTACTGCAATGTAGAGCATACTGTAATATAGCAAGTCACCTGAAACAAAAACATGAACTCAAAACTCTATTTTATTTTGAGATGGTATTTTGCTCTTGTGGCCCAGGTTGGAGTGCAATGATGTGATCTTGGCTCACTGCAACCTCCACCTCCTGGGTTCAAGTGATTCTCCTGCCTCAGCCTCCCAAGTAGCTGGGATTACAGGTACATGCCACCATACCCAGAAAATTTTTATATTTTTAGTAGAGACGGGTTTTCACCATGTTGGCCAGGCTGGTCTCGAACTCCTGACCTCAGGCGATCTACCCGCCTTGGCCTCCCAAAGTTCTGCGATTACAGGCATGAGCCACCACACCTGGCCCGAACTCAAGATTTTAAATGGTAATTGTCTCCCAACGTACAACTCTCTTCATCATCATACCACTTACCCACATGTACTTAACCCCTTTGTTTATAACATACTTACTCATCGGCTTAATTTGTTTCTTCACTATCTCTATCACCGTCACATTCACCCTTATTATTACTTCTGGCCTGAGCAACTGGAAAGATCACGTTGCTATTAACTGTGATGGGGAAAACTACAGGTGGAGCAAATTTAGAGAAGACCAAGAATTCAGTTTTAGACTTAAGTGTCAGACACTTACTAGACATCCAAGAGGAGGTAAAGCCATGAGACCCATAGAAACCTGTGTACCTAGGGAAGACATTATCACTCTCTCCATCCTGCAGATGAAGAAACTGAGAAGTCTTTGAGAGTACAGAGCTTGCACTTTGAACACTAGATTTTAAAGTCTTACAGGGCAGGCACTGTCTAAGGCTTCCATATAATTATAGCACTTAACACATAGTTAACACTCAGTAAGCTTGGTTAAATGAAGGCATGCTCTTAAGAATGTCAATGCAAGGACTGTTCAAGGCAAACCCACCCTAAAACCTCAAGTCTAAAGGTATTCAATGACTTCATAGACAGTGAATTTCCAAGCTGGAAGAGTTAATGTGGCAGGGGAATAAATACCTGCTGGAACTTATATAAATCATTATACTTCTCATGGAAGTCCAAGTTCATCAGTTCCTTCTGAAGCCCTTCTAAGAAGTCTTGGCTTTGGATGAAGTTTGGGATCACACAGTGAAGAAAAGGGTCCATGTCCATGACAATGACTTCTGTTGGAAGAAAAACATTATCTATGGCTTTTTTCCTTTTGTATTTTTGACATCCAAGTAACATAGCAGAGCTAATACAAAAGGGGATGGTCATGAATTTTGGGGAACCTAATACTTAAAGTCTAAGATTTGGGGAAAAAATGATAAGCTCTGACCTTTCTTCTTTACCCATTAAATACTACTTTTAAAGATACCATGCTTACAACTCCAGTCCTTGAGATGAGTGATGGGTGATGTCACTAAATCAAGGTTCCTACTCTTTTTTTTATGTGTTTCAATGATTACATATTGAATTGAATGTATTTTAGATTTTTAATTCATTTCCCTCAAACTTTGGGTAGCACATTAAATGAGAGTAGCAATACTGGTCGGCAGTTTCCCTGCTTTTGCTTTTCCCAAGTTACTGTCAGAGGCATTTACTACTTACTGTACTTAAAAAAAAAATCAGTTCAGTTCGGGCATAACCACCTCTAATTCCTTGATTTCTACCCCAACATTTACCCACTGCTTCCGGCTGGCTAGATCACCATCCTGTAATCATCAGCACCACCTACCAGGTGCCAGGCCCATGATCTCATTCAATCTTTTTAACAGCTCTGAGGGAGACATTATCACTCTCCCCATTCTACAGATGAAGAAACTGAGAGTACAGAGCCTGCACTTAAACACTAAGCTATCGTTTTCTATAGGCATCCAGCCTACCCAGGACTCACCTCTTCAAAGCACTTGACAACGGAAAGAAAAATTACGGCAAACTCTAGAAGGGGATGCCTGGCGCATGAAGCAGAGCTCTGAACACCTAAGGTGATATTTAAAGCTGAGGCTGGAATCGTTCAACGTAGGCGCCTTTCCTTGGTCAAAGCGCGTTTATTTTCATACATCATGGAGTCAAACTACAGGCGCGTAGAGACGAGTACACTAGGGAGTCAAGCTGGCAGCTCACGACAAATGCCCTGGCTAGACTCTCCTGGGACAGCTGAGCAATGCCCTTGCAGGAGAAATGACATCAGCCACTCCTGTATTTGTCCACATGTGTATTGGGCCTTACTCAGGGAAACATTTACTGAAGCCTGCAAGCATTAGTGTGTCGCTCCCATTCACCGACTTTCCGAGGTAAATATTATGAACTATCCCATTTTACTTAGGAAGCAACTGAAGTTTAATAAGGTTAATTCCATTGCCTGGCGACGCCCAATCAGGGGAGAGGATTCTAACTCAGTAATCTTTGACTCCAGAATGCAACTATCTCTTGCATACCCTCTGCTTCCCAAAACTCTCCGGCCTCCATTTCTCCCTCTTCTCACGTTTCTAAATTGCAACCGAATTTGGAGTGAAAGGGAGCAGCAGCCGAGGCAGGAGAGTAGGAGGTGGCCAAAGTCCTCTAAGAGCCTCTTCCCTTGCGGCCCCGCTGCCCAAGGCTGGGCGCGAGTCCCAGGGCTTTTTCAGAGATCCCTAGACCTCTGCGTGGCGGCCCCTCCCTGAGAGCACCCGGTTACCGTGACTGAACGGCGTCCTGCGGCTCCAGGCCTCAGCCACCTGCTTTTTCAAGGTTTCTTCCGTAACAGCGTCCGAAAACTCCGCCATCACCTCCTTCTTTCCCTTTTTTCCCACCCGGGCTGGGCCGGGCTCCGCTGGCCGCTTCCCATTCATCTCTTCCCAAGGCACAGAACCACGCCACGCAGATCAAGACGCTACCTTCCTGAGGGTACTGCAACTCCCGGCATGTCCCCTTTATCGTGTTTCCCGGCCCTACCCAATGGGAAGCACCAAAGTAAGAGAAGGCGGAACCTATACCCGGTTTACCAATGGGAGCTCCAGCTATTGCAGCCATCCCACCAGCAATTGGCCCACTGGAGCTCGGTCTGGCAGGCCACCGCCCCTCTACTTCCTGCCGCCAGAGGCTCCGGGTTCACTTCCGGCGTGCCTACGCCTCCTCTTGCGCTGTCCTGTTAATGGCGGGCAGTAGCCGCTGAGGGGATTGCAGATAACCGCTTCCCGCACGGGGAAAGTCTACCCTGCCTGCCACTTTCTGCTCGCCGTCAGCGCCGGAGCTCGCCAGCATGTCTGTGGTACCGCCCAATCGCTCGCAGACCGGCTGGCCCCGGGGGGTCACTCAGTTCGGCAACAAGTACATCCAGCAGACGAAGCCCCTCACCCTGGAGCGCACCATCAACCTGTAAGTGCGGCGCGGCCTTGGCGGGCATTTCTCTCGTGAAAGCTCCTATAGACTCTCCGACGCGCCCCCGGCTTTTCGGCGCGCTTCACGCCTCTGCACCTCCCCGCCTCCAACTCCCGCTGGCGGATGCGCGCCTTCCTCCCTCTCTCAGGCCCCTTTCTCATCCTCCAGCCTCCAGGGTTAGAGTCCTTTTCTGAAAGGAAGGCTTGTTCCCATCCTATGTATTCGGTCATAATGGGGAAAAACGGAGTTTGCTTTTAACTCATCCTTTCCCCACCTCTCCAGAGGTAACCGACTTCAAAATGTGTGTTTTTTTAATCCTTCCAGTGAATTGTTTATGCTTTCGCATCACGTACATGGTATTGCTTTGTGAGTGTTGATGTGATACGAATGGTATAACCTAGTATCATTTTTGCAGATTTCACTCTGACAGTAAGGTTTCGAGATCTAGCTGTAATGCCTAGGTCTAGTTTTCTTCCTTTTAGGTGCCACTTAATACTTCAGTTTTTGAATACAACACATTTTATTCATGTGCTCAGGGCTGTCTGCCCTGCCCCATGCCTTATGCCTTCGCGTCGTCTGATGTCTCAATGCCGGCATCCCAGGCACCACAAGTAGGCCCCTCCTTGGGAGTAAGGATGCTGCTATGGTTGGGCTTTCAGACTGGAGGGAACCAGAATGTTTGTACCAGAAAACCCATTGTGGGCTGTGTTTTATTTTCAACACCTTTCTGTTTCAACACTTCAAACCATTGCATTTCAAGGTCATTCTCAGAAGCAGACTCGCTGTAGCAGGTAATTGGCGTTTGGGGTGTCTTAATCAAGAAATTGTCAGTAATGCTTTTTAAAATCGTTTCTGAGGATTTGTTTTCGAGGCAACGCGGTGCCTCCATTTTATGCCAGGATGGAGGAAAGTGGCCAGTTTATGCCAGTCAGGGTACAAGTGCAAGGATTTGGTGGTATTGATGTTTTCGTAAGGCAGTTTAGGTGTTTCTCTGTTTCATATTAAAATAAACGGACATTGTCTCCCCGTCCCCCAACCAAAAGTGATTTGAAGTTGAAAAGATGGTTAACATTGTTTTATTTTGCAAAACGTGTTGGCTTGGAAATTTAGATAATGGAAATGCTGGGTTTATAAAATCTGGAATTAGTTGATAGTTGTGTGTATAAAAGTTCTCAGGAGTGGCGGCTCACGACTGTACTCCCAGCACCTTGGGAGGCTGAGGTGGGAGGATCACTTGAGGCCAGGAGTTGGAGATCAGTCTGGGCAACATAGGCTGTCTCTACAAAAATTTTTTTAAAAATTAAGAAAAAATCCATCAAATGGTAAAGGCAAATGTTATCCTTTTTAAAAGTGTGAAAGCACAGCTTCTGGATTACTTTCGGTGGTTATTAGAACTAAAACCCACAGTCTTTTCTTGTTTTGTCTTGATTACTGAATTAATTTGCATCCAACCATTTTGTAGAATTGGCAAAATAGTTAGCTTTCAGTAAGATATTTTAATCTTCGCTCTATTAAAATTATGGGTTGATTTACAGTACATTTCCTCTCCTGTGTAAATACAAATATTCAGAAATAATAATTGTGTTGTGAACTTAAGTTCACCTGAGTTAACATTAAGTTGAAAACAAATGCCCTCTCCCCCAGTATATTTTATTTTAGGAAATATTGCATGAATGCCTACTTTGTACCAGGCACTGTGCACAATACTGGATATACAGTGGTGAGGAAGTAAGGTGTAGCCCCTGCTTTATGAAGCTCACAGTATGATGAGAACAATATGTATGTCTGGGCTGGCACTCTGATTTCACAGGTGAAAATTCTGACATTTCATCTTCACATCTCCTTACTGATATATTGGAGCTGGCTCTTGCAACAGAGATGTGTAATGGCTATCCTTAATTCTTTCTAACTCAGGTTGTCAGAATTAAATGTTAATATATGTAAAGCGTTTTAAAAAATTGCTTGGCACGTCGTTCTATGTAGCATATCTGCTGCTGCTATGGATGATGGTTTTAGATTTAGCATTGGATCTACCGGGGATGTTCTTTAAATTTTTAAAGCATCCTGGAATGGTATATTTTAATTATTTTAGAGCTTTTTCATATGCCTAGAACTTGGCTTCTGGAATTAAAGTAATTTTTAAAGTTTTGGCAACCTTGATTTTTTCCCCTTTCAAGAATGGCTGAGTGGGGTAGATACAATAATGTTGACTATTAATGTCAAGGGCTTTTGGTAGAATAGATACCTTGGATGGGCAAATGTGGCCTAAATTCGTACTCAAAGGCTTCTTGCTGTAAGGCTTTAATTAAGGGCTTACAACATATAAGTATGGATTTTTTAACTATCTTTAAAGAAAAATTTGATCCTTATTAGGCAAGATGAAAACTGTCTTTAACAGTTTGAGCCATATTTTAAATTATTGGTAAAGGAAGAGAGTTTTCGATTAGATATGGTGGGTAGAAGATTCAGATGAGGAGAAGGAAACAATAAGGAGACTGAATAGAATAAATGCCAAAGGCTAGTAAATAGGTTTAGAGGACAAAAAGAGAAAGTAGAAGAGTTGCTGTGAAAAGGAAAGGCTGTGGTGCAAGAAAAATCTGAGGATAGTTGACTGAGAGAAATAGAAAATAACTGGAGGGATGTTGATGAAAAACGGTGGCTTAGTTTTAGGAAAAAGAAATTAGCCATTAGCACCCATAATTAAAACTTTCTGATTAGATTAGTAGTCAGTGGAATGCAGGGGGACATTAATTATTAGCCAAATTGGTAATGTTGAAATAGCAGCCATGGTATAAAACCAGAGGATTACTAATGTTCAGATAACCATTTCTCTAAGCATTTAAGGATAGTGTTATCTACACTTGAAAGTTAAAGTATGGAGGAGCAGCTTGATCTAATGGAAGCTCTGGCTTTAAGAGTCCAGAGAGCAAGATTCCAGTCTCTGCTGTTTCATTAACTTTAGTTAACTGTACAAATCCTGTGTCTGAGTACAATATATGCACTTTTTTTGTACCATGGTTTCTTTATGCTAATGTCTGTCATGGTAAATTACATTCTTCAGTTCTCATGTTAGATGTTTGTCTTCGGATCACAGGTACCCTCTTACCAATTATACTTTTGGTACAAAAGAGCCCCTCTACGAGAAGGACAGCTCTGTTGCAGCCAGATTTCAGCGCATGAGGGAAGAATTTGATAAAATTGGAATGAGGAGGACTGTAGAAGGGGTTCTGATTGTACATGAGCACCGGCTACCCCATGTGTTACTGCTGCAGCTGGGAACAACTTTCTTCAAACTGTAAGTAGTGTTGGAAATTAACAGCAAGACAGTTTTTAGTAGGATTGCTGTTTATGCAGCTCTGGAATACAATTTTAGCCCTCGGTCATTCATTTCAACAAACACTGCTGTTAATGATGTCTTTAGAAAGAGAAAATCATGAGTAATTTTTCTCCATTGCAGTGCTCATTTATTTTCCTAACTAGTAATCTGTATGTTTCTGTATGTTGTTGATGTTAATGATTGAGCTTGGTAGAAACCCCATGGAATAGTTGAGTCCAAGATCAATGTCTAGATGTCATTGTAGCATTACCAAGAACAATTGATATTTCTTTCTTGGTATGATTAGCATTTCCTGTTCTTAAGATGACTTAGGTTTTTGTGGATAACAGTTTAGTGTTTTATCATTTAAGCTCCTACATCTCTCAAACATTTGATCCGTAACTATTTGACTAGATTATACCAAAAAGAAAAGTCTCCAATACTTAGATGACGTTCTTGAAAAAGTTTCCCATTCTTTAGGCCTAAAGAATGTGATCCATTCCTCTCTGAGCATTTCTAGACTCCATTATCATCAGATAGCTCCCAGAGAGGAGATTGGGATGGACTGGTGGTTAGCAATTTTGTTTATGTTTGTGCTATGTTATATATTCTGTTTGTTTAAAACTAGGGTTTATGTGATGGGTACATATGGACATAAAGTTGGAAAAAATAAACACTGTATACTCCAAAGGTGGGGAGGGTGAGGGGGAGGCGAGGGTTGAAATACTTCCTATTGGATGTTATGTTCACTGTTTCAGTGATGGGTTCACTAGAAGCCTAAACCTTAGCATTACACAATATACCTATGTAACAAACTTGTACATGTACCCGTTGAATCTACAATAAAATAAAAATAAATATATACGAAGAGGAAAAAAACCTAGGGTTTGTATACTGTTAGTCTGGGGAATTGACATGAATTCAAGCATATTCTCCCCCTTCACTTTGATACTTGTTTTGATTGCCTTATTATGCTGAAATATGTTCTTAGTGACTTGGTAGAAATAACAATTATTGTGTTATTTGTTATCTCCAAATTGTATTAAGTTGAAAGCTGAAATTCTTAACTTTTATACAGACCTGGTGGTGAACTTAACCCAGGAGAAGATGAAGTTGAAGGACTAAAACGCTTAATGACAGAGGTATTTTTCTGTTTAACCACTTTGAATACCATCAACTTACTAGTTATTTGGCTTTTAATGTCTTGTAAAAAGGATGCTTATTTTGGAATATTTAGTTTTCAATAAATACAACTTAAACTCCAGAAGGTTAGTACAATGTTGATTTTTTTTTACAAGTTGAAGTTACACTTATTTCAATTTTTAAAATGTTAAACTGTGTCACAGCAATGGTAAATTAAAACTGACATTTAAGTATTACTGTGCTAGACACTGTTCTGAGTGCTTTACATGCGCTAATTCCTTTAATCACCACCACAACTGTAGGAAGTAGATATTATTAAGTTTAAATTACTTCTTGTTATATAGCTAGTGTGTTGTAGAGCCAGAGGTTTGAATGCAGGTAGTTTTGTTCAAGAGTAGGCCTCTATAGAATTTTGAAAAGAGAAAGATGCCTGTGTTTTCACTTTTTTCACATATTTTTTAGACTTTGCCCAAATTATTCTACTTTTTAAAAATCATTGTAATGCCTGCATGTAAAGACTTGGGGCCAAATGCATAGATACTGAGGATTTTGAGATTGTAAATTGTTTTCAATGTTAGTTTTCTTCTTTAACATTCAATTGCCGCCTGCCCCTGTTACAAAGCTCATATATTCTCTGTGCAAAAAGCTTGGCAAACACAGAAAAGCAAAGGAGAAACAAAACTAAAGTCACCCGTAATTCTCCCACTTTTGACCTATTGGTTTGTCTTTCTAGTATTTCTAAAAATGTATTATAACTCTTAAACATTTTCCTGTGCTTGGACTTCCATTTATATAATGTATGGTACAAAGATATAAGTCCATTAAGGTTGAGGGAGTGCAAAATGAGAGAATCACAAAAGCAAAATTTTTGGAAACTGGAAAACAGATGGGCAAATTATAACTAACTTAGCAGAAACCTTAGTCCAGCAGACAGGCAGGCAGAATCTAGCATTGCAGAGTACCAGAATGACTGAGGAACTGAAGGTGCTAGGTACTTATGAAAGTGGGGGCATGCATGGGCTGAAAACTGGACTGGTTCAAAGTATATATGGAGTATATTTATACAGGTTGTGTATTCCTTATCTGAGAGCTTGGGACCAGAAGTGTTTAGCTGCTATTTGATAGCACAACAGGGTGACTATAGTCAATAATCACTTAATTGTAAATTTAAAAATAACTAAAAGAGTATAATTGGATTGTTTGTAGCACAAAGGATAAATGCTTGAGGGGGTGGATATCCCATTCTCCATGATGTGAATATTACGCATTGCATGCCTGTATCAAAACATCTTGTGTACTCAAAAAAATTAAAAATTAAAAAAGTGGTTAGGATTTGGGATTTTTTTCAGGTTTTGGAATATTTGCATTATACTTACCAGTTAAGCATCCCATATACAAAACTTGAAATGCTCCAATGAGCATTTCCTTTTTTTTTTTCTTGAGACGAAGTCTCTCTCTTGTCACCCAGGCTGGAGTGCAATGGTGCAATCTTGTCTCACTGTCACCTCCGCCTCCCGGGTTTAAGCGATTCTCCGGCCTCAGCCTCCCGAGTAGATGGGATTAAAGGTGCCTGCCTCCACGCCCAGCTAATTTTTGTATTTTTAGTAGAGACAGGGTTTCACCATGTTGACCAGGCTGGTCTAGAACTCCTAACCTCAGGTGATCTGCCTGTCTTGGCCTTCCAAAGTGCTGGGATTACAGGCATGAGCCACCACGCCCGGCCTGAGCATGTCCTGTGAGCATCATGTCAGTGCTCAAAAAGTTTGAGATTTTGGAGTTTCAGATTGGGATGTTCAACCTGTGTATCTAGATTGTCTTCCCCACTCTGTAATTAGGCAAAGACTGGCTGATGATTCTCTGTAGTAATTGAATCAGAGAACAACTAGCAATGAAAAAAGTTTAGGGGATGGGGAGAATAAGAGTTCCTATTCTGAATAGTCAGACTCTTGGACCTCTATTAGGCTGACAGAATGTTAACAATTAGGCTTGTTTTTTTTTTTTTTTGTTTTTGTTTTTTTTTTTTTGAGGCGGAGTTTCACTCTTGTCGCCCAGGCTGGAGTGCAGTGGCGTGATCTCCAATGTGAGCAATGGTTGCTCACTGCAACCTCTGCCTCCTGGGTTCAAGCGATTCTCCTGCCTCAGCCTCCAGAGTAGCTGGGATTACAGGTGCCCACTACCATGCCCAGCTAATTTTTATATTTTTAGTAGAGATGGGGTTTCACCGTGTCGGCCAGGTTGGTCTCGAACTCCTGACCTCAGGTGATCTGCCTGCTTTGGCCTCCCAAAGTGTTGGGATTACAGGTGTGAGCCACTGTCAGTCTAGGCTTACTTATTTTTTTTAGAGACAGGGTCTCACTCTGTTCCTCAGGCTGGAGGATGGTGGTGTGATCATAGCTCACTGTAACCACAAACTCCTGGGCTCAAGCAATCTTCCTGCCTCAGCTTCCTGAGTAGCTAGGACTGCAGGTATGTGCCCATGATGCCTGGCTAATTAAAGAAAAGTTTTTTATAGAGATGAGATCGTGCTATGTTGCCCAGGCTGGTCTCAAACTCCTGGCCTGAAGCAGTCCTCCCAAAGCATTGGGATTACATGCATGAGCCACCAGGCCCAGCCAACAATTAGATTTATATATCCCAGGCTGAGGGTTGGAATTCTTGTTTCTGGAAAAAGTGACCAGTCCAAGAAAAACTTCAGATACTGCCATTTGGGAGCTGTCTTCGTCTGTTTAATGTTGCTATAACAGAATACCTGAGGCTGGGTAATTTATAAAGAAAAAGATTTATTTGGCTCACCAGTTCTGGTGGCAAGATTGGGCAGCTGGTGAGGGCTTCATGGTGCTTCCACTCATGGCAGAAAGCAAAATGGGAGTGGGCATGTGCAAAGAGACATGGCAAGGGAGGAAGCAAGAGTGAATCCAGGAAGCCACACTCTTTAACAACCCTCTCTCCAGGGAACTAATCCATTCCTGATGGAGGAAGGGTATTAAACTATTCATGAAGGATCCACCTGCATGACTCAAACACCTTCCACTAGGCCCTGCCTGCCAACACTGTCACATTGGGGATCAAATTTCAACATGAGTTTGGGGGCAGGGAGACAAACCATATCCAAACCAAAGCAAGAATTTTCTATAGAAATAATGTAGTCCTGGGCCAGGCGCGGTGGCTCACACCTGTAATCCCAGCACTTGGGGAGGCCAAGGCGGGTGGATCATGAGGTCTGGAGTTTGAGACCAGCCTGACCAGCATGGTGAAACCCCGTCTCTACAAACATAAACAAATTAGCTGGGCGTGGTGGCGGGTGCCTGTAATCCCAGCTACTCGGGAGGCTGAGGCAGGAGAATCAGTTGAACCCAGGAGGTGGAGGTTGCAGTGAGCCAAGATCATGCCACTGCACGCCAGCCTGGGCAACAGAGCAAGACTTCGTCTCAAAAAAAAAAAAGAAAAAAAAATATTGTAGTCCTATCACTCATGCACACAGAGGTGACAATTAAGCATCTTGTTGCTTCTCCCTTGTGAGTACACAACCAACTATCACCAGGCTTTTGGAGAAAACTTCTTAACAAGAAAAAGATCAAAAGAAGCAAAAGGACCTCAACAGAAGCAGAAAATTCAACCATTGACAAAACTATGATTAATATTCTTGGTGAGATGAGAGGAGATTTTGCACCTGTGAAACAGTGCTATTAAAAAGACATTTTAGCCAAGAAAAACCTCATGGATATTAAAAAAATGTTGGAAGAAATGAAAAATTCAGTAAAGAGTTAAGAGGTTCATTCTACCAGAAAATAGAATGAAAAGATAAAAAGATAGAATGTAGGTAAGAATAGATAAAATTAGTGGGTCATTCTAGAAGGACCAATATAAACTATAGATAAATAGAACAGAGTAAAAGGAAGAATTAGCAAAGCATAATTAGAGAAAATTTCTCAAACCTCAAAGGGCATGAGTTTTGAGATTGAGAAGACCTACTGGCCTTGCCTCTATAGTGAATGTTTAAAGATCCACGCAAAGGCATATCATCATGACGTTTTAGATCCTACAAACGAAAATAAAAACAAAAAGATGTAAAAGCTTCCAAAGTGGGAGGTGGAGGATTGGTAAGCAGAGAGGTTAAATGCAAAACATCAAAATCAGAAATTGCATTAAACTACCCAGAAATAATTCTGGAAGCTAAGGGATGGTGGAGTGTTGTCTTTGTAATTTTGAGAGAATATAATCTCTGTCCTAGAATTTTCTAATCAAACTATAAATCAAGTGTGTGGGTAAAAGTTACTTCTAGACATGCAGAGTTTCAAAAAGTTACATCTCTTGTACCTTTTCTCAGGAAGCTACTAGAGGGTGTTCACCCCCAAAATGGAATAAAATAAGGACTCCAGCTGTGAAGCAGGGTTGAGACTATCAAGTACAGATTACAGCAGGATGATAGAAAAACGTGTCTTAGGCTGGGTGTGGTGGCTCATGCCTGCAATTTCAGCACTTTGGGAGGCTGAGATGGGCAGATCACGTGAGCCTAGGAGTTTGAGACCACCCTTGGCAACATGGTGAAAAATTAGCCTGGTGCTGTGGCTTGCATCTGTAGTCCCAGCTACTCGGGAGGCTGGGGGCAGGGGAGGCTGAGGTGAGAGAAGCGCTTGAACCCATGAGGTGGAGGTTGCAGTGAGTGGAGATCGCGCCATTGCGCTCCAGCCTGGGTGACAGATCTTGTCTTGAAAAAAGGAAAAACATGTCTTAGAAAAGATGAAATTAATAGAATAACTGACAATTGATATTTGAATTGGGAAGAAATTTAAGTTATCATGGAGAATGTGGGAAATGAATTTAGTGATAGCAAAGGAAATGAAAGTTATTAACTAAAGAATAGGACAGTTGAACAAGTAAGGAGATACGGTTTGCTAATCATTGCTCTGTTGTGACTGATCTACCGGATCATACTAACTTAAATACTGAATATTGACTTAACCAAATATTGATAATGGGAAGATGGTGGAAGAAAAAGTGTAACTAGGATGTGTGATTTTAATATCTAAATTCTCATTCATAGTAGAGGGTTATAGGCTTTTAAAAAATGTTTTTAAAATGAAAATCAAGAGGCCAGGCGCAGTGGCTCACGCCAGTAATCCCAGCACTTTGGGAGGCCGAGGCAGGTGGATCACAAGGTCAAAAGATCGAGACCATCCTGGCCAACATGGTGAAACCCTGTCTCTACTAAAAATACAAAAAAGCTGGGTGTGGTGGCGGGCACCTGTGGTCCCAGCTACTCGGGAGGCTGAGGCAGGGGAGTCGCTTGGACCTGGGTGGTGGAGGTTGCAGTGAGCCAAGATTGCGGCACTGCACTCCAGCCTGGGCAACAGAGCGAGACTCTGTCTCAAAAAAATAAAATAAAATAAAATGAAAATCAAGAAACTGTCATAAAAGAATATTTTGGCTGGGCATGGTGGCTCACACCTGTAATCCCAGTGCTTTGTGGGGCTGAGGCCGGAAGATTGCTTGAGGCCAGGAGTTGTAGTGAGCCATGATTGCGTCGCTGTGCTCCAGCCTGAGTGACAGAGCAAGACCCTATCTCTTAAAAAATGTAGTTTTGAGGCCCGGTGCAGTGGCTCATGCCTGTAAGCCCAGCACTTTGGGAGAGTGAGGTGGGCAGATCATCTGAGGTCAGGAGTTCGAGACCAGCCTGACCAACAGGGTGAAACCCCATCTCTACTAAAAAGACAAAAAATTAGCTGGGCATGGTAGCATGTGCCTGTAATCCCACCTACTCCGGAGGCTGAGACAGGAGAATCACTTGAACCTGGGAGGTGGAGGTTGCAGTGAGCCGATATTGCGCCATTGCACTCCAGCCTGGGCAATGAGCAAAACTCCGTCTCAAAAAAAAATTTTTTTTTTGAAAAATATGACTTTACATTGAAGAAACGTGATAAACAGTACCTCAGCCCATTAGTGATAAGCCATATTGATATAGCATGTACCTTTGATATGACGTGATGAGAATGGCCCTTTTACCTCTGTAGTTTTCTTCCCAAAAGCTCATAACTTCAATTTAATTGAGGGATGTTTTACAAAATACTTGACCAGTATTCCTCAAAGCTATCAAGATCATCAAACACAAGGAAGGTATGAAAAGCTGTCACAATGTAGAGGAACCTCGGAAGAAATGAAGATTAAGTGTAATATGGTATCTTAGATGGGATCCTGGGACTGAAAAATGAAAAAGGACATTAGGTTAAAGACTATGGATATCTGAATAATATATGGACTTCAGTTAATAATCTTGTCTTGGTATTGGTTGATTAGTTTGACAAATGTGCTTTACTAGTGTGAGATGTTAACAGTCGGGGAAACTGTGTGGGGTATATGAGAAGTCTCTGAACAAGTTTTGCAAGTTTTCTGTAAATCTAAAACTATCCTAAAATAAACCGTTTATTTAAGACCAAGAAGAATGCTTTTAAAAATAGAAGAAAACATGAGGGGAAAAACAACCAAGAGTTGAAAGTTACAGCCAGTGGGAATGGGTGAAGCAGGACAGAGAACTGCAGTTTCTCACCATGAACATTGTAGAACTATTTTTGGCCACTTAAAATATGTAGAGTATGACTTTGGTTAAAATAAGTTTAGTGTTCTGCTATACAAATTAATAAAAATGAAAGCTGAATTTTGAACACAATTTTTATGTTGATACTAGCTTGCCAGTTTTGAACTAATATTGTATGTCTTGGGCAGAGTGACATCTATATTAACAAATCATAGAAAATCTGTATGGAAGGCATATTATCCCTATGTTTCAATTAGGAGCACTGCTAAGAATTTTCTGTTCACTGAAGAAGGGGATTTGTGAGTACATATATTTAGTTGTTTACTGGCTTATTTCTTTTTGACAGATACTGGGTCGTCAGGATGGAGTTTTGCAAGACTGGGTCATTGACGATTGCATTGGTAACTGGTGGAGACCAAATTTTGAACCTCCTCAGGTCAGTGTTCAGTTACATTTGCTGGGCATTTTGGAAGCAGAAAGCTCGTTTAATTCTAGCCACTTTAAAAAAGATTAAAGTAGAATTTGACTTGAAATTTTCTTTTCTTCCCTCCTTAATTTAAATTACAAAATTAAGCCAAGCACTTCTTATTTTAAAGGAAAATGTAAAACAAATACAAGGCCGGGCGAGGTGGCTCATGCCTGTAATCCCAGCACTTCAGGAGGCCGAGGCGGGTGGATCACCTGTTGAGGTCAGGAGTTTGAGACCAGCCTGGCCAACATGGTGAAAGCTCGTCTCTACTAAAAAATGTAAAAATCAGCTGGGTTTGATGGTACAAGCCTGTAATCCCAGCTACTCCGGAGGCTGAGGCAGGAGAATTGCTTGAACCTGGGAGGCAGAAGTTGCAGTGAACCGAGATTGTGCCATTGCACTCCAGCCTGGACAACAGTGAGACTCCTTCTCAAAAAATAAATAAATAAATAGAACAAATACAAAAGAAGAGAGAATGGTAAAAGTGAATGAATTGCGCTACCCGTCGTCTGCCTTTAACAGTTAGCACATCACAACCCCTCATTCCACCGCTTCATTCTCCTACCCTCATCTTGGATTATTTTGAAGTGTATCCTAGCTATTCATTTCAATTGTAAATATTTCAGTGTGAATCATAAAAATAAGGATCTCTTTAAAAAGATAACTATAGTACTGTTATTATCATACTAAAAATAAACAATTCCATATTATTGTCAAATATATAGTCACTGTTCGCGTATCCTGATTATTTCTATTTTCTTTTTATAATTTGTTTGGATTAGGATAGTCTCTAAAGTCTCTTTTACACACTTGGCACCTTTTTTTTTTCCTTGTGTTTTATTTGTTAATGAAAACAGGCTAATGTTTCCATTTCGATTGCATTCCCCTGTTGTTGTTGAATATGTAGCTGTTTCCCCTGTGTGTCTTGCAAATTGATAGTTAGATCTAGAAATTGTATTCAGGCTCAGTTAATTTGGGGAGGGGTAACAAGGCTTGTCATAGGCGGTATATAATCTATACCTGCATAACAAATTACCTCAAAATTTAGCAGCCTTTAGGCCTCTGGGAGTTGCTTAGGGTGGTTCTGGCTTAGGCTCTGTCATGAAGTTACAGTCAAGTTGTCAGCTGGGACTGCATCATAAGGTGGAACTGGGGTTAAAGTATCTGATCCCGAGCTTACACGTGTGTGTGTTAGCAAACTTCTTAGTTTCATCTGGGCTGTTAGACTAAAGCTTTGCTTCAGGTGTTGCTGGCTGTTGTCTCAAGGTCTCCCTCAGTTCCTTGCCATGAGAACATCTCTAAAAGGACAACTCTCAGGCAGCTGGCTTACCCAAGGCTGTGTGATCCAAGAGATAGTGAGAGACAGAGTGCTAGAGGAGTGCCCAAGTAGGAAGCCTCAGTCTGTGATAACCTAATCTTGGCAGTGGCATACCATCACTTCTGCTGTGTGCTATTGGTCACACAAGCCAACCCTGGTACGCTATAGGAGGGACTACACAAAGCAGTGAATACCAGGAGACAGGAATCATTGGGGGTCATCTTAAGGCAGTCTATCACAATTGGTATAGTGTACTTCCATCAGGAATTTAAAAATATTTGGTTGTTTCTTGTTGTAATGTTAGCAGCTCATTGATGATCATTTCCTGGTCTATGAATTCATAAGGGTTGTGATCCTCATATAAAAAGAAACTTATGTATTACTGAAGTGTGTGGTTTGTGTAGAAAAAAAAAATATGCTGCTATTCCTTTACTTAACATTTTTCAGAAGAATGACTTAATTCCTTAGCATCCTCTAAAGACTTGACTTTATTCAAAAGAGAGGGTAAGACCAAGACTTGGGTACAGGCAGTTTGAGAGGTGATTCCAGGAAGCAGCAGAATACAGGGGAGAGAGAGACCAGAAGCAGCAGAAGTAAGACAGGGCATGTTATTGATCTTTTTACACCTGTGGGCAACTGGATTTGTTCTGTTAAGGACCAGGAACCATGTAGGGACTCCTATACCCCATTGGATAAGGGTTGCATGAACTCCCTTGCATTTCCATGTTGAGTCTTGAGTGCTTGTTGAGACAGTGGCAGCAAACAGGGAACCCTCTGATACTTTTCAAACATAGCTGCCCCGAAATCAGAGGTAGCGTAATGTGGGGCACACACACACAAAAAGCATGTTTCAGTGACCTTTAAAGTGTCAGTATGACCTTTTGGATTTAAATAATTTGAAATATTTTAATCCATGATAATGAGTGATGATGTTACTGATGCTCAAATATTCCTATTTTTGCTAATGGTGGAACTTCTTAAAGTTGGATCCTGAATTCTTTAGGCAAATTAAAAAGCCCTATGACTTTATAGCTCCTTTACATGACAAGATGTTTCAGGTCAAGCATTGCACAAAATATCAACCAAGCAAAAGATCGTTCTTTTCTCTTGCTTCTGACTCCCTTGTATGGCAGAGGGACAAGAAGATAGGGGCTGTGGAAGCTGATGCTGGTGTTCACTACCTAAGAATTGCCAGGAACACATCTTGGCTTTAAGGAAGAACAATTTCATATGGAAACAGTGAAGTTACTTGTTCAAAGATACATAGTACAGTTATTCTAAACTTTTTTTTGGCTTCCTGAACATGCCTTGATCTAATTGGAAAATGCTTAGTAGTGACCCCAGTGGTTTTCCAGATAACTTTTCTGAATATCTTCACTCATCTCCCCTACCACTGTCCTAGGACAGTTCTCTTCATTCAGTAAGGCCTAGAGTTGGCCCTGGTGGTATTTGACATAAGGTAAGTGTATTGATTTATTTAGGAAGCCTAGAGTATTAGTTAGATGTCAGTGGAAAAGGAGCATATCATCTTCCTATCTCAGTCTTTTTGTATAAAGTACAGTCAACTTAAACATTAAGACCAGAGAAGAAAGGCTTAAAAAAATAGGAACATGTAGCCTTGAGCAGAAGAAATTTGGGGAAATGCTACTCATTTTGTTTGATCATGGTTTGGGAACTTTTATTGTATGTGATCCACAGATCTCTTAGCTTGTGCTATTCAGGCCACTTTCTCTGTGACTGTTAATGTATCTGGTTTTCATGACAGTTTAAGGAACCTCCAAAGCCTGGGACAATTGCCTCAATTCATTGTACCCTAGGGATGGCTCTGATATATAATTATTCTAACTGGAATACTGGTTAGGTGCCAATGAGTAACACAGTGGGAAATAACATAGGCTTTTATAATTAGATAAGAGTTGAATAGATACAGTTAAATCTTGGCTTCACAACTTGGCTGAGTAATCTTGGGAAAGATACTTAGCCTCTCTTAGCATGTGATTCTGTGTAAATTGAGGATGATGCTAATACCTCCTTTTGGCAGCTTCTGCTTTTATCTCACTTTCCCCTTATATCTGTTTTCAGCAATTTTAAATTCCCCAGCTCTCAGATACAACTCCAACAGCAAAAGTAGATTTCTGAATGTATTGTGGAGAGATTTATACAAGAATTGTATAACCCTTAGACTTTTTTTTTGTTCTGTGTCAGAATTTTTCCTTCCCGGGTAGCAACTTCCCTCTCTAATTCTCTTCATCCCTTTAAATTCTCTAAAATATACATATATATTATATATATATTTTTATATTTGTTTCCTCGAGTAATTTGGCTTTGCCCATCTGGCAAAACTTCACTTAGACTGCTCTTCTGGTATTCCTGAAGCATGCACCTTGGCATACGGGGAGGTTTGAGGTTGGGGCTGGAAGGAGGAGCAAGAAGCATCTTGTCAAATGCCTCACAGCTTATATTTGAATTTTTAATGTAAACAGGTCTACAACAGGATTCTAGACTGTTTAACTTACTGATCATATATATATATATATATATATATATATATATATATATATAATTTTTTTTTTTTTTTGGGAGACAGAGTCTCACTCTGTTGCCCAGGCTGGAGTGCAGTGGCATAGTCTCGGCTCACTGCAAGCTCTGCCTCCCAGGTTCACGCCATTCTCCTGCCTCAGCCTCCCGAGTAGCTGGGACTACAGGCGCCCGCCACCACGCCTGGCTAATTTTTTGTATTTTTAGTAGAGACGGGATTTCACTGTGCTAGCCAGGATGGTCTTGATCTCCTGACCTCATGATCCGCCTGCCTTGGCCTCCCAAAGTGCTGCGATTACAGGCGTGAGCCACTGTGCCCAGCCTATATATATATTTTTAAAAAACCAGCTTTTAGGCTGGGCATGGTGGCTGATGCCTGTAATCCCAGCACTTTGGGAGGCCAGAGCAGGTGGATCACCTGAGGTCGGGAGTTCAAGACTAGCCTGGAGAAACCCTGCCTCTACTAAAAATACAAAATTAGCCAGGCATGGTGGCGCATGCCTGTAATCTCAGCTACTCAGGAGGCTGAGGCAGGAGAATCACTTGAACCTGGGAGGCAGAGGTTGTGGTGAGCCGAGATTGCGCCATTGCACTCCAGCCTAGGCAACAAGAGCAAAACTCTGTCTTAAAAAACAAACAAACAAAAAAAAGCTTTTATTAAAGATACTAATTAAAATCGGACTTCATTATGTTTTAAGTATCTCAAGCTATAAATCCTGTGACTACATATTTTATCTCGAATGGTTGACTGGTTTACTGCTTGTTATTTTATATGCATTAAAGCATTTATTTACTAGTGTATCTGTTAGATAAGTCCTGGTAAAGAGGACAGAAAGTAGTATGCTTCTCCCAACAGTTTATACTATACTGGGGAGTAAACATGTAAAGAAATGAAGCCATGGAATACATATTAAAGTTGTATTCATTTGTAATTTCAGTATCCATATATTCCTGCACATATTACAAAGCCTAAGGAACATAAGAAGTTGTTTCTGGTTCAGCTTCAAGAAAAAGGTAAGTTATTTTGTTTTCAAAGGTAGCCATCTAAAAATTCTGTAGAATAATTTCAAGGATACCTCTATTTGTGTTTTCTCAAAGTTCCTTGAACTTTTGGGTTTGTTGTAAAACTAAAGATGTATACCATGCTTTTAGTTTCAAATCTGTGGCTAGGAAATCTACCTTGAAAGACACAACCAAAATGTATTAATGAGAATTATCTTTTTTCTTACACTTTTTATTAAATGTAAAATTGGTAATTTAAAAATGAAATGGAAGCAGTGATTATATAATAACTTATAATAATGAATTCTGTTTTATTTTAGCCTTGTTTGCAGTCCCTAAAAATTACAAGCTGGTAGCTGCACCATTGTTTGAATTGTATGACAATGCACCAGGATATGGACCCATCATTTCTAGTCTCCCTCAGCTGTTGAGCAGGTACAGAAAGTTGAACATTTTTTGGTTCATCCATATTAACTGTCAAATTTAAAATATTCTGAGCCACTTGGGAAGGTATAGTTCATGAATTTTGGTCTTTAAGGAAACTAAGAAAGTAGATAGACTCTTAGATCATGTGCAAGCCATAGATTAATTGTGACTAATACCATCCCCAGACTCTTAAGTTTCGGCATGACATTCTGGTATTTGTGCAACTGCTCTTCCCTAATTCTGATATTCTCAAGAGTTAAGGTTGATGTCTTTATTCAAAAAAGAGATGGTTAAATAGCAGTCAACAGTGTGTAAATATGAGCGGAGTTGTCTGTATTAAAATGTGGCAAATTGGCTGGATGTAGTGGCTCATGCCTGTAATCCCAGCACTTTGGGAGGCTGAGGCGGGGGTGTATCACCAGGTCAGGAGTTCGAGACCAGTCTGGCCAAGATGGTGAAACCCCATCTCTACTAAAAATACAAAAATTAGTGAGGCGTGGTGGCCAGCGCTTTTAATCCCAGCTACTTGGGAGGCTGAGGCAGAGAATTGCTTGAACCCGGGAGGCAGAGGTTGCAATGAACTGAGATCACGCTACTGCACTCCAGCCTGGGCGACAGAGTGAGACTCCATCTAAAAAAAAGAAAAAAAAGGTGGCAAATCGAATATCTTGGTGTAATATATTCGTTTTCCTTTTTTGAAACTTACTATATTTTGGCCCAAATTGAGGCTTGTGGGATTAGGTCCTGAACTTTTACGTGGGGTTTGAATCTTTAGGCAGTTAGAGTGATAAGAAATGCAGTTTTTTAAAAGTTGACTTGTACTGGTTGAGGTCTCTATTAGAGCCAGCCATATATAGGAATTGCAGAATAACATGGTGGTTATGAAAGTAGATTCTGCAGTCAGTGTTTTGGATTTGAAGCCCAACCTCAGTACTTGCTGGCAGTGTGACCTTGAACAAACTATTATACCTATTTGACTGTTTCTTCTTCTGTAAATGGGGATAGTAGTCTCTACTTCAGAGGATTATGAGGACCAAGTGAAATAATGCATATAAAATGCTTACAACAGTGCCAGTAATCTGGTACATACTTAATAAATGTTAGTGAAATTGGCCTTTTGTGAAAGCTTATTGAGTATGAAATTGCTCTTTCTACTTCGTCACTAATCAAACCTTATCTTTTGCCACTCCACTTTGGCCTCCTGATAGGTTACAAGTTGAAATGCATATGGGGGGAAAAGAGTCATATTATTTATTCAAACACCTACTTGTCAAGTGCAGGAACTGTGCTGAGTAGTCAGAGTATAAGGACATGTAGAAACTTTTCCTGCCTTAAAGAACTTATTAGTGGATAATTAATCAAATTTATAGTCTTAATTTTTTTTATTATAAGTATTCAACAAGTGTTTTTAGTGTGTAAGATGTGACCAGTGAGGGAAAATTGGTGTAGAAAATGCCAAACGTGGTAAAAAGGCATTCGAAGGGGAAAAAAAGAAAATGCCAGACATGCTAAGGGAGGGCAGAAACATCCAGATAAATTTATTTATCTAATATGGAAAGTAGTATGTACTGTCTTTAATAAAGGTATTGTTCTTTTTAAAATTCAGGTTCAATTTTATTTACAACTGAATTCCTGCGCAGTGGAGAAGTAAAAGAAGCCGCTTGTCTCTGTGAGCACAGCTATATACAGTGTAGAATAAATGTGGTAGAAAAGTTTTTTTGGTTTTATCTCTTTTGCGATCCCTAAATTGCCACCTTTCTATTGTTTGAATAGTAAAATTAATATGAAGAACTAGATAGTGGTGTAAACAAATGTGATAATGTTTATTTACTTTCGGTTCTGCTCATACTTTTTTGTACAACATTAAAGAAAATGGACTTTTTTTATTTTAATTTCTCATTAAACTTCTAAAATTCTTATAGGTGAGGATCATTTTTCCCCCCACCTTAGGATGGTGAATGTTGCAACACAATGACAGGTTTAAGTCAGTCAAGTTTATTGGACCCTTGCTTTGATACCATTCTTGGGCACATACTCCAAGATTGTATTAGATTTTTGTGATGAAGAGCTTCCATTACTTCTGAAAACTATATTTATCTGAGTGAGTCCAAGGTGCAACTCCTAAATGAATTGTGTTGCAGAGAACTCCCAGTATAATTCACTGACCAGTACATTTTATAACCATCCAGGCCTTGGTTTGCAAGCAACAGACCTTAAACATACAGGAAACTATTAAAATTGGCTCGATCAGTAGTCATAGGAATTGGTATAAGAAGAGACTCATTTAGAGCTCAGAGTTTTCTTCACATAATGGGGGTATTAATTATTTGTGCTGTTGCGAAATTATGTGTCTTATTCTTAAAGCCATGGTAAAAATAGGGATCTGTGAAGGAAATTTCTAAAATTGGATGTATTAGGTTTTGAACTCTGAGATTGCACAAATATTCAATTAACTTGAAGTTGTGTACATAGAGAAGAAAATTTGGTTTTAGCAAATGACAGAGCCTTCAAAAATATTTTTGGAATAATGTGAATCAACCGAAAACTGGGGGCAAGGCAGAGGACAGGTTTTCTCAGGTTAAGAGAAAAACGAAATTTTAAAAACTTTAAAAAATACTGATAAATTCGGATCAAATTTGGGGGAATAAAAAATATTAGAGCAAAGGAGTTTGCTGGTTGTGTCATTATTTAATGATCAAAGTATAGCATGTATGCCTTATTACAGACTTGTTGACTATAGGCTTAATGTAAAAAGGAATCTTGCCAGATGTAGCTACTTAAGGAAAAAAGGGTTTTTAATAGAAATGAACTTTTGATTAGTATGGTGCCAGTCACAGGGCTATTTTCCTGAATATTGGGTGATGTCAAAGGTATATGATACTTGAGGAAATCAGGCCAAGTGTAGCTGAGCAATTAATAAACACTCAAGTTTTTTTAGTTGGGGTCATGTCAAACCCTCACATGGTGGTTAAGTAGTGACTAACTGTGCATGTCCTTCATGGTAGGTGAGCACCAGTCTCCATGATCAAAAATGCCCCAGTTTCCTTTGAAAAAGCCACTAGTTCTGTGAATTGTCCTTTTCCCTCCTGCCCCTAACAGTCCTACCCCTCTAGCCTACATTAGCATATTTCTCATGTAATGTATTTTGCTGGTAAGCTCATCCATTAGCTGCGTCCTTCAGCTATTCCTTTAGATTGGAGGAAGTGGATATGAAGATGGATTGATTCAGCTCACCTTCCATGATTGCTTTTGAGGGAAAAGCTACAGTGGCCACATTTCAGATGTTCACTTTTGCAATTTGTGGAGGGTGGAGAGAGGTAGACTTTTGTTGTGTGTTTTATAAAGTACTCTCAGTAAGGAGTGTTTGAGTTGAAGAGTCATCTGATTCGAGGCCACTCATGTTCTTTGTAACTTAAACTTTGACCAAGAAATTCTTCACTTCTCACTTCTTCACTTCTTCCCAATATACAGTAAGTACGTGAGCCAGTCATCCATACACTAAGGCCTAGTTGAGAAAAACCTTTGATTCAGGATGGCTGGGTTACTAACCTTGAAATGTAAGAGATCTGGTTTTGAATGTAAAAGTTGCAACACACAAACGGAAGTCTTAAAAACTTTTTGCTCTGGTCAGTTACAGGTGGATCCCCAATAATCTGTTTTTGGTTTTCTGATGGAAATAATAGAATTAGGGGAAATCAAATCTGGTTGGTAGGTGTCTACAGTATTAGAAGAGGGTATAAGGGCACTGTTTAACACTAAGTTCTAATACTTCCAGAAACTGTGCATTCCAGATCTACATACTAAATGCTCTTATCATTTTGAAATGGGCTCTTGATTAATAGACCCATATTTTTTAGTGGCTTCTATGTTGTATATTTGTCTAAAATGAAAGCTCTTTTGCGTTCTAAAACTACAATATATGTCATCTTATTTTCCCTGAGTATCCAAGTATAGTGCAGATTCTATGTAAAACTACTAAATGACACTGGAATATGTTTAGTAGATTAGGGGGAAAAACTATAAAGGTTTATACAATTGTTTGTAGTTACATTTAGGATGGACTTATCCCTTTGGAGAAGAGTGAAGTTTGTTTTTTCGCCATGTGATGAAGACCACTGTGATTTTTTAAAAAAGTAGATAATACTTAAAATGGCGTAATAATTCTGCACTTGAATTTGTACTGTTAACAGCACATTTGGAAGATTTTAAAACTTTTTATTGTCTTATAAATAGCATTCACTTATTATTTTGGATATTTAAGGGTTCCATTAAGTTAACACTGTATTTGGACAAAGTGTGACCAAATTAGCCAGTCTGTTTTCTTCCATGTTTAATTAGAAGTGAGAGGTAGAAGTACTTCAAATTCAACAGGCCAGCAAGCAATCGGCTTAAAATTCCCTTTCTTAAATGTTGTGCTCTTATGTTCTCGGCTTTTTAATGACTTTATTTTTACAGTACTTGTTCAGTCACTTGAGATGAAATGCTTGGGGTAGCTTTTCCATCCTCAAACTTAATGTTTTTACTAGTTCATAGTGTTTGGAACAGTATATGCCAATCACTGAGACTGCATCAGAGTTTGCAATTTTGTATGTTTCATTGCCAAAGAAGGCTTAGTGGTTGTTGACTGTAGTATAAGTCAGCTTTCTGTAGCATAAGATTTGATTTTCCCATACTTACTTCACTTGTTATACATCACTGATTATTTGGGTTAAACTGGACTCATTTCAAGCAGTTTGCTTTTGTTCAAATCGTGATGAGAAACCTAATACTGTAATTTGATTTGAGCCATAAAACACATTTTAATATTAGCTTGTATTATAGTTATTAAGCTTGTTTTTGTGGAAAAAAACTTACTAAAACCTAGGTAACTCTAGATTAGGCCAGTTCAGGTGTATTTTGTATCTTAGTAATGGATCATATCGTAAAAATAGAGATAAGTTGGGAAGATATATTGATTATGCTGTTCTGTTGAGGGAAAGGTCATGTATTTAGAAATTTAAACTTTTGGTTATTGTGTTCACATCATAGTATTCAAGCATCATTTATAGTTTGGTTTTGAGAACTTTTCTGGTATTACGTTTATGGCAAATGTATAAAAGAAACAAGTTTTGGTTATATTTTTATATTTGTAAAGTAAGTTTGGTTAAAGTGATCACTGTTCTTTTTTTATTTTATTGTCATTTCAATAAAAAATATTTGAAAGAGAATGACTCTGTGATTGTTTTGGGATAGTAGTCCTGTATGTGTGGCTGCTGATCCTACTGTGCTAGTAGAAATCTTGCATGGTTCGTCACTGTGAGTGGCCGAGGGCCTTTAGGTAAGAGACAGCTTAGCATAATAGCAAGGGCCTGATGGCCTGGGTCACTGATGTTGCCCTCTCCTTGTGCCCCACACACTCCCTCCTCCCATTGTGTGTTAGCAGTGTTTCAGTTTCCTGAGGTGTGAAAGGGTCACTAGATTTGGAACATGAAGGCCACAAGTTAGAAGTTGCTACACAGTTGTGTTAACTGTGTGTAGTCCATATCATTGGGGACTGAGTCCGAGTTTCCTCATCTGTAAAGGGAGGGTTGACTCCTTTAGTTTTTTTTCTCAAACTTGCCTGGAATTCATAATGTTCTATGACACACACCATACCTGCTGCATATGTAATACTGTGTAATTCAATGTTATCTTAAATAGAAAGTTTACCCAAAATACGGGAATATATGTGTGTCTGATAAAACTATAGCCTTTTCAGCCTTTATATCTGAACAGAAGTGTGAATGAAACCTGATAGAAATTGAAAGGTTTTTTCTGAAAACTTTACTACTTGTGTATTTTATAGCAGGCACCAAAGATCTATGAAAAATAAATATGAAAGAAAAGCTACAAATGGAAATATATCCATTAGTTTAGTTTTTCCTCTAAAAACTTGAAGAGTTGGTTATTTTTCTCTCTGCTAGATTTAGCTGTGGAACATGGGTCCAGCTGATGAAACACTAGCATGCCATGGGAATACATTTAAAGCTACTGGATTAGATAGTGAAGTTCAGCTTCTAGGATTCTGAGAATCTTAAGCAACAACAAAGCCACCCAACCCGTCTCACATGATGGTGAATGAGGTCATGAATATGAAAGGACTTCAGATATTTTAAAAATGAAAATAGCATTGTATCTAGGTATGAATCTTACTCCACACAAACTGATTTGTCTGAAGTAATTATTTTATTCCCTTTAAATCAAACCAAGTCAGAACCACCATCCCACAAAGACGGCAGGAAATTAAGTCTATCAGTCATAATGGAAATGAAGGACCTATTTGAAGTCTCAAATCTGGAAGGCATAGTGTTATTCTGAAATCAAGGTTGTGGTGACGGGGGACCTCTAGCTTTCATCATGGACTCTATTGATTCTTGTCCAAGCAGGACCAGCCTCTCAAAGTCTGATGCTGTCATCTGTCTGCCACACTTGGGGCTTGGGACACAGCTGACAGGTAGCCCGTATGTTGATCTAGTCTCCCCAGGCACATTAAGCATTCATCCCTTTTGGGTCCTGCCTCCTTCCCAGTCCTCTCATGGAGTAAGATGCAGTTACCAAGAACTAGAAGTATTGGTTAAGAAGGCTTGTTTGGTTATTGCCAAAATGTCCTTCCTTGAGAACAACGGTGTGCAAAGTACCTTCTTGGAGTGTGTCTTGGAGTGGGAAAGGAAAAAGTAATGGTAGAAAAATTACTAATTCTAGTAAAAGATCCAAACACAAACGATTTACGTTCTTTTGGGTTAACTTCCCCCATTCATGTGAAGTTTCAGAAGGTTCAAGCTTCTAAAAGTTTAATAAGGGCAGATCTGTTAACAGCAGCCTGTTTCTAAGGGTGATGGGACAAATTTGGTTTGTGACAGTTTAGAACTACTGTGGCTAGGATTGAATAAAGATTGCCAGTCAGTGGTTTAAAAGTTATGGTGGCTCAGATCTTGACCTGTAAAGTAGAACACTTCCCTGGAAAATTACAATAGTTTTTCAAAATAAAGCTTTCCTTTATTTTACTGATAAAGTTTAAAGTTTAGCATTTTAATTGCATGGCTGTGGGAAGAGAACCAAAGTGAATTCAAGTCTAGTATTCATATAGACCTTGTATTAAAAAAATGCACGTGTGCAAAGGTAAGGCCTCTCCCTGTCCCGGTAAAGCCAAACGTTCATCAAAGACCCTTTAACAAGATGTTTCTAAAATTTCCAAAGTGGAATTGTAAGCTTGAGAGATCTTTTGTTTTCTAGTTAATAGACTTTTAGAATATTAGGCATGAAAAAGACCTTGAAAGATAATTTGGTCCTTTTCTTTAGAAAGTTTGGAAAATCCTACAAATATTTACAGAGCACCTACTCTGGGCTGAGAACTCTTACAGGCCCTGGGGATGCAAAAGGAATAAAACTCCCAAGGTAACATTTTTTTCCTTTGGTAACAGCTTATTGAGATACAATTCGCATATTGAGATAGAACTATTTAAAGTGTACAATGATTTTTCAATTCAGAGTTGGGCAATCATCACCTCAATTTTACATTTTCATTACTTTGAAAACAAACCTATCCCAGCCAGTGACTCACGCCTGTAATCCCTGCACTTTGTGAAGGCAAGGTGGGAGGATCACTTGAGCTCAGGAGCCACAGACTGGTCTGGACAACATAGCAAGACGCTGTCTCTACCAAAAATTAAAAATTAGCCAGGTGTGGTGGCATACGCCTGTAATCCCAGCTACTGGAGAGACTGAAGCAGGAAGATTTCTTGAGTCCAGGAGATGGAGGATGCAGTGAGCATGCCACTGTACTCTAGCCTGGGCCACAGACCCTGTCTCTTAAAAGAAACCTGCACCCTTTATCACCCCCTACTCCCCTCTTCCTCCCATCCCTAAGCAATCATTAATCAACTTTCTGTGTCTGTATATGTACTTGCCTATTGTGGACATTTCATATCAATGGAATCACACAACACGTGGACCTTTGTGGCTGTCTTCTTTGACTTAGCACGTGTTTAAGGTTCGTTCCTATTGTAGCATGTATCAGTAGTTCATTTTTATGGCCGAATAGTACATTTTATGGATGTATCACATTTATCCACTCATCGCTTGACGGACATTAGCGTTGTTCCCATCTTTTGATTGTTAGAATGTAATCAACATTTGTGTACAAGTTTTGTGTGGAGGTATGTTTCCACTTTTCTTAGAGGAGTGGAATTACTGGGTCAAATGGTCACTCTTGTTTGACTTTAAGGAAAGGACAGGTTATTTTCCAAGACAGCTGCACCATTTGACATTCTCACTTCTGGGGTATGAGGGAACACATTTTTATTTCCCGCTAAATCAGGTTCATTTTTTAGTTTCTGCTGGAGGCTACTAGCAAACAGCAGAAACTTGAAAGACTGTTAATATTCTTTCTTCTGGGGTTTCGGGCACCAGGGAAGCTGCGCGGCCCCTAGGAGTGCTGGGGGTAACCTCTTCAGAGGGTTAATGGGGTGGGGGGGGGGCAAGTGGCCGACGGCCTGGTGGCCAGGGTGCCCCGCGCCCTGAGGCCCTGCCCGCCTGCCAGCGCCTGCGAGCCCGAGTGACCCCTGCGCCGCGGCCGGAGCAGGTGCCCTCTGTGTCTGCGGGCCCAGCCAAGCCGTGGTGCGGACGGCGGATGATGCTGGGTGCCCGCCCCCCGGCCTGAGGCCCGGGGCTACGCCCGCTAGGCGGCGGCGCGACCGCTGGGGGCGGGGGACGAAGGCCGCGCCCCTGCGCCCGTCCCGCCAGCGTCCCGCTGGGGGCGGCGGCCTGTCCCGAGCCCGCCCAGGCTCTTCCGCGCCGGCAGGGGCAGCAGCGGGAGCAGCGCGGGGCGGAGCGGCGCCAGCAGCCAGGAGCGGCCCGGCCCGGCCCGGCGCGGCGGCGGCGGCGGCAGCGGCAGCGGCAGCGACGCCAGAGCCCGTGGGCGCCGTTCGCGAGGCCGCCGCAGAGGCCCGGCCGCAGCGCAGGGAAGCCTGGGGGCCAGAGGTCGCCGCTGCCGCCATGCCGCTGCTCTTCCTCGAGCGCTTCCCCTGGCCCAGCCTCCGCACCTACACGGGCCTCAGCGGCCTGGCCCTGCTGGGCACCATCATCAGCGCCTACCGCGCGCTCAGCCAGCCCGAGGCCGGCCCCGGCGAGCCGGACCAGCTAACGGCCTCGCTGCAGCCTGAGCCGCCGGCGCCCGCCCGGCCGAGCGCCGGGGGACCCCGGGCCCGCGATGTGGCCCAGTACCTGCTCTCAGACAGCCTCTTCGTGTGGGTGAGCGAGGCGGCCGGGCCCGCGGGGCAGGGGCGGGGTCCGCTGCGTCACCCTTTATCCGCGGGGGCGTGGTGGGCCTAGGGGCCCCTCCGCCAGGGACCCCCGAGGGCGAGCGCCTGGGGGGCGCGGCCTTGCTCGCGGGAGCGCTGCTGAGGGAGAGTGGTGAGGCGCGGGGAGGGGGAGGGGGCCGCGGGCGGGAGGAACATCGCGTGGGGTTGCGAGGAGGAGGCCCCGAGGGGCAGGCCAGCGTTGAGGGCTCCGGGAAGGGGGTCGGGGAGGCGGCGGGTGATGGTCTGCGCTGGGGCGCGGACGGGGCCTGGGGCAGGGGAAGGGGTTAAGGGGCAGTGGGGAGGAACGGGCTGGGTTTTCTGAGGGACCCTCGGGAGAAACTAGAAGATCTCAGAGGGCAGGTTCAAGGGGAGGTCGGGATCTGGGAGTGCGTTATCCCGAGGGTTGGACGAAGTAGAGTGAAGTTGAAAGCTTTTCCCACTTGGTCAGGCATGGGATTGTTAGCGGATTTTCTTCCGACGAAGAGGAGAGGGCAGAGGGGAGAATTCAGACGTTGAGTATGGGGGAATTTTCGGCACTCAGGTGTCTTTGGACATTCCGGTTGGAGAGAGGCCGTCTCCCACAACTTTTTTGCCGCTTAGTATTCGATTGTCCCCTTTGGGAGCTGTGTAATGAAACAAACACCAAACTGTGCTTCCTTTTCTGCTGCCTTTACCTGATGTTCATGACAGTTTTCCTTTGATGTCTGAACGCAGCAAAACATTCACAGTGTCAAGAGGCAGCCCATCATTTTAACTGAATGTTTCTTATTTGAGGATCTATTCTAACACAGTTTCCAGGTTGTCTGCCCCTGCGAGATAAGCAGCATTGATAAGGCACACATGCTGGTTTCGTTCATTAGAACAGATAATTTCAGACTGATCAGATCAACGGTATTTTGGCTAGAGAATTTTGCTTTCATCTTGGCCTTGAATACTTATGTAAATCCCGCAGTGATCAGAAAAGTTTCTCCAGGATTTAAAGCCTCACTTGGATTTAATATGGCTTCTTGGATCTTGTCTCCTTGCATGTTCCCATTTGGGGTTGAAAGTGGGCTGTAAATGACTGAGAGATTAATATTCCAAGTTGATAGTATGATATGCAACTCATTTGTTATAATTAGTCCCACTGTGCTTCATCAGGAAGCGGTGGGATTTATGGACTCTGTGGGCTGTAGATTAAGTCTCCTGGTCCTTCTGATGGAGAGTTTAGTAGAAGGCAGTGAAGGGTGAAGTTCCTGTTTATCTACTGCTGTGTAAAGCTGAACTTTACAGTCCTAAAGAAGGGAGAAGCGAAAGAACTCAACTCACATCTCTTGCTTAATTTCAAATCTGTTTTTGCATTTGAGTTAGCAGGTAAACAAAGTGATATGGAGAGTGTTTTTGCCATGTTAAGATTATAATGTAGTCTTTGATATTTTTTAAGTCTAAGATATAAATAAGCCTTTGAGAAGGAACCCTTATTTTATTTATATAACAACACTGGTATTGTTTAATGGATTTCCCCCCGCAGGACTTTATTTTGATAAAAGCCATGTTCAGATTCTAAAGTTAATATCTCTTCAGAAAACATTACATAAAAGCTGTTGATTTTTCTGTGATGATGATTACTTTTTAGGAAATTTCCTTTTCTTCCAGCATTTTCAGTAGAGGTCTTACCTCTGGCAGGTTTATCACTTCTTACTCTCCGCTGATGATATTTTCATTTCTCAGTTGATCCTAGTGCTGTTTTTCTTCCATCTTTCCTCTGGGGTCTCCACGTGTTTACTTTGGCCTGCTTTGGTTTCTCAGACCCTCCATGTGCTCACTGTTTGTCTCATCACTCAGTGTATATGTAGTTTCTGCTTTAGCAGCTGAGTAGAAGTGACAATCTCAAAAGCCTTCCCCAGTGGTGGGACAGATTAAGATTGTTGAGTGAATACCCTATGTGGTGGTGCCTTTGTCAACTGGATCCTCCTTGCGCCCTCCCCTAGTTCTATTGAATTCAGATTCAACTTTTTCACGAACACTGCCTGCCAAGGCCAAGCAAGACAAAACAAAGACTGATCCTTCTGCCAGTGCAAGTCCTGCTAGATATTAACATATTGTAATTCCCAAAACTTATCTTTTTAGAGCACAGTTTAGAATAATATCGGTCTGATAGCATCACAGGAGGTTTTTCATGAACAAACACAATTTAAAACCTTTCGAAGGTGTTATTTTGGGCACTTTGGAGGGCATATCTGTGAACAACACTTTCCCCTACCCTCAGTAATATGGCAAAATTTTATAGGGGATAATAGATAAATAAAATGAAGCAGAGTTTGGAGGAAAAAGAAAGGAATTGTGCCCAGGGAAGGGTTCATGGAAGGTGGTGTTTGAACCAGCTTGGAAGGTGGGAAGGGTCTCAACCAGTAGCAATGGGTATTCCAGATAGAGAAACCAGCATGTGGAGCTCGGTCTGGCGTGGGGAGGACAGTGCTAGGCACAGGCAGGGTGGTCCGGAAGCTGGGCTGTTAAATTAAAAGTCTGTTGAATCTTCTGATTTAAGAGGGAGGTTGAGAAGGTGAAGAGGAGACCGGGGGTGAAGGAGGTGGGGAGGAGGTGAAGGAGGTGGGGCAGGTGGCTCTGCTGTGAGAGGAGGAGGTGAGCAACCCCCTTGAAGGTTTCTTTCTCAAAATGTGGACCTCTGGCATCCTGGTATGTGGTCATCTGGGGTACTTGTAAAATGTAGTTTCCCTGGGGATCCATTTCAGAGAGAAGGGTGGAGCCTTGGAATCTTCATTTTAATGAATGCCCTAGGTGATTTGAGGAACACTAGTGGTTGAAAAACTGACCTAGGAAGAGGCTAGAGTGTGATGTCATGTAACCTTGACCTTGCTTGCTCTACCAAGTGTGGACAGTATTTTGTGGAGTGAGAGAAGCCATTGATGGGGCTTAAGTGGGGGTGGGGCATGGAGGAGTGGGGGTGCTGGCATGATTTCTTTTAGAAGATTGGGAGCAGTGTGGAAGATAGATTTATGTAGAGTGGGAAGAGGACGGGAGATCTAGTGACCTAAAACTTCCTCCTCCCAAGGGGGCCTCTCCAGGTGGCCCTCAGGCATGACATTGAGAAAGGATTTGGGAGGAGACTTCAGGGTTTTTACACTAACAAATATGTGGGTTTGACCTGAGAATTTGTTTCTCCTTGTCTTTCTAAAACTTCCATCCTAAAGTTTCATTTCAGATGAGTTTTTATTTTGTTACTCATTTCTGGGCTATTTTACATTGCTCAGATAATGCTTCCATTCAGCTACCTCTTGGTCCATTCTAGCATGGTTTTGGATTGTTCAGGTGTTTTGGCTTTTTCATTTTTTAATTCTTACTCATTACTTTTATTAGTTCCCTTTTCTGCTTTCTTAAATATCTGCTTCTAAAATTCTAAGAGCAAGATACGTGAATGGAGAAATAGAAATATGAAACTAATGTCAAGGTTCTGACTTAATTATGCAAATAATATCATTTAAATAGAACTCTCAAGGGGAAAAATGACCACAAACAAAAGTGGATAAAAGTGAATTGACCATTTAGAACAGGGATTGGCAAACTCGTGACCTATTTGACTAGGCCTGTTTTTGTCTTAACAGCTAAGAATGGTTTTTATATTTTTAAAGGGTTGTAAAACAAATTAAATAAATTAAGGAAGTTGCAGAGCCTAAAATATTCACTATCTGAGAGCACTTTAGAGAAAAATTGGCTGAATCCTATTTTAAAGAGCCGATTTTCGTATTATTATAAAACTTAAGGGCTGGGTTCAGTGGTTCACACCGGCAGTCTCAGCAGTTTGAGAGGCGGAGGCTGAGGCAGGAGGTGGAGGATTGCTTGAGGCCAGGAGCTGCCCAGGAGTCTGGGCAACATAGTGAGACCCCCTGCTCTACCAAAAAAAAAAAAAAAATTAGTCACCATTATAATTATGTGAAAATAGGCTTTTTAAAATAAGAGTCAGCCAATTTTTCTCTAAAGTGCTCTCAGATGGTGAATATTTTAGGCTCTGCAACTTCCTTATTTAATTTGTTTTACAACCCTTTAAAGATATAAAATACCTGCTTCTAAAATTCTAAGAGCAAGACATGTAAATGGAGAAATAGAAATATGAAACTACTGTCAAGGTTCTGACTTAATTATGCAAATTAAGTGTAGTGGCCTGTGCTGTAGTCCTAGCTGCTTGGGAGGCTGAGGCAGGAGGATTGCTTGAACCCAGAAGCTCAAGGTTACAGTGAGCTATGATTGTGCCACTGCACTGCAGTTTGGGCCAGAGTGAGACTCTGGTCTCAAAAAAAAAAAACAAAACAAAATTAAGAGCTGAAAGTGACTTCCTAGGTTTTAGTCTTTATGAGTTGACTATTTCAAGGTATATGAGGGAAAAATGTTAGCTCCAGAAATGTTGGGGCAGCTGAAGGAAAAAAGACTAAACTTGTGAATAATTGGATGTGAGCCTAGATAAATTAAAAATAAAAGGAATGTCTTCCAGGTGAGGGAGAAGGGGACTGCTATTTGATCACCTCCTAGGTATGCTTTGCGTGCGGACTCTCGTCTATTTCCCTAGTCTTGTTAAAGAAGGAACACAGTTATCATCTATGTGATGAAGGGGAGTGTGTGCATGTTTGTATTATGTGTTTGTTTCTGGGAGCCTGCAGAGAGGTAACAATACGTGAATTGTCCTTAAAGGGAGGAAACCACCAAATGGTAGGGGGCGCAGGGGAGTGGTGCTGGTGTAGGCAGGAGTCTAAGAAATATCCAGATTGACCATGTCTTGGAATAGGTTCCTAGTAGTTTAATCCCATGTCTTTGCAAGGTCATAAATAAGCACCTGTTGGTGGCCAACATTTTACAGGGTCAAAAACACCTGTAGGGTTACATGGTGATAAATGCACCTTCCTCTCTTTTTCTCCCAGGCAGGCCTAACTATTTTATAATTTAGTTTCTGTTTTCTCCAGTAGAAGAGTAGAACCATTCTGGAAGGGACATTTTCCTGCTGGGCCTTGGAGTGAAGGGAATTAACTTTGAGCCTTGAGTAAGTCAGGGTTGCTGGGATCACTGCTGCCTGACCTGCTACACTCTGAACGGGGACAAGTAAAACTTGTTTTTATTTTGTGTAGACTGGAAAAAAAAGGCATTTGGTGAGTTTTTAAAAAATGACTTGAAGCTTTGACAGCACTATAGCTATGAGAAACATTCTGAAGTGTTTTAATATAGTTGAATTTTTTTTTTTTTGAGTCAGAGTCTTTCTCTGTCGCCCAGGCTGGAGTGCAATGGCACAATCTCGGCTCACTGCAATCTCCGCCTCCTGGGTTCAAGCAATTCTCCTGCCTCAGCCACCCAAGTAGCTGAGATTACAGGTGTGCACCACCATGCCCAGCTAATTTTTTGTATTTTTAGTAGACACGGGATTTCACCATGTTGGCCAGGCTGGTCTTGAACTGCTGACCTCAGGTGATCCACTAACCTTGGCCTCCCAAAGTGCTGAGATTACAGGCATGAGCCACCACGCCTGGCCATAGTTGAAATACTGTGCTGTAACAGGAGAACTTGTTTTGGTTTGTTACTCATCAGTTTGTCATCATATGGTGAGAAAAATAATGTGGAATTGCAGAACTAGTCAGGTTAGTTTAGTAGATTCTAAACTTTAAAAAAATTTTAAAAAATAGATAATGCATGCTCAGGGTACAAAAGTTAAGGGGTACAGGCCTGGCATGGTGGCTCACACCTGTAATCTCAGCACTTTGGGAGGCCGAGGTGGGAGGATCACCTGAGGTCAGGAGATTGAGACCAGCCTGACCAACATGGTGAAACCCGTCTCTACTAAAAATACAAAAATTAGCCAGGCATGGTGGCAGGTGCCTGTAATCTCAGCTACTTGGGAAGCTGAGGCAGGAGAATCGCTTGAACCTGGGAGGTGGAAGTTGCAGTGAGCCAAGAATGCGCCGCTGCAGTCCAGCCCGGGCGACAGAGTGAGACTCTGTCTAAAATTAAAAAAAAAAAAAAAAGTTAAGGGATACAGAAGTGACATGCAGTGAAAAGTAGATCTCTCTCTCTCCCTGTTACCTGCTTCTCTCTTCCAGAAATGGCAATTATCAAATTCTTGTAATAAGTACTGTTGTTAAGTAGGAGACTAAGAAATACCCAAATTGATCAAGTCCTTGACAGTTCACACCTACATATTATACAAACGTGTGTGCACATATTTCCTTTTTTTTTTTGAGACGGAGTCTCGCTCTGTTGCCCAGGCTGGAGTGCAGTGGCGCGATCTCGGTTCACTGCAAGCTCCGCCTCCCAGGTTCACTCCATTCTCCTGCCTCAGCCTCCTGAATAGCTGGGACTACAGGCGCCCACCATGTGCCCGGATAATTTTTTGTATTTTTAGTAGAGATGGAGTTTGACTGAGTTAACCAGGATGGTCTCGATCTCCTGACCTCGTGATCCGCCCGCCTCGGCCTCCCAAAGTGCTGGGATTACAGGTGTGAGCCAGTGCGCCTGGCGTTTTTTTGTTTTTTGTTTTTTTTTGAGATGGAGTCTCACTCTGTCACCTAGGCTGGAGTGCAGTGGCATGATCTCGGCTCACTGCAACCTACGCCTCCCGGGTTCAAGCGATTCTCCTGCTTCAGCCTCCTGACTAGCTGGGATTACAGGAGAGCACTACCACCCCTGGCTAATTTTTGTATTTTTAGTAGAGATGGGGTTGCACCATGTTGGTCAGGCTGGTCTTGAACTCCTGACGTCGTGATTCTCCCTCGTCAGCCTCCCAAAGTGCTGGGATTACAGGCATGTTCCACTGTGCCTGATTCAGGGATTTATTTTATTTTAGTTTACTTTTTTTAAGCAGTTTTTTTTTTTTTTTTTGAATCAGAGTCTCACTCCGATTGCCCAGGCTAGAGTACAGTGATGCTATTTGGGCTTATTGCAGCCTCAACCTCCCTGTGTCTAGGGTGATTCTCCCACCTTAGCCTCCCAAGTAGCTGGGACTACAGGCACACACCACCATGCCTGGCTACATTTGTTGTGTTTTTAGTAGAGATGGGGTTTTGCCATGTTGCTCAGTCTGGTCTCGAACCCCTGGACTCAAGCAACTCACCCACCTTGGCCTTCCAAAGTACTGGGATTATAGACATGAGCCAGTGCTTTTAAATGAGGAATGCTCCAGTTATGTTTCTTTCAGTATAGGTTGAGAATACTTTATCCAAAATGCTTGGGACCCGAAGTTTTGGATTTGGGATTTTTTTCCTGGATTTTGGAATATTTGCATATACATAATGAAATATTTTGGGGATGGGACCCAAATGTAAACATGAAATTCCTCTGTTTCATATACATCTCATTCATACACATACCCTGAAGGTAGTTTCATTTTTCCCTTAGGGACACTGAGTAAACTGTTGTAAGTCTGCATTTTGACTGCGACTCGTCACATGAGGTCAGGTGTGGAATTTTCCACTTGTGACGCCATGTTGGTGCTCAGAAAGTTTTGGATTTTGGAGCATTTCAGATTTTGGATTTTTGCATCAGGGTTGCTCAATTGTATTTACAATTTTTCAAGCCTTTGTTAACTGAAGTTGAGAAGTTATATGTATGACACAATATTATTTATTTATTTATTTGAGACAAGGCCTCACTATGTTGCTCAGGCTGGAGCAGTACAGTGGTGCAATCACGGTTCCCTGCAGCCTTGACCTCCTGGGCTCAAGAGATCCTCCCACCTCAGCCTCCTCAGTAGCTGGGACTACAGGTGCACACCACCCCACCCGGCTAATTTTTGTATCTTTTGTGGAGATGGGGTTTCACTATGTTGGCCAGGCTGGTCTTGAACTCCTGAGTTCAAGCAATCCCCCCACCTTGGCCTCCGAAAGTGCTGGGATTATAGGTGCGAGATACTGTGCCAGGTCAGTATTTGTAATTAACATATAATCATTATAATTAAGGTATTTTTCTATAAATAGACATGGAATAGTTATTAATAATCATTAAGGTGTTTTAAAAAACTTTGCTTATAATCTTAAAATAAGGATTGCTTTCAATCCTTTGTAGCTTTGGTTACAAAGTTCACAACAGCTTATCTACTTTTTACATAAATTCCCTTTTTAGTATCAGTATACTCAGACTTTTTTTTTTTTTTTCCTGGTTAGCCATGTTAATTTTCAAATCTTCATTTAAATTAAAATAGGAAGTGGTTGTTCTATGGGTGATGGGATTATAAGAGACTTTTACCTTTTTTTGGATAAATTAAAGATACACATTTTTTATACCTTATTTGAATTCAAAGACTTATTTAGGCTGGGCGCAGTGGCTCATGCCTGTAATCCCAGTACTTTGGGAGGCCGAGGCAGACGGATCACTTGAGCCCAGGAGTTCGAGACCAGCCTGGGCAGCATGGTGAAACCATGTCTCTATAAAAAAATTCAAAAATTAGTGTGGTAGCTCACACCTGTAATCCCAGCTACTTGGGAGGCTGATACAGGAGAATAGCTTGAACCTGGAAGGCCGAGGTTGCAGTGAGCGGAGATTGCACCATTGTGCTTTAGTTTGGGCAACAGAGTGAGACTGTCAGAAAAAAAATAAATAAATAGACTTTTATTTAAAGAGTTTGAGAAATAGTAAATAATACTTTATTTTTTATTTGATAACTTAAGATGTGTGTGACAGTACTGTTTTGAATAGAGAAATGTTTAAGTGACCCTAAATTTGTTTTTTTTCTCCATCATTACTCTCGTAGTAGCCTGCTTGGCCTTCTGTTAAATTGCTTACCATGCTCTATCTCTTGTAGATTCTAAAAGCTCTTTGAGTTTAGGGTTCAGAGCTCCCTCATTTTTCTGATTTCCCACATGCCTCGAACAAGTGCTAAATGTGTTGCATTTATTTTTTAAATTCATATGACTGACTACATGTAAAAACGGGAAGAATTATTTTAAGAAATTGCGTCGTAATAAAGCTGGGGCATGTTTGGCTGGGGGATGTGACATGAGGGGTTGTGGTTTTGTCTTATGACATTTCTCTTAGTTAATGTGGCTGAGATTGGTTAGATCACAATGAAGGTGAGTCTTTTTAGCATCTATTTCATCACCTTAAAAATGAACATTTCAAGTTACCTGAATTGTTTTTTCTTTTTAAAAAATTTTATATATTTTTCAGTAGGGGCAAGGTTTTGCTGTGTTGCCCAGGCTGGTCTCAAATTCCTGGCCTCAAGCAGTCCTCCCACCTTGGTCTCCCAAAGTGCCAGGATTACAAGTGTGAGCCACCATGCTCCTGGTGATCTGGACCATTTTGAATAGGTCTGTTACACAGATTAGGATATTTGGGGCAACTAGTTTGGGCGTTTGTTCCTGGTTGTTTGAAGGATTTAAGTACCAAAACAGTTTATTTCTTTAGCAGAACTATTTTCGTTTCAATCCTTTAAAAATGTATTACATACTTCCTTGGCCCATTAGGCAGACAGAATAGAACTAAATTTAATCATTTGTAATGAATCAGGGCTGCCCTTAAGTGTTCTCCCAAAGGAGGGATGGCATGAGGTACTAAACAGACCCTGAGGTGATCTCAGGGATCTTGCTTTCTTAAATTACTCTCCTCTATCCCCTTTCTTTCTTCTTTAAAATTATCATTTGCTTTTAAAAGTAGAGGGAAGAATGACTTGGCAAGGGTAATATGGTAAACGTAGTGAATCAGAGGCAGAAGCAGCTTTACATTGAATTGGAGTTCCTTTTCATTTGCTCTCAACAAGTCATCTGTACTGTTTTTATCAAGGTCCTTTTGGCTTTTTGGAGTCATTCAGAGTAATGTGATACCCCACACTAATCTCTGGGTTGGGGACAGCCAACTCTTCCATTTTGTAAGCATTAAGATTTGGCGTTTAGGTGTAAGGATATTCATCATTTAGAGTTTTGTTTTGTTTTGTTTTGTTTTTCAAGTTTTCTCATAGACTGTTGAAGAAGGCCTTGGTTTTGCATTGGTATCCCCAGGTTGCCTTTCATCTCTTGGCCCCTCTCGCCGGTTTTCTTTTCCTTCTGTTTAACCCATTCCACCCTGCTGCAGTGCCACAAAACCTTTACTTCAAAGCCAACACCAAGCATGGAGAACATTTATCTTTTGGTTGAAAGATTTTTCCATTCCAATAAATATTAAAATATTCTCTCTGTATATATATATTTATATTATTAGTTCCTTATGATGAGACTTTTTTGTGACCATCCACACTCCTACCCCTACCTCCTATTTGTTTGGCAGGGCAGAATCTCTGGGTGCTGGGTTTTACTATTCACGGTAACTTCAATTTCTAGAACAGTTTTCTTCAAGGCTGTCAAAATAATGTCGGAAATGAGGTACTTGGGAAGGACCTGCAGTTTACGAGGTTAATGTAGTTTTGCACATACAGTACAAAGTATACACACAATTCAGTTAAGGATGAAAGATAAGGTGGCCTGCTGGAGGGTGCGTATTGGGACAAGAACTGTGACTTAGCTGGTGAGCTGGTGCCTCTCTTTCCGGTCCTCATCCCTAACACCCACTCCCCAGAACAGTGTGCCTTTTCAGATATTCCTTATCTTGCATTGGGAGAGAACCAGAAAGGCTCAGTCACTGGAAATGATGGCTGAATTCCTAATATGAGATTTTTAGAGCTGCTTTTATTTTTCAGCAGGAAGAAATAAACTTCCTTTCTCTGATTTGTTTACAGGTTCTAGTAAATACCGCTTGCTGTGTTTTGATGTTGGTGGCTAAGCTCATCCAGTGTATTGTGTTTGGCCCTCTTCGAGTGAGTGAGAGACAGGTAAGTCTACACTGAAAGGATGGATTCTTGTGACTAGATTTTTTTTTTTAAACTTTGTATTATGATTTCAGATGTGTGGAAAAGTTCCATGAATACTACAGAAAACTCCTATATACCCTTTATCCAGATTCGCCAGTTGTTAATATTTTGTTCCATTTGCTTTAATCTTCACTTTTTATTTATACATACTTTTTTTTCTGATTCATTTGAGAGTAAGTTGTGGACATCATTACCCCTTTACCCCTAAATACTTCAGTTTGTATTTTCTAAGAGCAAAGGCATTTTTACAGCACAGTGATTAAAATTAGGAAATTTAACATTGAAAAAATACTTTGTCTAATCCACAGTCCATATTCAGTGTAGCCAAGTTGTCCCAATATTGTTTTTTATAGCTGTTTTTCTTCATGACTTTTAGGAATGTCGTTTTTAAAGAAGCCTAGATTTGTTTTATTTTGAATGATCATAAATGTCACTCTGTAGAATGTGGGTTCTTTTCCAAAAGAATTTACCAAGATAATTTTCTCTGTGGGAAGGTGAATTAAGAATCATTGTTCTAAAAGCATAAAATTAGGAGATTTGTTCTTGTTTTGGGTGAGATTGTCTGACATTGGAAAGTGACTCAGAATGGGCAGGGGATGCTTTCAATGAAGAATTACGCCACAAGCATACTGTATAGATTGGCAGTTCGCTGAGGATTTGAGTGGGTAGGGTGTAGAATAATTTTTTTTTTTTTTTTTGAGTCGGAGTCTTGCTCTGTCACCCAGGCTGCAGTGCAGTGGCGCAATCTCAGCTCACTGCAACCTCTGCCTCCCGGGTTCAAGCACTTGTCCTGCTTCAACCTCCCAAGTAGCTGGGAATACAGGTGTGCACCACAGCTAATTTATATATTTTTAGTAGAGACAGGATTTCGCCACGTTGGCCGGGCTGGTCTCAAACTCCTGACCTCAGGTGATCCGCCTGCCTTGGCCTCCCAAAGTGCTGGGATTACAGGCGTGAGCCACTGTGCCTGGCATGGTATGTTTTAAAGTAAAAATTTAGAACTGGCCTTCAAAATCACAACATAAGAACAAAATTGTGTTTTATTCTATCTTATCCCAGTGATAAAACACAGGAACCTACTATATGAAAAGCACAACAGCAGCTTTACTTTATGTTCAGAGTGTTCCATTCTCTCCTTACCTACCCTTTTCAACCCAAATTTCCTTTTATAAAATCAGCTGAAGTCCTAGTTTAGAGCTGACATGTATTACTTGGTGGTTGAGCCCTTGGATGCCATTGTGAACAGGACTATTTTGTATTCTCAGAGATTTTTCATTTTCAGCACTTTCTCCAGTATCGACTCTAGAGGTCTCCCAGATAGGTTGTAAATGCTGCCTTTTTTTTTTTTTCTTTTGAGACAGCGTCTTGCTCTGTCACCCAGGCTGGAGTGCAGTGGTGCGATCTCCACTCACTGCAGTCTCAACCTCCTGGGCTCAAGCAGTCTCCTCCCATCTCAGCCTCCTGAGTACCTGAGACTACAGGCATGTGTCACACCTGGCTAATTGTTTAGGTGTTTGTAGAGACGGAATTTCACCATGCTGCCCAGGTTGGTCTCAAACTGTTGAGTTCAAGCAGTCCGCCCGCCTCAGCCTCCCAAAGTGCTGGAATTATAGGTGTGAGCCACTTCTACTGGCTTAAATGCTTCTTTTGATACTTCTTCAAGTTTCTCTTCAAATTTTTTATTTGTGGACCAGAAATTGGTCAGGCCAGGCAGGCTTGGTGGATTGATCTGGCACCAGTGGGCTTTATATACTTTCTTTTCCCTAAAAGGTTACTTCTATCAGGTTGAAATTTATAGAAAGTATAACCTTGGAGTATTTTAGAGATTTTTTAACTAGATCCAGAGGTAATTATAATGAGCATATTTCTTATCCAGCTCCACTTTAATTTTTTTCAGCATCGATCGCATCTTCCCTGCTGTTCTGTGTTGGTTTATTTATGTTTAATGTCATCCAGTAGCATCAATTAGGAACCATTTTGAGTTAGAAATCTCTAGGATTGACATGGGTTTGCTCTTGGGTGCTTAAAGTTCTAGAAATAGAGTAATGCTAGAGGCAAAGACATCGAATATCTAAAATGATTAAAATGTTAAGTGGAGGTTTAGAGCAAGGAAGCTTTTTGATGCGTTTTTAAGTGCTTAGTGCCTAGTATGGCACTTGTCTAACCATTTCACATATATTATGTATAATTCCCCCAACAATTCTATGAGGTATATGCTGTTATTATAAGACCTATTGTATGGATGAGGAAACTAAAGCACAGGGATGTTAAGTGACTTTCCCAAGGTCACACAGAAACTAAATGGCAGAGCCAAGTGGCAGTGTCATTCAAAACCAGGGCACAAAATGTCCTAAGTTCACCTTGTACTTTCCCTGCACCAGGTCTGGAAACAGACATTTCACCAACGATTCCTAGTTCACGTTATTGGGCAATGATATTTAGAAGCCAAGCTGTATACTGGCTGAGTGTGCTCATTACCACTAGGGTGTCTCTGCCCTTTTGATGGATAGAATTAGGGCATACTCTATGATTTTTTTCCACTTTATTTTGTTCTCTACAAAAGATATCTGGTCAGAGTACAGTGTGTTTAAGTTCTCAAAATCTTTAAGGAGTCACGTTGTTAATTTGTAGTATATTTTGCTTTTTTGTGTTTATTTTTTGAATTTGTGAAACATTTACATGGTTCCAAATTACATATAAAAGCATTCTTTTGGGAGACCAAGGTGGGATCACTTGAGCCCAGGAGTTTGCGACCAGCCTTAGCAACAGAGGGAGGCCCCATCTCTGCAAAATATAAATATAAAAAACATTAGCCGGGCATGATGTCATGTGCCTGTAATCCCAGCTACTCAGAAGGCTGAGGTGGGAGGATCGCTTGAGCGCAGGAGTTTGGGGCTGCAGTGAGCTACTACTGGGCCACTGCACTCCAGCCAGGATGACAGAGTGAGACTCTGTCTCTTTAAAAAAAAAAAAAAAAGTATACTTAGAATCATGCTTCCATTCTTATCCTCTTCAGTCAGTTCTCCCTGACCCCCCTAGACGGCTTGATAGTCTATTTTAACATGTGGGGGAACTAGACCCTCCTTATTGCTCTCCTATTTCAGGGTTAGTGAAGATTGTTAAAACTGGAAGCCCTCTGTGTAAAAGAGTACAGTGAAGCAAATATGCATACACACTGCCCATGGGAATGTACACTTACAGGACTGCTTTGGAAGTTAGGTAGATTTTACTATAAACCATAAAAATCTTTGCAATTTTTGATTTGACAGTGCTGAAGTAACTCATACAAAGATACATACAAAAATATTCATCACAATTTTTTTTTTTTTTTGAGACAGAGTCTTGCTCTGTTGCCCAGGCTGGAGTGCAGTGGCATGATCATGGCTCCCTGCAACCTCGACCTCCCAGGTTCAAGCAATTCTAATGCCTCAGCCTCCCAAGTAGCTGGGATTACAGGCTTGTGCCACCATGCTCAGCTAATTTTTGTATTTTTAGTAGAGACAGGATTTTGCCATGTTACCCAGGCTGGTCTCGAACTCCTGGGCTCAAGTGATCCGCCTGCCCTGGCCACCCAAAATGCTGGGATTTCGTGCATGAGCCACCACGCCCGGCCCTCATTATAATGTTTTTTTTGCGTGGTGAAAATTTTAAAACAGTTTCAGTGTCCATCTTTAGCCATTGAAACGGTATATTGGTATATTCAGAGAATATTCATTGACATTGTTAAGGTTCTAACAATACAATAGGTGAAAGAAAGCATTGTACAAAAAGTAATGTGTTTTGTACATAGGGAAAAGACAAGAAAATTCATAAAAATGTTAAGGCAGCATTTTTCATTTTCTTTGTACTTTTTATGCCGCCTTTATTATGGGCTGGCAAGTGGTTGTGTTGTGTTATTTTTTAATTTGAAGAATTTTTTTTACAAAGTCTAATCTTTTCTATTGTGTAAGAATCTGGAAGGTAGAAGTAGTAAAAATGATAGCCCTTGCCATTCTTTTTCATTGTGCATTAAAAATGTAAGCATTTTTTTCTTTTTTTTGAGAGAAGGTCTTGCTCTGTCACCCAGGCTGGAGTGCAGTGGCATGATGATGGCTCACTGTAGCCTTGACCTCCTGGGCTCAAGCAATCCTCCCACCTTAGCCTCCTGAGTAGGTGGGACTACAGGTGTGCACCACCATTCCCAGCTAATTTTTGTATTTTTTTTTTTGGTAGAGATGGGGTTTCCCCATGTTACCGAGGCTCATCTCAAACTCTTGAGCTCAAGCTGTCTACCCACCTCAGCCTCCAAAAGTGCTGGGGTTACAGATATGAGCCACTGCGCCTGGCCTATTTCTTAATATATAAGTTACTAAACTAATATCGCTATCCTTTGAATAGCTAACATTCCATAATTGATTTAGGGTTATAGTCCAAAGTTTACAGATTAGTTTCTGGGTGTCTTACCTCCATTCTTCAGATGGCTGCTTTTTTTTTTTTTTTTTTTTTTTCTGTTTTCTTGAGGACAAGTATTAGAAAGCCAAGTGCAGAATATATCTTCCATAGAAGCCGGCTTTTGTTATGGTAACTTCCCTCAAATGGGGTAGGTGTGATGGTACTCACCTTCATAAACATTTTTCTTTTTTAGCATCTCAAAGACAAATTTTGGAATTTTATTTTCTACAAGTTCATTTTCATCTTTGGTGTGCTGAATGTCCAGACAGTGGAAGAGGTGGTCATGTGGTGCCTCTGGTTTGCCGGACTTGTCTTTCTGCACCTGATGGTTCAGCTCTGCAAGGATCGATTTGAATATGTGAGTTTTTAGCCAAGCTTTTTGCTTGCTTAGTCACCACGTTTGCCAACTTTGAATTGTGTAATGTGAATGAGCCACAGCAGGCATGGTCAGGGTAGCTCTTCTGGGAAGACTTCTAGATCAGGCCCCCATTGCCTGTTTCTTGAAGAACTTTCTACAGCAGCCAAGAGATGCAGAATCGTTGTCTCCTGGGGAGCTTTCTTCCCAACCCCATAGTGTTTACTTACTGCTAACATGGGGTCACTTCACCTATGCAGACTGTTTTGTTCACAGTGCAAGGAAACCTTGATACATAAACAATAAAATCTGGTCTTTTCTAGATATTTTCTGTTCTAGTCTCCTTCTGTCTCTCCCAGCTTACTCTGGTTCGTGGAGCTCTTCTTTCTGAGTAGTTTATACTATTTCCACCCCGGGCCAGGACTGAATTAGCTCCCTCAGCTTCCTTGTTTGCGAAGTGAATCATTTTATGTCTGGTACAAGATCTGTCACTTGGTTTCAGATCATAGCTGTATGAGTGAACCTTCAACCCATTAGTGACCTGAAGTAGTCTCATGAGTCCCAGATAAATGTGCATCTACAGTGCTGCCCCTCAGTTAAACCCGCTCCAGGGCCTTGTTTTTCCCTGTCTTTACCCAGTCCACATGGACCTTGCACCTTGGTTTGAGTTAATCTCACTCTCACAGCCTTTATTTCTTTCACATTCAACCCTCATTTGAAGTCACAAACAGGAGCTTCTAACCTCCCAAACTGTTTTTTTTAATCTCCGCCTGTGACCTCAGGAGTTGCAGCTCTAGGCCTTCTTTTCAGACTGTTGCCTCTCCTTGCATAATGCTGACATCACGTTGTAGTAGTGGTAAACCTGTGCCTGGATTGCATTTCAATTGTGCTAGCCCTAATAGACTAGGAATGCCAATTTCAGAGAGGAGGACTAGAGCAAGATTGAGAAAGAAACAGAACAGAACAGGCACTGTCCTGAGTCCTGTTGAAGGTGAGAGGAGAGAGTTGTATACCCTCGGAACATTGCTTCTAGAGGTTTATAATCCCAGTGCTAGGAGGATCTTTGAGAGTAAGGGATGAAAATATAATGCATATTGTTATACTCAGTAAATTAAATGACACGGATCTCTAAATATCACCTCATGCTCATATTTGGGTTATTGGAGAATAGGACCATATAGTAATGGGATGCTTTTCTGTGCTTAGCACAGAACCCTAAGCAGAGAAGCCAAGATTGACCTTGAATTTCTCAGTGAAGTTTAACACTTCCATGAAGAAGAATGAGCAGTTTCCTACTGTGTGCATTTCAGCTTTCCTTCTCGCCCACCACGCCGATGAGCAGCCACGGTCGAGTCCTGTCCCTGTTGGTTGCCATGCTGCTTTCCTGCTGTGGACTGGCGGCCGTCTGCTCCATCACCGGCTACACCCACGGAATGCACACCTTGGCTTTCATGGCTGCAGAGGTGAGATACTGGATGCAGGACTTGCTCAGATTGTATTTCTGTCTGTTTTCAAGGAAGCTGGATGTTTGACAAGTTATTTTCACCCATGAAATGACAGGTGGATATTTGGTCTTTCATTTTAACAAGCATTTCAGTTCCTTTTTGTGTGTTGGGTACTGGTACTGAATGCTTTTGTGTGGTATTTTATGTAACTCTTTCTTTACGTAGGGTATAAAGATTTTACAAAATAATGAATAAACTGTACTCATCATTTTGAAGGAAAAATCTGGTCTATTCATGAATATTTTAAGATTTAAAAATTTTTCACTCTTTTAAACCTTTCTGAAAATACCAATTTCTGTTCAGTAGAAATAAAAATTCTCCAGCCTGGCCAATATGGTGAAACCCTGTCTCTACTAAAAATACAAAAAAAAAATTAGTTGGGCGTGGTGGCGCACGTCTGTAGTCCCACCTGCTTGGGAAGCTGAGGCAGGAGAATTGCTTGAACCCGGGAGGCGGAGGTTGCAGTGAGCAGACATTGCGCCACTGCACTCCAGCCTGGGTGACAGAGCGAGACTCCATCTCAAAAAAAAAAAGAAATAAAAATTGTTTGTATGTCCTTATATTTAATGGCTATATTTGCCTTTTCTTCAGGCCAAAGGCAAAATACTTTTATCTTACCCATAATTAGTATTATTAATTAAAAAATGAGATATTAGATAAACTGAAGCTAATTGGCTAATATCAAAACACTACATTTGAACTACTCATTGGGAATTTGGTAGAGCAGAGTTAAAGTTTATTTCTGTTTGATAGCATTCATTTTTGAGTACATTTAGTAGTGTAAGTAAAATTAGAAAAGAAACATTTAAATACATAATGTTAATTATCATATTATAATATTGTAATTAAAATACAATAGTCCTAATATAAATAATAAGATATGTAATCTTAGGTGAATACTTCTGTATATGAAAAATATACAACCGTATTTCGTCTTGACAGAAAATCTGTTGAAAAATCCATTTACACTGACTTATTTGCTTTAGATTTATTGCAAAGTTAGAATGATACTTATGTTTGCCTTTTTTTGATTCTCTAACTTTCAACTAATATAATATTATCCAAACTTTGAAAAGGGTATACCTAAAAATAAGCACATTTAACTTAGGCCCGTCAGCTCATACTATAGTATATACTTTTATTTTAGCTTGTTACTGTTTATTCTTTTAAGATAATTTATCATATTACAGATTTGATATTTTAAACTAAATCATTTCTTACATTCATAGTGTTTCTCTCTCCTGTAAAATATTTTTCACTTACAAATGGGAATTTAATCTAAAACATAAATAATGTAATAGTTTTATTCTACTAGATTAAGAGGACTTTTTTTCTTAATGAAAAATATCTTTTTTTTTTTTTTTTTTTTGAGACAAGGTGTCACTCTGTTGCCCGGGCTGGAGTGCAGTTGCTTACTGCAACTTCCACCTTGTGGGCTCAAGTGATCCTCTCATTTCCTTAGTAGCTGGGACCACAGGCATGAACCACCATGCCTGGCTAATTTTTGATTTTTTTGTAGAGATGGGGTTTTGCCATGTTACCAGGCTGGTCTTGAACTCCTGAGATCAAGCAGTCGGCCTGCCTCGACCTCCCAAAGTGCTGGGATTACAGGTGTGAGCCACTGTACCTGGCCGTCAATTTCTGTAATAAAAAAAATACCCTTCAAGACCAGCCTAGCCAACATAGCAAGACCTTGTCTCTACAAAAAAAAAAAAAAAAGCCATGAGAGACTTATTTTGTCCCTCTCCTCTCCTCCCCTCTCCTCTCTCCTCTCCTCTCTCCTCTCCTCTCTCCCCTCTCCCCCCTCCCCTCCCCCCTCTCCCCCTCTCCCCCCTCTCCCCCCTCCCCCTCCTCTCTCTCCCCTCTCCTCCCCTCCCCCCTCCCCTCTCCCCTCTCCCCTTCCACTTCTTCCCCTTCCCCTTCCCTTCTGACAGGGTCTGGGGTCTGGCTCTCTCACCCAGGCTGGAGTGCTGTGGTGCGATCTCTGCTTACTGCAGCCTCCACCTCCCAGGTTCAATCCATCCTTCCACCTCTGCCTCCCAAGTAGCTGGGACTACTGGCACGTGCCACCATGCCCACCTAATTTTTGTATTTTTTGTAGAGATGGGGTTTCACCATGTTGCCCAGGCTGGTTTTGAACTCCTAAGCTTGAGCAATCCTCCTGCCTCGGTCTCCCAAAGTGCTGGGATTAAAGGTGTGATGTGGCTGGCCTTATTTTGCTTTTGATTGCTTTCGTTCTTTTTTCTGCTGGTGGACAAAGGGAGTGCACAAAGCACTAGGGAGAGAGCAGGTCCTCGTGTCTAGGATAGCAGTACCTGAACTATACTTGGAGTTACAGCATCACCCTTCTAAGTAATCAGTGATAGTGACTTAATGCTGTGTGAAATAGAATTGATGGTCAGACTACCAGGGTAAACCTCAAGATTGTAGGGGGATTCCTGGGGGGTAGGTGTAATTGGTTGTCACCTATTAACAGGACTTTTCCTCAATAAAAGTTGGGTTTCTAGGTCATAAAAATATTTTACAGAAATTTGAAGCAGAGAAAATAAAATAATGGGTAAACTTGAACAATCTGCTTTTTAATTGAACTGAGAAATGTTTGTCTTTTATCATTTTATAAAAAGTTTGGCCTGAGCAATGCTACATTTTACTAAAAAGAAAATATCCTTTTTTATAGTCTCTTCTTGTGACAGTGAGGACTGCTCATGTGATTTTACGGTGAGTGAAATTGGGGAGGGAGGTGATGGAGGCCTACTCATACAGTTGATTTTAAGATGTAGCAGGTATGAAATATATAAAAATCGGACTAAATTACAACATGGTTAAACCAAATTCAGTAGTAACAGTAAATTACTAAGGTGTTTTCTCTCTTCATTACAGATACGTAATTCACCTCTGGGACCTCAACCACGAAGGGACGTGGGAAGGAAAGGGGACGTATGTCTATTACACAGACTTTGTCATGGAGCTCACTCTCCTGTCCCTGGACCTCATGCACCATATTCACATGTTGGTAAGTTTCCTCAGAAGGAGCTCTAACAGAGGGCAAGCCTTTCAGAATCAGGAACAGTAATGGTTTCTTCATTAAAAAATGAAACTTTAGAAATAAGATGTGGATGGACTACTTAAAGACTAAAAATGAATGTGGCTGCAAACCCTCCCTCTTTTTGCCACTGGGTGTAAGGCAGTGCCATGGAACTGCTTTGGCTGGTGCCTAACTCAGGAGGTGTTTGCTGTCCTGGGAGACTTAGTTAACTCTGCTGACCAAGTCAATAGATTATTCTTTTAGCATGAAATTAAGGAGCTGCCTTTCCCCATAGTTTCTATGGCTTTAAATATTTAGCAGGTACTTTGTAGGTGGTAATGGGAATTCCTGCAGTGTTAGCTACTTCACAGATTTATACATTTTCCATCTTTGTAATTAAAAAAAGTCTTTACACTTAATTCCTACATTCCTACTACCATCATTGTTTACATTTTACTTTGGTATGTTAGACGTTACGGTGTCGTAGATCTGCTTCATTGGTTGGCCCTTCAGTGATCTAATAATGGTGAGAATTAAAATAGTTGGTGGGCAATTTATTTAAATTATAAGCCTAGCAAGTAGCATTTTAAAATTATTGGGCTAGACGTGGCACATTTCTAAGTCTACTTTTTGAAAGAAACTTTGAAAACATACTTTTTAAAGAAAGTATGTAATTCTTTTTTTTAAAAAAGAGCCTCGGCTGGACGCGGTGGCTCATGCCTGTAATCCCAGCTACTGGGGAGGCTGAGGCAGAGAATTGCTTGAACCTGGGAAATGGAGGTTGCAGTGAGCTGAGATCGCGCCACTGTACTCTATCCTGGGCGACAGGGTGACACTCCGTCCCAAAAAAAAAAAAAAAGCCTCCCTCCCCCCTCAAAAAGGGGACAAACAAATGGCCAAAGATAACTGTTAAGATTTTTTATCTTCTTTTTTTAAATTTTTTTTCCTCATGCTTGTATTTTTTGTATTTAACTGCTTCTTTTTATGTATTTTTTGTATTTATGTATTTTGTATTTTTATGTATTTTGTATTTAACTGATTCTTTTTATGTATTTGAGTACATACATTCATAAATTGAGATCATATTTTAGACATATAGTTCTGTTCTTTAAAAACTAATGTATTATGAACATTTTCCTGTGCTAACATCAGTTCTTCTAAGCCATTTTAATACTTTCAGGATAAAAATATCATCAGATAGCTGTACCATGATTTAATAAACCGCATCCCACAATGGGTTATTTAGATTATATTTGGTTGTTTGCTATTTCACATTTTACATATTTTTTATCATGTATTAGTTTGATAAAGATAGTTATATCTTGCTTTTTTCATTTATCTAGTACTATCTTCCCATAATTGACCTTCAGAACTGTTATATATACAAATATAATAGTAATATGTAGTTATATAGTATAATAAGTGAAATTAATGACTATATAATTTTACATTACATGAGTTTACAACCTAACTGTTCTTCTGGGCATTTTGTTCATTTTCATATTTTCTGTTTTATAATTGCATGGATAGACATCTTTTTGCATAAAGCTTTTCCATTTCTGATGAGTTTCTCAGGAAAGATGACTGGCATTGGAGCACCTAGGCTGACGAGGATGTGCATTGTTTAGAGTAATGAGATAAATCTGTGTATTTCCTTTCTGAAAGACATTGCAGTTCACCATCACCAACAGTGAAGAGCTTCCGCTGCATACTGCGCCTTCATCACTAGCAAGTTCACGTTCGCTTTTACCGTGTGTTTTATTCTCTTTCTCTCTAAGTTATTTGGCAACATCTGGTTATCCATGGCCAGCCTGGTCATCTTTATGCAGCTGCGTTACCTGTTTCATGAGGTGCAACGTCGAATTCGTCGGCACAAGAACTATCTACGTGTGGTTGGAAACATGGAGGCCAGGTAAGGAAGCACAAGTTGATGTTGCCTAAGTTTACTCATTTTAGTTTTTTAATAACAGCAGATCCCAGAGTATGTCAGAATGTATGTTTGTAAACTGCTAATAGAGTGGTGGAGAGGAAAGGCTCTGGAGTCAGACTGCCCGGGTGTGAATCCCCACTTAGGTGCTGTGTGATTTGGGGCAATTTACTTCACCTCTAAATTAGGGATGAAAACAGAACCTTCTGCCTGAACTATTGGGAGAATTTGGTGAGATAATTCATGTACTTAGAATGGTACTGGGCAGATAGTGCTCAGTATTAGGCTCTTATTTGTCATGATTTTATTGTCATTATTATCAAATAGACACTTCATTGGGCTTCTACCCTGTTCATTTCCTGAAAGTGGGTCTCAGTTCTTTGCACATGCATGTTTACACACACATACTTAACCTCATTGAAGGAGGCACTTTTTTGCCAAGCTGGGGCTAAGCCACGCCTGGAGGTGCAAGATTAATGGGTATCCTCTTTGCACCCAGGGGGACAGCTTGGATCTCTTCTTTGTGGCCAGGGACACAGATTGGATCTCTGGGGGCCTTACTCCTCTGATTTGTCCGGATATGGTCTCCGAGGTCTTCACTAACAGCAGCCATTATTATTATTATTATTATTATTTTGGAGATGGAGTCTCACTCACCCAGGCTGGAGTGCAGTGGCACAATCTCAGCTCACTGCAACCTCCGCCTCCCAGGTTGAAGTAAGTCTCCTGCCTCAGCCTCCTGAGTAGCTGGGATTGCAGGCGCCTGTCACCACGCCCGGCTAATTTTTGCATTTTTAGTAGAGACGGGGTTTCACCATGTTGGTTAGGCTGGTCTTGAACTCCTGACCTCATGATCCCCCTACCTCGGCCTCCGAAAGTGCTGGGATTACAGGTATAAGCCACCGCGCTCGGCCTAGCAACCATTATTTAGACAAAGTTCCTGTGCATAAGTTACTCACTTTTGAAAGGGCTTTGAAGGTAAATTATATTTTTGATTATCAAGAATGTTTTGCTGAACATGCTTTCTCTGTAACTGTGTTGTGATACAGGCGCAGTCTATCAAGTGGTGTTTAGTGTGCGTGTGGAACTGACTGAGGTTCCTGCTGGGCTTGTTTTGTTTCCACAGGTTTGCAGTTGCAACTCCAGAGGAGCTGGCTGTCAACAATGACGACTGTGCCATCTGTTGGGACTCCATGCAGGCTGCGCGGAAACTGCCCTGTGGACATCTTTTCCACAAGTAGGAGCTTTGTGAAGGGCCATGTGGGACAGGTGTTCTGTCCAGGGCGTGTGTGTGCTTTGTGTACCCAGGCTCGAGACTCATCCTAGTGGAGGAGTGGGGACATTACCTCAGCCTGGCCTTGCTGCTGGCACTGAGTGTTCTGGGAAGCTCTTGGGTATCCTTCTTTGTTCCTTAGCCTCTTCCCTACATCATAGGACTGTTTCCCACCCATAGTTTGCCATCTTAGTTTCTGGGTATGGTAGCTGTCTTCATATTTCTTCTCCATTTTAGCTCTGAAGTATAGCAAATATGCCTGTAAGATTTAAAAGAAAGGATTAGCGGGGAGTCCTTGCTTTCAGACAGCTTATTATCTAACTGGGAGAGAGAATATATAATTTTGCATTTTGTACATGCCCAAAAGAAGCCTTAAGAGCACACCAGAGAAGTGGATTGAGATGGGACTAGACCAGGACCGCTAAACAGCACAGAAGAGCTGTGTCTGTTATCGAGGATTACAAATAGTCTCTTCTGTAATCCTTCCAGATGGAAGTAGATCTGAGATGTCATTGGGGTTCTGTCTGTCTCACGTAAATGACTGTGTGTATAGGTTTGGTGTTTTGATGTTGATGGACCTTGAGGTATCTTTTGGCCTTTTGCATGTGTTTTCAATTTTGCATATTGGGAAAGTTCTGATCTTTGCATCTTTAATCTTCCTTTCTTTATTTTATAGTCTCAAAGAGATTTTCTTCTTTTTCATATGGGAGCTAGAGTCTCGGTAACTCAACACATATGTTGACAGATTTTTTTTTTTTTTTTTTTTTAATGTGCTGAGTGCTGTGTTAGGCTCTGGGGATAAAATGAAAATGACCACTGTGGTCATTGCTTTCCTGTAGCTTACAGTCGAATGGAGGAGTCAAAAGCGAATGAACCAGGCATATTTATGAATTTTAAAGTATCAATGAGATAAGTGCTTTAAAGCAAAGGAACATGGTTCTTGAGAGCTTGTAATGAAAAAATCCAACTCAAACTTGAAGGAAGTGACTCTTGAGGATAAGTAGGAGTTAAGTCAACAAAAAGGAGGGATCACGTGGTACTAGGTACTTGAGAGGGAGCATCTGTGCAGCAGGAAGAAATGGAAGAGACTAAAAGAGAAGCTGTGTGGCCGATCCCAGAGAGTAAAGGAGAGGGGTGTCTGCTGAGGCAGGAGACACATAGGCAGGGTCTGGAGGACCTTTGGGAGTGGTGAGATGCTATTGAATGTTAAGGACTGGCGGGTTAGATTTGCTGCTTGAAAAGATCCAGGGGGATTGGTTAGTAATGGCTGCAGCGGTTCAGGGGTAATCCCAGCACTTTGAGATGCTGAGGCAGGTGGATCACCCGAGGTCAGGAGTTCGAGACCAGCCTGACCAACAAGGTGAAACCCCACCTCTACTAAAAATACAAAAAAATTAGCTGGGCAAAGTGGCAGGTGCCTGTAATCCCAGGTACTTGGGAGGCTGAGGTAGGAGAATTGCTTCAACCTGGGAGGTGGAGGTTGCAGTGAGCTGAGATCGTGCCATTGTACTCCAGCCTGGGCAACAAGAACGAAACTCCATCTAAAAAACAAAAAAGTAGCTTGGACTCTGGTGGTAGAAGTAGAGTTAGTGAGAAGACAGATTTGAGGGATCAGGAAGGGTGTGATGCCAGACCGGCCGAGGGAAAGTGAGGAATGAAAGAGGTACCAGCGTTTCTCTAGTTATGCAGGTTGGGCAGTTGGGTGGAGAGTGGTGCTGTTTGTTGAGGTTGGGAAGACGGAATTTGCACACATTTCTCAAAATTAGTTAGCCCCTAAGGAGCTTGGAGGCTAGTTGGGAAGAATAACTCAGAATAACTCTATTTTAGCTCAGAAATAATATTTTCAAGCATATGGTTAGATTAATTTTAGGATTTAATTTCTTTGAGGCAAAATTCAGATAACATACATTTAACTATTTTAAAGTGTACAGTTCAGTTGCCGTTAATGTGTTCACAATGTTGTGCAACCACCCTTCTCGCTAGTTTCAAAACCTTTTTATCACTCCACAATAGTGCCCCATAGTCACTAAGTAAGTGCTCTCCATTCCTTCCTTCTCCATCACCTGGCAACCACTGATCCACTTTCTGTCTCTATGGATTAACCTATTCTGGACATTTCATATAAAGGAATCATATAACATGTGACTTTTTGTGACTGGCCTCTTTCACTTAGTATTTTTTGAGGTCACTCAAGTTGTAGCATGTATCAGTACTTTTTATGGGTGAATTTAAATAATTTTATAAATTAAACAATTAGTTTATCCATTCATCCATTGGTGGACATTTGGGTTGTTTCCACATTTTGACTATTGTGAATAATGCTGCTAGGAACATGAGCTTGTAAGAAGTATCTGTTTGAGGACTTGTTCTCACTTCTTTTGGGTATATGCCTAGGAGTGGAATTTCTGGATCATATGATAATTCTATGTTTAACTTTTGAGGAAACGCCAAAGTGGTGCAGCAGCTGTACCACTTGATATTCCCCCAACAATACCTGAGGGGTCTAGTTTCTTCATACTCTTGCCAACACTTGTCATTTTCTATTTTTGTTATTATAGCCATTCTCGTGGGTGTGAAGTGTTTTCTTATTATGGTGAATTTTGTTTTTTTTTTTAGTAATAATTCTTAAGTATATTTTTTTTATTCTGGTAAAATATAACATAAAATTTACCATTAGTCATTTTTAAGTATATGGTCTGGTGGCATGAAGTACAATCACATTGTTGTACAGCCTTCATCACCATCTATCTCCAGAACTTTTTTGTCTTATGAAACTGAAATTGTCTCCAGTATATAGCAAGTCCCTCTCTGCTCCTCCCAAAGCCCTTGGCAACCACCATTCTATTTTTTTGACTCTATGAATTACTCTAGATACCTCTGTTGGCTTTGGGTTTAGTTTGCTATTTTTCTGGTTCTATAGGCATAAAGTTAGGTTTTCGATTTGAGAGCTTTCTTCTTTTTAGGCATTTTCTGCTGCATATTGGCCTCTGAGCATTGCTTCCGCTGCATCTCATAAGTTTGGATATGTTGTGGTTTTGTTTTCATTTGTCTCAAAGTGTCTCATTTCCCAAGTGATTTTTTTTTTTAATATCTGTATATTTACAGGTAAACTATAGTTTATTTTTAAAATAAGAGCAAATTTCAGTTAAATTATCAAAGAAACATGTAGAGATCTATGTGTATAGGTGTATATATGTATATACACATATATCTCTACATTTCAAGGGATATATATATCTATATCCTTATATATGTAGAGATATATATATCCCTTGAAAATACATATCCCTTCAAAATATTCACTTCTCCAATATTGGAGTGCAGCATAGTGTATCATATAATGATATATTATATATATGATACATTTATATATATATAAATGATACATTTATATATATAAATGATACATTTACATATATAAATGATACAGTTACATATATAAATGATACAGTTACATATATAAATGATAGAGTTATATATATAAATGATAGAGTTATATATATAAATGATAGAGTTATATATATAAATGATAGAGTTATATATTATAAATGATAGAGTTATATATTATAAATGATACATTTATATATTATAAATGATACATTTATATATTATAAATGATACATTTATATATTATAAATGATACATTTATATATTATAAATGATACATTTATATATTATAAATGATACATTTATATATTATAAATGATACATTTATATATTATAAATGATACATTTATATATTATAAATGATACATTTATATATTATAAATGATACATTTATATATTATAAATGATACATTTATATATTATAAATGATACATTTATATATTATAAATGATACATTTATATATTATAAATGATACATTTATATATTATAAATGATACATTTATATATTATAAATGATACATTTATATATTATAAATGATACATTTATATATTATAAATGATACATTTATATATTATAAATGATACATTTATATATTATAAATGATTATATATAAAATATATGTATGTATTTATTATACTTTAAATTCTAGGGTACATGTGCACAATGTGCAGGTTTGTTACATATGTATACATGTGCCATGTTGGTGTGCTGCACCCATTAACTCGTCATTTACATTAGGTATATCTCCTAATGCTATCCCTCCCCACTCCCCCAACCCCACAACAGGTGCTGGTGTGTGATGTTCCCCTTCCTGTGTCCAGCTGTTCTCATTGTTCACTTCCCACCTATGAGTGAGAACATGTGGTGTGTGTCTTTTTGTCCTTGTGATAGTTTGCTGAGAATGATGGTTTCCAGCTTCATCCATGTCCCTACAAAGGACATGAACTCATCATTTTTTATGACTGCATGGTATTCCATGGTATATATGTGCCACATTTTCTTAATCCAGTCTGTCATTGTTGGACATGTGGGTTGGTTCCAAGTCTTTGCTATTGTGAGTAGTGCCACAATAAACATAACGTGTGCATGTGTCTTTATAGCAGCATGATTTATATTCCTTTGGGTATATACCCAGTAATGGGATGGCTGGGTCAAATGGTATTTCTAGTTCTAGATCCCTGAGGAATCGCCACATTGTCTTCCACAATGGTCAAACTAGTTTACAGTCCCACCAACAGTGTAAAAGTTTTCCTATTTCTCCACATCCTCTCCAGCACCTGTTGTTTCCTTTTTAATGATCGCCATTCTAACTGGTGTGAGATGATATCTCATTGTGGTTTTGATTGGCATTTCTCTGATGGTCAGCGATGATGACCATTTTTCATGTGTCTGTTGGCTGTTTCATGTGTCTTTTGAGAAGTGTCTGTTCATATCCTTTGCCCACTTTTTGATGGGGTTGTTTGTTTTTTTCTTGTAAATTAGTTTGAGTTCTTTGTAGATTCTGGATATTAGCCTTTTGTCAGATGAGTAGATTGCAAAAATTTTCTCCCATTCTGTAGGTTGCCTGTTCACTCTGACAGTAGTTTCTTTTGCTGTGCAGAAGCTCTTTAGTTTAATTAGATCCCATTTGTCAATTTTGGCTTTGGTTGCCATTGCTTTTGGTGTTTTACACATGAAGTCCTTGCCCATGCCTATGTCCTGAATGGTATTGCCTAGGTTTTCTTCTAGGGTTTTTATGGTTTTAGGTCTAACGTTTAAGTCTTTAATCCATCTTGAATTAATTTTTGTGTAAGGTGTAAGGAAGGGATCCAGTTTCAGTTTTCTACATATGGCTAGCCAGTTTTCCCAGCACCATTTATTAAATAGGAAATCCTTTCCCCATTTCTTGTTTTTGTCAGGTTTGTCAAAGATCAGATGGCTGTAGATGTGTGGTATTGTTTCTGAGGGCTCTGTTCTGTTCCATTGGTCTATATCTCTGTTTTGGTACCAGTACCATGCTGCTTTGGTTACTGTAGCCTTGTAGTATAGTTTGAAGTCAGGTAGCATGATGCCTCCAGCTTTGTTCTTTTGGCTTAGGATTGACTTGGCAATGCAGGCTCTCTTTTGGTTCCATATGAACTTTAAAGTAGTTTTTTCCAATTCTGTGAAGAAAATCATTGGTAGCTTGATGGGGATGGCACTGAGTCTATAAATTACCTTGGGCAGTATGGCCATTTTCACGATATTGATTCTTCCTATCCATGACCATGGAATGTTCTTCCATTTGCTTGTGTCCTCTTTTATTTTGTTGAGCATTAGTTTGTAGTTCTCCTTGAAGAGAGGTCCTTCACATCCCTTGTAAGTTGGATTCCTAGGTATTTTATTCTCTTTGAAGCAATTGTGAATGGGAGTTCACTCATGATTTGGCTCTCTATTTGTCTGTTATTGGTGTATAAGAATGTTTGTGATTTTTGCACATTGATTTTGTGTCCTGAGACTTTGCTGAAGTTGCATATCAGCTTAAGGAGATTTTGGGCTGAGACGATGGGGTTTTCTAAATATACAATCATGTCATCTGCAAACAGGGACAATTTGACTTCCTCTTTTCCTAATTGAATACCCTTTATTTCTTTCTCCTGCCTGATTGCCCTGGCCAGAAATTCCAACACTGTGTTGAATAGGAGTGGTGAGAGAGAGCATCCCTGTCTTGTGCCCGTTTTCAAAGGGAATGCTTCCAGTTTTTGCCTATTCAGTATGATGTTGGCTGTGGGTTTGTCATAAATAGCTCTTATTATTTTTAGATACTTCCCATGAATACCTAATTTATTGAGAGTTTTTAGAATGAAGGGCTGTTGAATTTTGTAGAAGGCCTTTTCTGCATCTATTGAGATAATCATGTGGTTTTTGTCTTTGGTTCTGTTTATATGCTGGATTACATTTATTGATTTGCGTATGTTGAACCAGCATTGCATCCCAGGAATGAAGCCAGCTTGATCATGGCGGATAAGGTTTTTGATGTGCTGCTGCATTTGGTTTGCCAGTATTTTATTGAGGATTTTTGCATCGATGTTCATCAGGGATATTGGTCTAAAATTCTCTTTTTTTGTTGTGTCTCTGCCCAGCTTTGGTATCAGGATGATGCTGGCCTCATAAAATGAGTTAGGGAGGATTCCCTCTTTTTCTATTGATTGGAATAGTTTCAGAAGGAATGGTACCAGCTCCTCCTTGTACCTCTGGTAGAATTCGGCTGTGAATCCGTCTGGTCTTGGACTTTTTTTGGTTGGTAAGCTATTAATTATTGCCTCAATTTCAGAGCCTGTTATTGGTCTATTCAGAGATTCAACTTCTTCCTGGTTTAGTCTTGGGAGGGTGTATGTGTCGAGGAATTTATCCATTTCTTCTAGATTTTCTAGTTTATTTGCATAGAGGTGTTTATAATATTCTCTGATGGTAGTTTGTATTTCTGTGGGATCGGTGGTGATATCCCCTTTATCATTTTTTACTGCATCTGTTTGATTCTTCTCTCTTTTCTTCTTTATTAGTCTTGCTAGCAGTCTATCAATTTTTTTTTTTTTTTTTGAGACGGAGTCTCGCTCTGTCGCCCAGGCCGGACTGCGGACTGCAGTGGCGCAATCTCGGCTCACTGCAAGCTCCGCTTCCCGGGTTCACGCCATTCTCCTGCCTCAGCCTCCCCAGTAGCTGGGACTACAGGCGCCCGCCACCGCGCCCGGCTAATTTTTTGTATTTTTAGTAGAGACGGGGTTTCACCTTGTTAGCCAGGATGGTCTCGATCTCCTGACCTCATGATCCACCTGCCTCGGCCTCCCAAAGTGCTGGGATTACAGGCGTGAGCCACTGCGCCCGGCCAGCAGTCTATCAATTTTGTTGATCTTTTGAAAAAACCAGCTCCTGGCTTCACTGATTTTTTTGAAGGGTTTTTTGTGTCTCTATCTCCTTCAGTTCTGCTCTGATCTTAGTTATTTCTTGCCTTCTGTTAGCTTTTGAATGTGTTTGCTCTTGCTTCTCTAGTTCTTTTAATTCTGATGTCAGGGTGTCAGTTTTAGATTTTTCCTGCTTTCTCTTGTGAGCATTTAGTGCTATAAATTTCCCTCTACACACTGCCTTAAATGTGTCCCAGAGATTCTGGTATGTTGGGTCTTTGTTCTCGTTGGTTTCAAAGAACATCTTTATTTCTGCCTTCATTTTGTTATGTACCCAGTAGTCATTCAGGAGCAGGTTGTTCAGTTTCCATGTAGTTGAGCGGTTTTGAGTGAGTTTCTTAATCGTGAGATCTAGTTTGATTGCACTGTGGTCTGAGAGACAGTTTGTTATGATTTCTGTTCTTTTACATTTGCTGAGAAGTGCTTTACTTCCAACTATGTGGTCAATTTTGGAATAGGTGTGGTGTGGTGGTGAGAAGAATGTATATTCTGTTGATTTGTGGTGGAGAGTTCTGTAGATGTCTATTAGGTCTGCTGGGTGCAGAGCTGAGTTCAATTCCTGGGTATCCTTGTTAACTTTCTGTCTCGTTGATCTGTCTAATGTTGACAGTGGGGTGTTAAAGTCTCCCATTATTATTGTATGGGAGTCTAAGTCTCTTTGTAGGTCTCTAAGGACTTGCTTTATGAATCTGGGTGCTCCTGTATTGGGTGCATATATATTTAGGATAGTTAGCTCTTCTTGTTGAATTGATCCCTTTACCATTATGTAATGGCCTTCTTTGTCTCTTTTGACCATTGTTGGTTTAAAGTCTGTTTTGTCAGAGACTAGGATTGCAATCTCTGCCTTTTTTTGTTTTCCATTTGCTTGGTAGATCTTCCTCCATCCCTTTATTTTGAGCCTATGTGTGTCACTGCACGTCAGATGGGTTTCCTGAATACAGCACACTGATGGGTCTTGACTATCCAATTTGCCAGTCTGTGTCTTTTAATTGGAGCATTTAGCCCATTTACATTTAAGGTTAATATTGTTATGTGTGAATTTGATCCTGTCATTATGACGTTAGCTGGTTATTTTGCTCGTTAGTTGATGCAATTTCTTCCTAGCCTCGATGGTCTTTACAATTTGGGATGTTTTTGCAGTGGCTGGTACCGGTTGTTCTTTTCCATGTGTAGTGCTTCCTTCAGGAGCTCTTAGGGCAGACCTGGTGGTGACAAAATCTCTCAGCATTTGCTTGTCTGTAAAGTATTTTATTTCTCCTTCACTTATGAAGCTTAGTTTGGCTGGATATGAAATTCTGGCTTGAAAATTCTTTTCTTTAAGAATGTTGAATATTGGCCCCCACTCTCTTCTGGCTTGTAGAGTGTCTGCTGAGAGATCAGCTGTTAGTCTGATGGGCTTCCCTTTGTGGGTAACCCGACCTTTCTCTCTTGCTGCCCTTAACATTTTTTCCTTCATTTCACCTTTGGTGAATCTGACAATTATGTGTCTTGGAGTTGCTCTTCTCGAGGAGTATCTTTGTGGCATTCTCTGTATTTCCTGAATCTGAATGTTGGCTTGCCTTCCTAGGTTGGGGAAGTCCTTCTGGATAATATCCTGCAGAGTGTCTTCCAACTTGATTCCATTCTCCCCGTCACTTTCAGGTACACCAATCAGACATAGATTTGGTCTTTCCATATAGTCCCATATTTCTTGGAGGCTTTGTTCACTTCTTTTTATTCCTTTTTCTCTAAACTTCTCTTCTTGCTTCATTTCATTCATTTGATCTTCAATCACTGATACCCTTTCTTCCAGTTGATGGAATTGGCTACTGAAGCTTGTGCATTCGTCACGTAGTTCTCGTGCCATGGTTTTCAGCTCCGTCAGGTCCTTTAAGGACTTCTCTGCATTGGTTATTCTAGTTAGCCATTCGTCTAATCTTTTTTCAAGGTTTTTAACTTCTTTGCGATGGGTTCAAACTTCCTCCTTTAGCTTGGAGAAGTTTGATTGTCTGAAGCCTTCTTCTCTCAACTTGTCAAAGTCATTCTCTGTCCAGCTTTGTTCTGTTGCTGGTGAGGAGCTGCATTCCTTTGGAGGAGGAGAGGCACTCTGATTTTTAGAATTTTCAGTTTTTCTGTTCTGGTTTTTCCCCATCTTTGTGGTTTTATCTACCTTTGGTCTTTGATGATGGTGACGTACAGATGGGGTTTTGGTGTGGATGTCCTTTCTGTTTGTTAGTTTTCCTCCTAACAGTCAGGACCCTCAGCTGCAGGTCTGTTGGAGTTTCCTGGAGGTCCACTTCAGACCCTGTTTGCCTGGGTATCAGCAGTGGAGGCTGCAGAACAGTGAATATTGCTGAACAGCAAATGTTGCTGTCTGATGGTTCCTCTGGAGGTTTTGTCTCAGAGGGGTACCCCGCCGTGTGAAGTGTCAGTCTGCCCTTACTGGGGGGTGCCTCGCAGTTAGGCTACTCGGGGGTCAGGGACCCACTTGAGGAGGCAGTCTGTCCATTCTCAGATCTCAAACTCCATGCTGGGAGAACGACTACTCTCTTCAAAGCTGTCGGACAGGGACATTTAAGTCTGCAGAGGTTTCTGCTGCCTTTTGTTCTGCTATGCCCTGCCCCCAGAGGTGGAGTCTATAGGCAGGCCTCCTTGAGGTGCGGTGGGCTCCACTCAGTTCGAGCTTCCCGGCTGCTTTGTTTACCTACTCAAGCCTCAGCAATGGTGGGCACCCCTCCCCCAGCCTCGCTGCCACCTTGCAGTTCAATCACACACTGCTGTGCTAGCAACGAGCGAGGCTCCGTGGGCATGGGACCCTCCGAGCCGTGGGCATGGGACCCTCCGAGCCACACGCAGGATATAATCTCCTGGTGTGCCATTTGCTAAGACCATTGGAAAAGCACAGTATTAGGGTGGGAGTGACCTGATTTTCCAGGTGCAGTCTGTCACAGCTTTGCTTGGCTATGAAGGGGAATTCCCTGACCCCTTGCGCTTCCCGGGTGAGGCGATGCCTTGCCCTGCTTCGGCTCATGCTCGGTGCGCTGCACCCACTGTCCGACAAGCCCCAGTGAGATGAACCTGGTACCTCAGTTGGAAATGCAGAAATCACCCATCTTCTGCGTCACTCATGCTGGGAGCTGTAGACTGGAGCTGTTCCTATTCGGCCATCTTGGAACCCATGATTTCTTCTTTACTCAGTGGTTGCTTAAGAGTTAGGATTTAATTTTAAAACACTTATCTGCCTCGGGTTGAGTGAACAAATAGTTGTTAGGATATGCTCTTGGTTTGCTTTGCTTTGTAACTTCCGGAATGATTGTGTGCTGAGAATCTAAGGCAAATTCATTTTAATTTGTGATAAAGGTAATGTCTATATTCCTGCAGGCACAATAGCTAGATAATTTGTTGCTGTAGAGGATATTTTTGCAACATTTCAGAGTCCAGTGAATAGATCTGTTTTCTCTCTAAAGTTTGATTTCTCTCAGTTAAGGAACTCTAGCATTTTTTTTTTTTTTTAAACAGAAAACTATATCTAACTAGTTGTACTCACCTTGGAGTTTTTAGGCTGTTATATTTTATGTGGGAGGATTTTGCACTCTGTGAAATAAATTTAGATTTGCTTATAAAAAGTATGTCACAGTGTAGCATTATTGGAAGGCAAGGATCTTACATATTTTTATAATCTCCCACAAGGCTAATTTTATTATACTAGTGGTGTGATTTAAAGGTGTCAGTAGGAGAATTGGACTTAAAAAAATCATTTATTTGACTAAATTATCACATACAAATTATAGGTATTTAATTATTGCAAAATATGAGAGTTGGGTATACACATACAGACAGATGACATTATTTTGGAACACGACTGTCACACACTCTTATGACACAGAGTGATTAAGAAGTAGCTCCATCTTGGCCTCTAGGAAACTCCTGTTACTTATGTACCATTTAGTTGCTGGAGACTCTGAGGATTATCATATTATGGTGAGGTTTTCCTTTATAACTTTATATCTACACATGTTCGTAGATATTTAAAAGAAGATACAGCATTTTTATTCAGTGCCTACTTGAGCCCTTAGAGAAAGATAACAAATTCTCATAAAATGGGAGGGACCTTGGAGATTAATTCATCCAGCCATTTCATTCTTTAGTGGAGAGGACTAGTCAATAGAGGTTGAAGGGTTTGCCTGGATCACACAGCTAGTTAGAGGGAGAATTGGGACTGATCTCACATTTTCTGCTTCTTACTCTAGTACCCTTTCCTTTCTTTAATGGACACCTCAAGTATTTATTGAATGTCTACCATAATTAAGGCATTATCATCTCCTGAGAGAGGGCAAAAGAAGCTTCGGCCTTGTTGGGAAAACAGCGTGCAAAGAGAAGAGGGTGGAGGACATTGAGGTGGTGAATGGAGAGGAGAGGTTAGAGGTGAGCCAGGGGAACAGGGAGGTAAGGACCTGTACGGCTGTCATGCTTGAGGAGAAAGCAGATGGGAGGTCTTAGTAAGTTTGGTGCCAGATAAGTGAGTTGGAAGGAGAGGAGCTTGAGTGAATGAGTGAGAATTTTGACATCAAGATTTTGAAGACAAGCCAAGGTGATGACTGTGCTGGTGGTAGCTAAAGCAGAGTGAAAGACATGAGCGTCAGAGTGGAGGACTCAAGGACATGAGAGGCCAGGGTGTTGGATGATTCAGCCACATGGATTTTGAAGTAGCCAAATGGAGTTGGATGAGAAGATGGTGAGCCATGCTAGGAAGCCCCATTGAAGAGGGGTCACAACGAGGAGCTTGGTAGATGACTTCATATGGTAAAGAATTCATGTTCCCAGCAGGACACACTGGAAGTGTATTAAAGTGAAGTAGGGCAAGTAGGTAAAGTCCATAAATGCTTCTCAACACTTAAATCTCACTAGTGGTAGAGAGAAAATCAAATTGGAGCACATTTGATATATCCAGAGTACTTCTGGGTGAATTCTCACAAAGTATGCTAAGGAACAATCAAGGATGCTGACGTATCTTCTTTTGGACTTTTTGGTAGCTCCTGTCTTCGTTCCTGGCTAGAACAAGACACCTCCTGTCCAACATGCAGAATGTCTCTTAATATTGCCGACAATAATCGTGTCAGGGAAGAACATCAAGGAGAGAACTTGGATGAGAATTTGGTTCCTGTAGCAGCAGCCGAAGGGAGACCTCGCTTAAACCAACACAATCACTTCTTCCATTTCGATGGTTAGTTGGTTTCAACCTCTGAAACTATACCTAAGGGGTGTTCTCCCTTAAGCAGATACTATTTTAGTTATAAATTGCCCTGTATAGACCAGTTTAATATTATACAGTCATGTGCCCCATAACGACATTTCACTCCATGGCAAACCATATATATGGCAGTGGTCCCATAAGATGATAATGGACCTAAAAAATTCCTGTAGTCTGGTATTTACTACAGTTTTTATCATTATTTTAAAGTGTACTCATACTTACATACAAAAAAAATTTACTGTAAAGCAGCCTCAGGCAGGTCCTTCAGGAGGTATTCCAAAATAAGGTATTGTTATTCTAGGAGATGACAGCTCCATGCGTGTTACTGCCCCTGAAGACGTTCCAGTGGGACAGGAGGTGGAGGTGGTCGACAGTGATACTGATGCTCCTGACCTGTGTAGGCTTAGGCTAATGCGTGTGTTTGTATCTTAGTTTTTAGCCAAAAAAATTTAAAAAGTAAAATTAAAACTTTTAGAAATAGAAAAACTCTTATAGAATAAAAAAGAAAATATTTTCGACAGCTGTACAGGGTGTTTGAATTTTAAGCTAAGTGTTACTACAAGAGTCAAAAAGTTAAAAAAATTAAGATTATGAAGTAAAAAACTTATAGTAAGCTAAATTTAATTTATTGAATATAGAAAGAAACATTTTGTCATGAATTTAGTGTAGCCTAAGTGTACAGTGTTTATAAAGTCTGCAGGAGTTCACAGTAATGTCCTAGGCCTTCACATTTCACCACTCACTGACTCACCCAGAGCAGCCTTAATCATGCAAGCTTCATTCCTGGTAAGTGCCCTATGCAGGTGTACTTTTTGTGTACCATATTTTTACTGTATGTTTTCTGTTAGATATGTTTAGATACACAAATACTTAGCACTGTGTTATAATTGCCTCTACAGCATTCAGTATAGTAACATGCTGTACAGGATTGTAGCCTAGAACAATAGACTATATCGTATAGCCTAGGTGTGTAGTAAGCTATACCATTTAGGTTTATGTAAATATACTCTATGATGTTCGCACAACAATGAAATCACCTAACAACACATTTCTCAGAATGTGTCCCTGTTGTTAAGCTACGCATTGACTGTATTTCAATTTTAATTGAAAGTGTTTAGGTGGGATGGATGGATGGATGGATAGAGATAGAACAAACAGAGGGGTTCCAGGCATTTTGCCTGATTCCATGTCAATATGGGCAGGGTGGGGCAGGAGGGTGGAGGAGTAAAACTGAATCAACCATGCCTTCAAGGAGCACACTTAATTAGCTCAATAGTTAACCTTTGCTAATAATATATTGCATTTGTGTAGCATTTAAGCATATAATGAAGGATCATTGAGAAGCCTTTCTGGTGAGTACCAGAAGCAGAATCAGAGCTGGAACCCTGTTGCTTTGTCCATAAAATATAAATGTTCTGCCTCCCGGCAGTGTTAAAAGGAGTTGTAATGAAAACCACACTTAAAATTCTAAGGCTATGACATATCAAGGTCTGGTTGATCATCCTTCCTTAATTCACATTAAGCTGCTGTTGATTTTCAACAGTCCAGTACTGCTAAATTCTGTGAGTTCATGTTTATAATTATTACTGTAACACAAGCATCCCTGGAATTTTGTTAGCAGTAGTGCTATTCGCATCCCTGATTTGAGTTTCAAGAATGGAGTACAGTGGGGATGGTGTCGTGTTGGTGAAATCCCTCAAAGAAGGGACTAGGGGGAGTAGAGTCATGTCTCCCAGAAGAGTAGGTGGGGCTACTTGGCTGGCTGGGCCCAGAATGCTAGAGGGGTTTAGAGGACCTGGTTTGGTGGCTGTGAATGAAGGGCTCTTCCAGGTAAAACTTCTGAAATATACTAGCAATATTAGAGATGAGACCTGGCTATGTAATCCATTATTTTGTGAATTATGACTACTAAAAATTTAGTCAAAATAGATAAAGTCAACTTTATTTCTCCCTAGTTAGTACATGAAATAAGTATCCATTTCTTAAATGGGTACGTTTTGTTTGTACCCATCTCAAGACCTTTGAGATAGCCATTCCACTTGATTTTTTTTTTTTTTTTGAGATGGAGTCTTGCCCTGTTGCCAGGCTGGAGTGCGGTGGCGTGATCTCAACTCAATGCAACCGCTGATTCCCTGGTTCAAGTGATTCTCCTGCCTCAGCCTCCCAAGTAGCTGGGATTACAGGCACGTGCCCCCATGCCTGGCTAATTTTTGTATTTTTAGTAGAGACAGGGTTTCACCATTTTGGCTAAGATGGTCTTGATCTCCTGACCTTGTGATCTGCCCGCCTTAGCCTCCCAAAGTGCTGGATTACAGGCGTGAGCCACTGCTCCTGGCCACACTTGATTTTCTGTTCCATGCATCAGTGTTTCTTTGTGAAGGAATGAAAAGCAGCCTTAAATGTGTAGCTTGATAATTGGGTTGTTTTACAGCCAATTCTTGGTGCTGTTGTATCTTAGGCTCCTGTTTTCTTCGGGAAATAACAGAAGCAGCAGACTTCTTGGTGCTGTTAGTCTACAAGCCTTTTTGTAGAATAGAACAATTTAAAAAGAATTTTGAATCAGAAAACCACGGCTTTTAAGATTAAAGAAAAAATACTTCCTAAAAGTAAATGTGAAAATGCCTCCAAGTGAGTAGTCATTTGTGTAGCTTGTGAAAGAGGAGCCAAAGCTCATGTGTTGTAGAAGCTTTAGAGCCTTGAAAAGCTTCCTCATCTCCCAGGCTGAGCGTGTGAGGGCGCTGGGCTGGGCTGCATCCAGCCCCCCTGGAAAGCAGGATTGCTCAGCAGTGAAGGGTTCTAGAGCTTGCCTGTCTGGCTTCACATCTTGGCCATCATAGTTAAACTGTGTGATCTTGGACAAGTCCCCTAACTTCTAAGTGCCTCAGAGACCAAAGACCAAGGGTACTAGTGCTATATCTTTGAGAAGGATACTATAAGAATGATAATAGGAGGTACCATGTGGAGTGTAGTGAGGATTAAATGAGCTAGTCCACGTGAAACACTTGGCATGAGAAGCCTGCCATACAAGAAGCCCTCAGTGAACACCAGCCATTACAGTGGCTACCGTGAGAGCAGATGACGGGGGAAAGAGTCAGGGCTCTGAAACTTACACTGGATTCTTGTTTGTTTCAGGGTCTCGGATTGCGAGCTGGCTGCCGAGTTTTTCGGTTGAAGTGATGCACACCACCAACATTCTTGGCATTACGCAGGCCAGCAACTCCCAGCTCAATGCAATGGTAAGGTCTGCTAGCTGCTTTAAGAAGATCACTGGGAATTAGGAGGGAAAGAACAGCTAGAGCGTGTGTGCCGGGTATATGACCTTGTTGGTCTTACTCTGCTCTGGCAGAGTGGAAGGATTTTTAGGGGCTTCTTTTTATTTACTGGGACCATTTACATTCCTGTGTTTTAAATTTTGAAACGTTCATTTTATTTCTGTGGCGGATAATCTAACCTTTTCTGAACACTACTAGGTTCACTCTGTTGTGATCTAGGCCTACCTTGGGACTCCTTCGATTTTAGCCAAAAAAAAAAAAAATTTTTTTTTCTGGAGGCAGGGTCTTCCTTCATTGCCCAGGCTTAGAGTGCAGTGGTGCGATCTTGGCTCACTGCACCTTCTACCTCCTGAGTTCAAGCAATTCTCTTACCTCAGCCTCCTGAGTAGCTGGGATTATAGGCGTGGACCACCATGCCTGGCTAATTTTTGTAGAGACGAGGTTTCACCATGTTGGCCAGTCTGGTCTCGAACTCCTGGCCTTAGTGATCCATCCGCCTTGGCCTCCCAAAGTGCTTGGATTACAGGCGTGAGCCACTGCGTACAGCCTTTAGCCAAAATATGTTGGGGAATTATCGGCTGGAGTGAATGATGTGCCTTTTATTAAAAATTTTATGAGGCTGGGCACAGTGGCTCACTCCTGTAATCCTAGAGCTTTGTGAGGCCGAGGCAGGCAGATGGCTTGATTGCCCAGGAGTTTGAGGCTGCAGTGAGCTGTGCTCACACCATTGCACTACAGCCTGGGTGACAGAGTGAGACCCCATCTCTAAAAAAAGCAAAGAGACTGGGCATGGTGGCTCATGCCTGTAATCCCAGCACTTTGGGAGGCTGAGGCAGGTGGATCATCTGAGGTCAAGAGTTCGAGACCAGCCTGGCCCATATAGTGAAACCCTGTCTCTACTAAAAATACAAAAATTTGCTGGGCATGTTGGCATGCACCTGTAATCCCAGCTACTTGGGAGGCTGAGGCAGGAGAATTGCTTGAACCTGGGAGGTGGAGGTTGCAGTGAGCCGAGATTAGGCCATTACACTCCAGTCTGAGCAACAAGAGTGAAACTCTGTCTCAAAAAAAAAAAAAATTGCATGAGGCTCACCAAATGTGTGTTTTTGTTCCCCATCTTTTCCTCCCTCACCTCCAAAAATTGAGTGTGTGTGTGTGTGTGTGTGTGTGTGTGTGTGTATGTATGCATGTGTGTATATGCCTTGAAATGTTGAGGCGTGCTGTTGGCTCAAGGATATTGTTTGAATACTTCAAGTTTCTTTGTATTTTTCCAAAGGAATGTGTTATTTTACAATGATGGAGAAACGTGTTTCACCATTGTTGAAATCCAGTGCAAACCACCTTAGTCCTGCTTGGATTAGGGCCTCTGGCTGACCTGGATAAGCCCAGCCAGTGCTTTGGAAGGTCATTGGTTCATTCGTTAATTAGTTAATCTTTATTGATTGATTGAACAAATTTGAACTGAGAACCTGTTCCTGAGACAGGCACTGTAGTGAGCATAGCACCTGCAATGTCATTAAGGTAGACACAAGTCTTACTCTCAAGTAGGGTAGATACTAACTGGGGAGACAGGTCATAAATATAAATAAGGTGACTGCTGATGGTGATGAGTGCTCTGGCAGCAGTAAGGTAGGCAGTGTGGTGGAGTGGGTGGGTAGAGGCCAGAGGAAACATTTTAGAGGAGGCATTTGGAGATGTTCTCTCTGAGGGGTAATATGTAAGCTAAAACATGAAGGATGAGATGGAGCTGGATCAGGGGGAAGGAGGCCGTGGAAACAGTAGGTGCAAAGGCTATGAGGTGAGAAAGTTCTAGGAACTGAGAAAGGTCATTATGGTTGGGGCCTGGCAAGTAGGGGAACAACACTGTGATAGGAATTGAGATTTCAGAGCCAGAACATGCAGGGTCTTATAGGCCACAGGCAAATTTAGATCTTGTAAAAGTATTAGAAGGCCATTCAGAGCTTCTTACAGACCCCCACCACCACCACCAGGGGACTGACAGGATATTTAACAGAATGATTTTGCTTCTGGGAGAAGGATGAATTATAGAGGGTCAGAAATGGAAGCAGCAGGACCAGCAGTTAGGATGTTGCTGCAGTAGTCAAGGGAAATTCACATGGGGGCTTGGACAGGGGTATTTGTAATAAAGGTGAAAATAAGTGGCAGGTTTAGGACACTTTTGTAAGATGAGCTGGCAGGACTTGGTGCTTTGGTTGGATATGGGGGATGAGAGAAGTGGCTGAATGGAAGCTGCCTTGCTGAGTTTGAATTAAGCAGCTGAGTTGACAGTGGTACCACGTACTGAGATGCGAAGACTCGGGAGGAACAGGCATGAGGATGGGTCGCGGTGTTCTATTTGGGTAAGTCTGGGTTGCTCTGTGGGCAGTTCTGGACCTCAGTGAGGAGATCAAGTGAGAGATGCACATTTGGGAGATTGACGCCTGGAGGTGACATCTAAAGCAGGGGGTCAAAGAGAAGAGGGCTGACATCTGAGCTCTAGGTTCTGCCATGTTCAGAGGTCTGGCAGAGAGGGAGGAGCCATGACAGCCGGTGGAGAGGGAAGAGACCAGGAGAAGGTGGCAGCACAGCACAGAGGAGTTGGGTTTCCAGGAGGGAAGAGTCAAGCGTGTGGAATTCTTACAAGATGAGCTCATAGAAGTGCATGTTGGATTTGGCAGAGTGGGAGTGATTGATTAGCTGGAAAAGAACCAGCATTTTCCATTGCCCGAGGGGTTGGACAGTAGATTATGGTAGATTGAAATGAGTGGGAGCTGAAGAAATAGACCATACCAGGAAGTATGTTATGAAGAAGGACACAGAGCAGTAGAGGTGGTAGCTTGATAGGGTGTAGCATCCAGGGAAGTGTTTTCGTTTGTTTAAGGTTTTTGAATAGGTCATTTATTTACAAGTTTCAGAACCTAGAGAGGAGTATACAGTGAAGTCATGCTCCCTTCCTTTTCCCATGTGCCCAGCTCCCACGCCCCCTTAACAGCCTGGGTTAGTTTCTTATGTATTATGTTGCTCCAGAAGGCTTATAGGCACATACAAGCCAATGCTACTCTTTTTCAGACAGAAAAAAATAAGAAAGTGAATTTTTTTTTCGATTTTTCTATTTTAGTAAAATACGTTATATCTACTGTTTTAATATTTTTCAGATGTGCATTTCAGTGGTGTATTCACATTGTGCAACTATCACCACTGTCCATCTACAGAACTCTTTTCATCTTGCACAATCGAAACTTTGTACCAAGCCTGTCCAACCTGCAGGCTGCATGTGGCCCAGGACAGCTTTGAATGCAGCCCAACACAAATTTGTAAACTTTCTTAAAACTATGAGATTTTTTTGCCTTTTTTTTTTTTTTTTTTTTTTTTTAGCTCATCAGCTATCGTTAGTGTTAGTATTTTTATGTGTGGCTCAAGACAATTCTTCTTCCAGTGTGGCCCAGGGAAGCCAAAATATTGGATACCCTTGCTCTATACCCATTAAACAATTAACTACTAATTCTCCCCTCCCTCTAGCCTTTGGCAACCATTATGCTACTTGCTTTCTCTATGAGTTTAACTACGTAGGTACCTCATATAAGTAGAATTCTACAATATTTGTCATTTTGTGACTGGCTTATTTCACTTAGCATAATGTCATCATGGTTCATCCACGTTGTAGCACAAGTCAGAATTTTCTTCCTTTTTAAGGCTGAGTAATATTTCATTGTATGCATATACCACATTTTATTTATCTATTAATCTGTCGTTGGACACTCACATTGCTTCCACATTTTAGCTATCGTGAATAATGCTACTGTGAACATGAGTAGGCATATATTTCTTTGAGACCCTGCTTCTAATTCTTTTGAATACTCATGAGTCTTTTTTGTTTGTTTTTAAGACTAATTTTTTAGAGCAGTTTTAGGCTTACAGCAAAATTAAGAAGAAGGTACAGAGATTTTCTGTATGCCTCCTGTGCCCACACACACACAGCCTTCCCCATTATCAACATCCCTCAGCAGAGGGTATGTTTGATAGAGTTGATAAACCTGTGTTGGCACATCATAATCACCCAAAGTCCATAATTTACATTTGTGTTCCCTCTATAGGATTGGACAAATATATAGTGACACGTATCCACATGATACAGTCTTTTCACTGCCCTAAAGATTCTGTATGCACTCTGCCTTTCCTTTCCTCCCCCTAGCCTCTAGCAACCACTGATCTTTTTACTATCTTCATAGCTTTGCCTATTCCAGAATGTCATACAGGTGGAATCCTGCAGTATGTAGCCTTTTTAGATGGCTTCTTTCACTTAATTATTTGCATGTATGTTTCCTTTATATCTTTAAGGGATTGATAGCTCATTTCTTGTTAGCACCAAATAATATTCCATTGTCTGGATATACCACAATTTGTTAATTCGTTCACCTACTTAAGGACATCTTGGTTGCTTCCAGGTTTTGGCAGTTATGAATAAAGCTGCTATAAACATTTATGTGCAGGTTTTTATGTAGACGTAAGTTCATAACTTCCTTGGTTAAATGCTGATATGGTTTGACTGTGTCCCCACCCACATTTCCTCTTGAGTTCCCACGTGTTGTGGGAGGTACCCAGTGGGAGGTAGTTGAATCATGGGGGCAGGTCTTTCCCATGCTGTTCTTGTGATAGTGAATAAGTCTCACAAGATCTGATGGTTTTATAAAGAGGATTTCCCTGCACAAGCTCTCTCTCTTTGCCTGCTGCCATCCATGTAAGATATGGCTTGCTCCTCCTTGCCTTCCACCATGATTATGAGGCCTCCCCAGCCATGTGGAACTGTAAGTCCATTAAACCTCTTTCTTTTGTAAATCATCCAGTCTTGGGTATGTCTTTATTAGCAGCATGAAAATGGACTAATACAGTAAATTGGTACCAGGAGTGGGGTGCTGCTGTAGATACCTGAAAATGTGGAAGTGACTTTGAAACTAGCTAACAGGGGTTGGGACAGTTTGGAGGGCTCAGGAGAAGACAGGAAAATGTGGGAAAGTTTGGAACTCCCTAGAGACTTGTTGAATGGCTTTAACCAAAATACTGATAATGATATGGACAATGAAATCAAGGCTGAGGTGGTCTCAAATGGAGATGAGGAACTTGTTGGGAACTGGAGCAAGGGTGACTCTTGTCATGTTTTAGCAAAGAGAATGGCAGCATGTTGCCCCTGCCTTAAGAGATT